>NC_000001.11:68038683-68341713 GCF_000001405.40 Homo sapiens
GGTGTTGCCTGTTCATTTCTTTTCTCATTTAAGCTGTGATTTTTATTTACTTATTTATTTAGTTAGTTTTGGTTCTTAGTTTGATAAGTGATTTCCTGTGGTATTCTAGACATTTGGAAGACTCTAGATCCTATGTAATCTTTTTTACCAGGCATTATCTCCACTGATATGTAGTTTGAGGGCCGAGTGGGTGTGTATTTTCAATGGAAGTGGTGTGCTCACACTGCCTCTTTGCAGAAGGGTGGACTGAAAGTTGAACTTCCTTCTCAGTCCTATAGAACTCTTCTCAGAAAATGTGGGTGCAAACTCGTACTGCCTTATTGGGGTATTAGCTCAGCTCCTTAGTGAGCCATAGTGATGAGATGAGAGAGGGAGGGAAGTATTAACTAGCTCCAGCTTGCATAGCCTCATTCATTTTCACTGACGCCACTGACACAAACCTGTAAAGGGATTCAGAGCATGAACGACCTAATCAGCTCATTTCAGATATAAGGCTAAAAAATTGTAAAGTTAGGAATAAATTATGAAATGTGACTCTTCTGACTCCTGATTGATGATGCTACTTGAAGGTGAGGACTAAGTCTTACAACTCTTAGAGGGTTAGTCTGGTGTAGGGGCAAAAACAACACTGGATTATTAGTCAAAAGACATTGTTTTTTAAGGCTCAGCACTGAGCCAGGTCCAAGCTACCATACTACCACTTACCACCACACTACCCTACCAGCAAGGAAGGGATAGAAGGAATCTGAAATAGAGGATTAGCTCTGTTGTGGTGCAGAAAATGATTTCCCAAAATATGGCAGTTGAGTATGTTGAGTGCTTTTAAGAATTGCGAGGACTCAAAAATAAACCCTAGAATCAAGGTCTCTCTAACTTGTCTCATTTCTCCCTCCCTTCAAATGCAAGATGGGCCCCTGTCTCCTCCCTGCTCTATGACAAAGGGTATATAAGCTTCTGTGCCCCATTGGGGGGTTGGAGTAACCACTCTGATATGGTTTGGCTGTGTCCCCACCCAAATCTCATCTTGAATTATAGCTCCCATAATTCCCATGTGTTGTGGGAGGGACCTAGTGGGAGATAATTGAATCATGGGGTGGTTTTCCCCATACTGTTCTCATAGTAGTGAATAAGTCTCATGATGTCTGATGGTTTTATAAGGGGTTTCCCTTTTCACTTTGCTCTCATTCTCTCTTGCCTGCCACCAAGAAAGACGTGCCTTTTGCCTTCCACCATGATTGTGAGGACTCCCCGGCCACATGGAACTAGGAGTCTATAGAGCCTCTTTTTTCTTTATAAATTACCCAGTCTCAGGTATATCTTTATCATCAGCATGAAAACAAACTAATAAACACTCTGTGATTCTCTCCCATGCACATTAATAAATATGTATGCATTTCTGGCTATTAGTCTGCCATTTGTCAACTGATTTTCAGGAAACTTTTAGAGGATAAGGTGAAAGTTTTTCCTTGGCCCTGCAAAAGTTGTCAGGGCCAAAATGGTGTCACCAAAGTTAAGAGAACTCTGGCAAATAAGAGCTAGGGAAGGCCATGAAGAGAGGGTTCTCATGCTTGTATGCTTGATAATAACAACCGAAAAAAATCTCTACAAAAAACACAACCTGGCACAAAGGCCATCACAATCACACAAAAAAATACTTCTGCAGGACATATGACCAGCACTGTCTGTCCAACCTCAGGCTGGTGTCATACTTGTCATTGATCTTTGTAGCCAAGGATAATTATTTCAAGAACAATTGTGTAATGCTCCTCATTTCTTTTTTCTTTAGAAACCTTTGTCTTCCTTTAATTCAAATATACAAATAATTTACTATTGCATGTATATTCCCTTTGCAATACTCTATTCCCAAATAAACATAATTTTCTTTTAGAAAGCCTCTCACTGTCATTTAGGTTGACAGCCTCTATAGTTTCCTATTCTGTCCTGCTGGTAACAGTACCAGAAGAGGAAATCAAATCATTAGCATCTGCGTCTTCAGGGAAGAGTACAGTGTGGTGGAAGACAATCTTCCTCTTGGTGGAGGAAGAATAGAAGAGGTTTTGCCATTGGTGTTTAACTGGAGTAGCACAGATATTGCCAAAAAGACTTTCTCTTGTTAATTTGTCCTTTCTTGGCTAGGGGAAACATGCTTTTGTCAGCCCTGTGTGTGTGTGTGTGTGTGTGTGCGCACACGCATGCACATGCTCATGCACGTGTACACCTATTGGTGGTTCTAGCCTGGGGGTTTCTGCAGTGTCCTATTCAGGATACACGGACACAATAAGGATACCCAGAGAATTCACTATCATAGCATTCCTTACATGCTGAGGTTCCTAAATCGCCCACATTTTCCCACCTTTAAGTATTTTCCTTTGCTTATCTGTTATGCTATTTCCAGGGTTATTTTAGTTGTAAGACAGTATATGAGAGAAATGAGGCTTCTCTCTCTTGGCTGGGACCAGAAATCTCTGCTGAGTATGAACAAGACTTTCTAATCCTCATATTATTATTTTTTTGCTGTGATGGACTACATGCTTTTCTTTGAAACACATTTCTCTCTCAGTATTTACTACTGTACATTGTGAGTTTCCTCCTATCTTTTGGTCACTTCAAAGTGCCCTTCACTGTTTCCTCTTTGTCTGTAGCTCAGTGCTTCTGTTCTCCAAGATTCTGCCCTAAACACTTTCATCTTACCTCCTCTTCTCTTCCTCCACAGCCTCACCATCACCATATGTTGAAAACTGACAAATCATGGTCTCAAGTCTCTAATCCCAGTCCAGTTTGCACTGGAAACCTTCATCTGGTTGTCTCATAAACACCTTGCAACTTTGTTATCTAGAATGTAATTTATTGTCCACATGTGCATGTGCAAACAGATTTTCTCCCAAATTGACCCTTCTTTGTGCATTTCTGGACTTGGTCAATGACCCCATGACCCACCCAGGAATCCCACTCAGAAATATGGCAGTCACCTTGTTTCTCCCTTTATTCTAAACTCCAACACATCACCAAACTTTGGCCATTCTCCCTGCTAAATAATTCTCAAGTCCATCCCCTTGTCTCTGTTCCCTCTGGCAATGGCTAAAGCATTTGTTCAAAATCTCATTCCTGGATGATTCTAATAGTTTTCTAATTGGTCTACCTGTCTTTCTCCATTCCCACAGAGGCTCTAGAATGATCTTTTCAAAATGCAAGTATAATCAAGTCTGCCTAAATCCCTTCCTAATTCCTCATTAGCTCTAAAGAATGAATTCTAACTCTAATTTCTCCAGCTCGTCTTCCACAATTTCCTCCATCCATGTCTGGAATCATGCTGTGATCTCTCAGACCCTACATTTTGTCTGTGATTTTGTTCACTGTCCTGTCTGCCTGAAGTATGAAATATCTTCCTCTCCTTCCCTCACCTGCACCCACCCTACCTAAACCAACCCTACTAGACCTACAAGATTCCAGTCACGTAATCTCTTCAGGGAAAATATTTCCCACTCCTCATTAAAGGTGCTTATCTTCCCTGTTTCTAAAACACCCTATGCATGTTAAATTGTTGACTTGCTTCTTTGCCTCCCATCTGGGATTCGGGAGAAACTCTGAGGAAGGTTCATTTTCCATCCTGGCATAATATGAATAGAGAACAGAAAGGTGAGCTCCTCCGCCCTTTGACTAGTCATCTTGGAGAAGAAGTGTACTACAGGCGGGGAGCGGTGGCTCACGCCTGTAATCCCAGCACTTCGGGAGGCCGAGGTGGGCGGATCACGAGGTCAAGAGATTGAGACCATCCTGGCTAATACGGTGAAACCCCTTCTCTACTAAAAATACAAAAAATTAGCAGGGCGTGGTGGCGGCACCTGTAGTCCCAGCTACTCGGGATGCTGAGGCAGGAGAATGGTGTGAACCCGGGAGGCGGAGCTTGCAGTGAGCCGAGATCGCACCACTGCACTCCAGCATGGGCGACAAAGCCAGACTCCATCTCAAAAAAAAAAAAAAAAAAGAAATGTACTACAGTGGTCAAGAGCCCTGACCTGGAGCAGAACAGTTGGGTTCAAATCCTGGCTCTGCTACTTACCGGTTTTGTGACATTTATCAGTGTCCCCCCATCTGTAACACAGGCATAACAGTAACTTTTTTATTGGATAGTTGTGAGGATTAAAGTAAGAGCATGTCAACGTGTAGAAAGATTATATACGTTCTACAGTTCAGAAACATTGGCGTGTAGATTATAAATATTTGCTATGTTAAAATATTTTTATTTGGGGGCAGGACTTTGAGCTGCTCCACCCCACCCCCACCTCCTGCTGCCCACGCAAGAATCAGAACCACTGCTGGGCAGAGTGGCTCATGCCTGGAATCCCAGCACTTGGGAGGCTGAGGCAGGGAGATTGCGTGAGCCCAGGAGTTCCAGACCAGCCTGGGCAACATGCAGAAACCCCATCTCTACAAAAAATACAAAAAGTATCCAGGAATGGTGGCTGTAATCCCAGCTACTTGGGAGGCTGAGGTGGAAGGATTGCTTGAGCCTGGGAGGTGGAGGCTGCAGTGAGCCAAGACTGTGCCACTGCACTTCAGCCTGGGCAACAAGGTGAGACCCTGTCTCTGAATGAATGAATGAATGAATGAATGAATGAATCAGAACTGTAAGAAAACCTGCTAACCTCTCCACATTGTCCCGAGTCCATTAATTTCCCAGCTGTTTGTGGCCTGAAGCCTCCAGCCACCACAGAAACCAAGATTTTCCAGACAATGGTTCCTCTCAGTTCAAGTATGGCAGATTTTCGGAAGTTTTTTGCAAAAGCAAAGCACGTGGTCGTCATTTCAGGGGCTGATGTTATTGCGGTAAGTGGGGTTCCACCCTTCAGACAAGCCGGAGGTCATGGGGAAAATGTCAGTCCAGGCCCTGGCAGCTCCTCTGTCCTCTGCCCACGCTTTTCTGGGTGTGGGAGCTCCCCACTGCGGGTGAGAGGTCAGGCCGAGCAGGAGCCCAGTCCGCACCTCGCCACCATCGAATGTGATGCCCTGCTGGGCGGACAGGGCCGCCAGGGCATGATCATGACAGAATATCCATGGGCGGCACCCAAGGCTGGCGCCAAGAACCTTCTGGAAATCCACTGTAGCTTATTTAAACTCCATGTACCTCTTGTGGAGTCGTGTCTGAGAATTATGAGAGTCGGTTGGTCCACCTTTATCAGGAGAAGGTGCCCCAGGACCTGGAACTCAAGATGCCAGAATCCCAGTTGGGAAACTTGCCGGGTGTGAGAGGCAGAGAGCAGGGGCTTGCCGCAACCTCACGCCCTGTGGTTTGGCAAAAACTTGGATCCCGCCTTTCTGGAGGAGGTTGACAGACAGCTCACCCTTGTGACTATGTCTAGTGGCACATACTCCCCCTGTGGTGTACCCCGCAGCTGTGTTTGCCCACCAGATGTCTGCCAAGGGAGTGCCAGTGACCGAATTTAACATGGAGACCACCTCAGCCATG
This sequence comes from Homo sapiens, assembly GCF_000001405.40. Classification (NCBI taxonomy): domain Eukaryota; kingdom Metazoa; phylum Chordata; class Mammalia; order Primates; family Hominidae; genus Homo; species Homo sapiens. The sequence continues at coordinate 68,044,151 of NC_000001.11, forward strand.
AGAAGATTCAGGTTTCATTTCCAGGGACCCTGTGGTAGGATGCTTCCTGAACCCCTTGCTGGTCATGAAAATGAAACTGTTTCTTAAGCATCCTGGGAAGAAAGAAATTATAGTATATCTAAGTATGTCTAGGTGGCGAGCTGATATTGGATGATCCAAAAATATTCTGATTCCCTGGCTGAAATCCAACCTGTTGATAAGTGTTTAGGGCTCAGAAGTAGCAAGAGCAAAGGTATTTAGAAGTCAGAGAACTGTAAAGTTAATGCATGTTATTTGATTTGAACTGAAACATAAGAGACCTTTGATGTGTTTAGTTGGTTATTGGGAGGGAAAAACGTTGTAATTAGATTGTCTTTAAAAATGTAATTATTCTGATTATATTTTTCCTATTTGGGCAAAGATAGAAGTAGAGGGGTAAAATCCTGTCATTTAGCACAAGTTTTAATGGAAAATAAAATCATTCTCAACTACCTACTTATATAAAGGTGTTACCCCAGGAACAAAAATTCTTTTTTAAACTATTACTTGTAACATTAAAAACATGTTCTTCCTTTTCTCAAGGTTAGTATTTGCCACTTGAATTTAATAATCCGTTTGCTCACCTATTAGGAGCAACAATAAATGCAATACATTTTGAAGGAGAATTACCCTGGAGAATAACCAAGGTAGAGTAGTTTCTTTTAGAAGTAGATTTACTACATTAGGTACTTCAGCAAAGAATTGGTTTTTAGGAACAGAATTCATAAGAAGCTATATGGTAGAACCATTTGGGTATTTTCCAAGTGGTTGAGAATAATTGCTATGAAAATGAATAGGGAAATTTTAAAATAATTATTTAAAAACGAGCCACTGAATAGATCTTCTAAGCTTGAAAATGTCTATAGTACCATGAAATCATGTTTACGGCCGGGCGCAGTGGCTCATGCCTGTAATCCCAGCACTTTGGGAGGCCGAGGCAGGCGGATCACGAGGTCAGGAGATCGAGACCATCCTGGCTAACACGGTGAAATCCCGTCTCTACTAAAAATAGAAAAAATTAGCCGGGAGTGGTGGCGGGCGCCTGTAGTCCCAGCTACTCGGAGGCTGAGGCAGGAGAATGGCGTGAACCCGGGAGGCGGAGCTTGTAGTGAGCCGAGACAGCGCCACTGCAGTCCAGCCTGGGCGAAAGAGACTCCGTCTCAAAAAAAAAAAAAAAAAATCATGTTTACGATTCCTTCTCAACAATGTGCTTCTCGTCTAGAAACACATACATTGTTCAATAGATATTTGTTCAATAATATTTTGTGGGGAAAAAAATCACTAGATTAAGAGCCTCCCCTGAACCTCTCCCAATTTAAAAAAAAAAAAAAAAACTCTCAAAAGCAAGGATATGTATACTTTATTCCCTCGCTCAAAAAATTATGTTCAAATATAATCTCTTTAAAAACTCCCTTATGGGGGAGTCTCTCAAATATCATTCCTCCCCTTGTCTTTCATTCTGCTCCCTATTGCCTATATCCAGTATTTCAGAATATAGGAAGAGGCAGAAGGCAGAGGCTTGCTTTTCACCCGCTTCCTCTGAGACAGCAACACTGTGACCATCTTCCTCAAAGATGCCTGGAGTTCTTCGGGATGTCAGTTCAGGAAAGACACAAAACAGCTCTGTATTGCAGAGACCTCCCTAAAACACCCCCCTCCCATATTGGATAATTTCAACATGGCAAGGACATCCATGTGTGAAGTTCTTATTGGAAACTTTTAACAGATATGGTTTAAATTTTAATACAATGGGCAATGTTTTGTTTTCTGGTGAGACAAATTCTTACAGCTGATTGCATGCAGGAAAAGCTTTATTAAGTCAATAAGCTGTTACACTTTTACAAACTGCTATGCAGAATACTCAAACATTTTTAAATGACATGAGAAACTACTAACATCTTTAGTGAGAGTCACTTTCACAATTTTCTCTGCTCCCACACCCCTAATGATCAACATATTCATTTTTTTATTTAGTATATGTCACGCAGCAATTTATCAAAAGCTTTTGTTGTGAAAACACTTTTCTTAAATACACAATTAAAAGATATGATTAAGCACTTACAGGATGTGAAATATTTAAAGGTAATACACAATAATCGGGTTACCAAAAGGACGCCTTCCAATTTTTCTTTCTATTCATTTTGATGTTTTGTTCTTTTCAAAACATTTTCTCTCATTACATTCATTACTAAAGGCCTTACTTTAAATACATCATGCTACATTTTGTTCTCCTCTTCAAATGCCAATGTTTTAACAATTTGAATTCTCTGGCCTGGGAAAAAGAAAAGTTATCCACTTACAAGGTATACGTATTGACAACATGGATGTTACAGTCCAAACAACAGCACAAAATCAACCATGTACATGTAACATAGTGAAATGAGTCCACGTTTTCTACACGCTACAGGATAGGAAGAGCTGGCTCTTAAGGCCCAGGGCTCACATGATTATGCACTTGTCAAGCAGCTTCTCAGTGGTGTTGGGCATCTGGGATTTCTTCTCGGGCTCCTGGAGGCCGGTGGTGGGCTTTTTCTTGTAATTCAGCAGCATGTGGAACAGCTCCTGCACATTCACATCGGTCTTGGCTGAAATCTCCATGAAGGCGCAATTCCACTCCATCGCACAGGTGGCACCATCATTCAGGGCCACCTCCCGGTGGGTGTCATCACTTTTATTGCCCACCAGCACGATGGGGAACTTATGCAGGTTGTTACCTTTGATCTTGCAGATCAGCTCATAGAAGGCCTTCAGCTCTTCCAGGGTTTCCTTCTTGGTGACTGAGTAGACCAGGACGAAGGCGTGGCCCCGGGCTATAACGTGGCGCTGCAGAGCGCGGTTGCCGTCGCCACTCTTGCTGTCGGTGATGTGCAGGGAAAGCACACCGTGGCTGCAGCCCAGCAACTGGCAGTAGGTATTTTCAATGGTCGGCAGGTACTCATGACGGAAGTTGCCGCTCGCCCACTTGTGCAGCAGCGTACTTTTCCCCACACCAGCGGTGCCGACTACCACGACGCGGTAATCTCTGATCTTCCTGTGGGGCTTGAAGGCGCGGAGGATAAGCAGGGCGGGCAGAAGCCGCAACCGCTTCAGCAGCTTCTGTTCCTTGGAGCCAAAGCTGGCGTTACCCATCGTTGGGATTCGGAGGGGAGATACGTGCACAAGTTCTCCCACACTTAGCTGGCAGCAGGAGACCCCTAGGAAGAAAGTGAGACGGTGAGAGATGGTAGTGGTAACCTACAATGTTGTCAGATCATGTCAGCCTGGCCAGCTGCTCCACTAGGACTCTGAAGAGAGTCCACCCTGTGACGTAAAGGGGTGCACACAGCGAGAAGAAAATTCCCAGGCACACAGTTCAGCCTGCTAGACCGAGGGACCAGCAGGTGATATATATTAAACAGACATGGTGGTTTGCTTTTTACCATCTAGAAAGTGCAGCAATACTACCTTTTGTTTTCTTTCCTTAAACTGTTTTATTAAATTCTCACTACACCCCTACAAGAAACACTCTCATTTCCTCGCTTGTAAAATTAAGATTTTAATTGAAGAGGACTGAACAGTCAAAGAGAAACAGGTGAGGGAATTTTCCCCACTCTATGGGGCTGAATGCCAAGGTGACATTTAGAGTGACACCGCCGCCCTGGTTAAAGCTACAGAGTCATCAGTACAGGAGAAAGGAGGGGGTTTTTGGTATCAGTGGTGTGGGATGTAGAGAGGGGAGGTACCTGCAGTCAGTGCAGCCCCAGAAGAGGCATGGGGAGCACCTTTGCTCTGAGCATGCTGTCACCATGTGCCACCAAGAGCTGAGGGAGGGGTCTTAGTTCATGAATCCTTAGTCACAATGACAGTGGAGTAAAAAAAAAAAAAAAAAAAAAAAAAAAAAAATATATATATATATATATATATATATATATATATGAACCTTTCTCTTCAGGATCTAATCTCTGATTAGAAAAGATTGTAAATATTGAATGAGTTTTTCTACAGAACAGTGGTTTTTCTTTTGCCATGGCTACTACCTTTAACAAAGTACTTTTAATTCAGCCTTATGGAAATAGAGAAAATTTCAGGATTTGAACAGTCAATGAACTTTTTGAGTTCAGGAATAAACATAGTAGATTAGGTTTGTAAGAAACTTTTCTCACAGGTATATCCTAAATACCAGACAGCTGCCCAGGGGGACTGCTTCAGAAGCATCCTAGGTCAGATGGAAAAAGTTCTAGGCACCATGCAGACAGACCACATAGCTGGCCTCTGGACAGAGGTAGGAATAGTACAAGGCAATGTCATTCCTGTGGCACTAGGTATAGAAATTTATACATGTTTCTAGGTGATGATGGTCCTTAAAATGCACTTCTCTTCAGGTACAGCTATGATTGTGTCATGTACAATACCAGAAAGAGAAGAGAGGCTTTTTGTGAATAGCACACTCCCTATATAAACTAGCCTGTCTTGCTGGCTGCGTAGTTGAACACATACTCTCCCAGTACTGGGGAAAAGGACCCTTTTTAGAATGTGCAAGTCCCATGAGAGAGTAATATGTCCATATTAGAGTTTTGGTGGTGGTTTTTTTTTTTTTGTTTTTTTTTTTTGAGTCAGGGTCTTGCTCTGTCCCTCAGGTTGGAGTGCAGTCATGCGATCATGACTCACTGCAGCCTCAACCTCCTGGGATCAATCAATCCTCTCACCTCAGCCTCCCGAGTAGCTGGGACTACAGGCATGTGACACCATGCCCAGCTAATTTTCTTATTTTTTGTAGGGACAGGGTTTTGCTATGTTGTCCAGGCTGGTCTTGAACTCCTGTGTTCAAGTGATCCTCCTGCATCAGCCTCCCAAAGTGTTGGGATTACAGGTGTGACACAACATACCCACCCCATATTAGAGTTTTCATTTGAAAAAAAAAAATGTTGTTGCTGGTTGTTATATCTTCAGACTTAACTTGCTTCTAATTCTAGTCTGGCTTCTTTAAGATAGTGTGATTCTAAGAGTGTTCTAAACTTAAGTGGCAAAATTTAAGTAGATGATTTTATATTCTTGATTAAAGGGGGCCAGGGAGGTTAATACAGTAAATATTTGAAATTGATATAAAATAAATACATACATATATCTAAACCATTCATTTTTGCAGCTTTCAGGTAAAATCTAGCACTTTATTCCAGTCTATGAGATGTGGTTAGTTGATATCATCTAATATTAAGTAATGACATCAGCTATCCAAATCCTGGGCACAATTCCTTTAGCAATGATGACCTTTAATAGAATTTAGCTTAAAAAACTAGGAGATTTCTGCTACAGTGATGCAATCTTTCACATCTTATTTATTAACAAAAATCAACAATCCAGCTTTCCTTAGGTCTTCACGCACTAAGAGTTCTCTAGTCACAGAAATCCTAGCCTTGTCTGCACTCTCCACAACTATTATAAACTCCATGTTAGTATCAAGAGTTCCAGTAAAGACCAAATATCTCTTGGCCACCAACATCCCACATTAGGAAATGTGCATTACTAATTATTCTGTTTTACATTACTTCCTGCTCTAGGGGATGTATGTACAAATTCATTCATAGAAAATTGGTAAAGCAGCCGGGCGCATTGGCTCATGCCTGTAATTCCAGCACTTTGGGAAGTCAAGGTGGGAGGATCGCTTAAGCACAGGAGTTCAAGACTAGCCTGGGTAACATAGGGAGACCGCCGTCTCTATCAAAAAGAAAATAAAAGAAAAAAAATTGGTAAAGGACACACGTGATAACTGAAGTTTCCAGATGTGAAGAGAATTCTCATTCTCAGGCAGTGGACCCCCCCCCCCACTCCCCTCCACACTCCTTCCACCTTCCCAGGCCACCTGGCCTCAGGCTGAGGGGGAGGTGAAAGTTTCCAGGAACCAGAGGGCGTCCAAACCCAGCGGCCGTGCGGAGCTCAAGGTCCCGCCGCTGCTGTTGCGGCACCAGCCTGGCTCATGGACATCACCACGCACCTGCAAGGTCAGGTTTCTCTCTGGTGGCTGTGGCGGCTGCTACCCTCCTCGCCCATTTCAATCTTACTTTCACACTACATGACTCCACTATTACTTCCTGAACACTAGCTACCTACGCAGCTGTAATAGTGGACACTGTGTCAACCTTTAAGCTCGCACACTTATCAAACCTCGTTCTTCTATATTAAAAAGTGCTAGCTTCCCAACGGGACTATCCAAAGTGCAGTTGCAGGACCTGCCAGGAGCCCGCAGGGCTGCGGGTGGTTCTTGCGTAATCGCGCCAAGAAAGACCTGGTTCCAGTTTCAGGGACAACTCGCCCATAAACTTCTACTGCGCAACAGCATCTGCTGCTTTGTCTGACACTTGTTGTTTTCAAGTACCCCTAAAAAAGCGAAAGAAAGACTTACCTTTCTCGGAGGCACGAACCAAGCAGCCTAGAAGACAAATGCGCTGCTCGGAGAGACTGCCGCGGCAACCAACTGGACACCCCAAGAGCTCACTCCTCCGCGGTTTTATATTCCGACTTGCGCACAGGAGCGGGGTGCGGGGGCGCAGGGAGTGTGGGTAACAGGCATAGATTCCGCTTGCGCAATACGTGGTAAGAAACCAGCTGTGAGGGGCTGGCCCAACGCAGAGCGGCGCGAGGTCCGCTTGGCATCTACAACAATCGAGGGGCTAGTCCAGAAGTTCAAGGCGGGGTTACAGGTTGGGGAGGAACTGTTAAACTGTGGACTTTTTCTCACCTGTTGGAATAAGCTTCAGGCAAAACTTTGCCAACAAAAACCGGTCCAACTGATTTTAGACGAAAGTCCAAAAGCAGTTTAATGCAGGACAGATAATCTTTTCCACAAATGATACTGAAAAGACAGGACATCTATAGATTCCCCCCCGCCAAAAATAACCCTTACATAAAAATTAAGTGGCTAGATATAACTGTGACGAGTAAAATTACAAAACGGTTTTAAAAAACAACAAACTATTGTCTAAGGCTAGGCAAAAGGTTCTTAAATTGACATTAGTGGCAAGACCGGTAAAAAGAAATGTTGATGAATTAGACTCCATAAATTTAAAACTTTTGCTTTGTGAAAGACCCTGTAACGATACTGAAAAGGTTTACCTAGGAGAAAATATTTACAAGCCATATATCTGGCATACAACCAGTATCTAGAATATGTAAATAACTCAAAAATCAATTATTTTTAAAAATCCAATTAGAAAATAGTCAGAAGACATAAACAGACACTTCACTGAAGATATGCAGATGGCAAATAACCATATGAAAACCTTTAATGTCATTAGCCATTAGAGAAATGGGAATACGAGGCTTTCGTTGTTCTTCGCCTCCCACTAGGGCGGGTTGAGGGTCTGGCTCCAGTAGCCCCGGGTGCCTCTCACTCCTTGGGCGCAATGCTACTATCCTGGCAGAACCCTCGCCGAACCCTCGCAGGACGCCCCATCGGGTCCGCCAGCGGCTAGGAAGCCCGATTGTGTCGTTCCTTTTTCCCTCTGCGCCTCCCACCGCCAGTCCCTTTTCCAAATGCGCCTGCGTCTGCCCTCCACATCTCCGAGCTCCGTCTGGCTTCTTTCTCCCTTGCCTGTGAGCGCCTGGCGGCGGATGCATTGAAAGCTGCGCACCACCGCCTACCGAGCGTTTTGGGGAGTGTGTGGAAGTTGTTGGCAGCAGGTTTTGACAGCAGTACCCTATGGGCCTAGTCGTTGACGGTAGCACCTGGTTTTGTGTGCCCCAGCCAGCTGAGGCCAGGGTGTGTGGTGTGGGCCACTGGTACTGCTCTTCTGCCACTATAATCCCTCCCCCTACCAGGTACCTGGTGCGTAGAAGTCTAAAGACCTGTGAGGTCTAGCCTGGCGCCTGTAATCCTAGAGAATAAGGAGGTTGAGGCCAGGAGTTAGAGACCAGCCTGGGCAACATGGGGAGAACTTGTCTCTACTTTAAAAAAATTTAGCCCAGTGTGGTGGTGGCCGCCTGTAGTCCCAGCTATTTGGGAGGCTGATGTGGGAGGATCACTTGAGCCTCCCACATCAAGGAGATCGAGGCTGCAGTGAGCCGTGATCACAGCCACTGTACTCCAATCTGAGCAACAAAGTGAGAACCTGTCTCAAAACAAATTCCAACCTGATTCTGGTATAGCATCACATGACAGGTAGCAGCCCTAAGGGCGATCAAAGTATTTTACCCCAAAATATATTTCTGACATATTTTGGAATGGTCCTGTGCAAAGCTATCTTTTGCGAGGGAAATTTGTGTTCTGTGGACAATCTCCTTCCCTTTCCAGGTCTTTCTCTGATCCGGGAGAGATTTAACTAAGAGTCTGACACCGTTTAAGGTCATTTACCTTTTGAGGTACATATGCCATCTATTCTTTCTGAAGCATATTACAGGCTTCACATATGTAACAAGAACCCTGGCTTCCACAACCTCCCTCCTGCCACCACTGGCCAAACCCCTCCTCCTCCAAAATGTACCGGCTTTCCAGGTCAAACCAATGTATACCTTACATATATTGACTGATGTTTTTGCCTGTATCTTCTGTCTTCCTAAAATGTATAAAAGAAAACTATAGTCCAAACACCTTGGACACATGTTCTCAGGACCTCCTGATGCTGTGTCACAGGCCGTGGTCACTCATATTTGGCTCAGAATAAACCTCTAAATATTTTACAGAGTTTGGCTTTTTTCACTGGGTTTCCCCACTCATTTTATTGGCATTAGCTCATACTCTTTCTGTCCAATCATATTTCTACATTGCTGTCTATATTTTATTAATCCTAAGTTAAAAATAGACAATTTCCTCTATATGCTTGGGTCATCATTCTGCAGGCTCCCATGTATACATATTAAATACATTTGTATGCTTTTTCTCCAATTAATCTGCCTTTTGCAGGTTGATTTTTCAGTGAGCCTTCACTGAAGTTTCCCTTTGGTCCCTGCACTGGTAATTAACTCAAACTGTTTTACCAAAATTTGATTCATAGCCTTTATCTCATTTTACCAGAAAAATAATTTGGATCCAACTGTTCTCTATAAACCAGCAAGTTTATATGTTTTACTATCTCACAACTAAAATTCTAAAATAAAAGCTAGAAGACCTTTATGTGTATATTTGTTTAAATATATTTACACATATGTACATGTATTATGTTGTATGTTATGTCTACATAATAAAATTCAGTGTGGTAGGCCAAAAATCCCTTAAGAAATGTTAATCTGATTGGTTTAAATAGATGGGCACTCACACAAAAACATAGTAATTAACCTAATTTTTTTAGTTCATGTAACTTAATCTTTAAAAAAGTAATTGGTTTTAAAATTGTTGATAAAATAAAATTAAAAACGTCTTTCTAATTGTCAATATATATTTTTGCCTGTGTTTACTGGTGTGGGGGCTATGGCTCTCAGCCCCCCAAAGATTTGCTGGAAAATCACTGACATGGGCCACATTGATTAGTAAGAGAAAAGACATACAAATGTATTTAATGTGTATACACAGGAGCTTTCAGAATAAAGACCCAACTTCTCAATGAGTTATAGAAGTTTATACACTAGTCTTGAAATTACAGAAAGAATGGGGGGCTTGGATTCTGGTAAAACAGATTATGGGAGGAGAAGAGGAATTTATTGAGGGGCAATGAATGATTGGTGAGAGAATGATTGGATTGAGCAACAGATATTAACTTGTAAATAGTTTTCTTTGGAATTTAAATAATCCTTGGAGGCAGTCATTGTACTTCTATAAAGGTCTGCTTGGGTGTGGTTACATTTTGGTCTTCTTTTCTTTAACAGATGAGATAACAGGAGGAGGAGAACCAACAATTGCTCTCCTTGGTGGGTCTGGTTGTTAGGCAGATAAAGGAACTTCAGCTTCTTTGGGAAGGATGGTGGGGTTGGAGGAAAAGTCAGAGAGACCTTGAGGCTTCTTTAGTTTAGCGTGTCAAATACCATGTTTTGGCATATCAGTTTCTGAGCACCAGCACTGGTCAGTTTTATATTTGCCTGTGCTATTAAGGTCATGAAGCTATAAACCAGGCCTAAAGCAAAGTGATATATATTTATGCAATTCTTTGATAAATAAGATTAATTTAATATTATTTAACAAAAACAGCTGTGGCTGGGTAGTGACTCCCACCTGCAATGCTAAAACTTGGAGAGGCCAAGGTGGGAGGATCACTTGAGCCCAGGAGTTTGAGATCAGCCTGGGTAACATAACAAGACCCAATCTCCATAAAAAAATTTAAAAATTAGCCAGGCATGTGCCTGTGATCCCAGCTACTCTTAAGGCTGAGGAGGGGGGATCCCTTGAGCCCAGAGTTCAAGGCTAGAGTGAGCTATGATCACACCACTGCACTCTAGCCTGGGCAACAGAGTGAGCCTTTGCCTGTAAGGAAAAAAACAAAAGTTGTATTTTCTGAGTTATCTACAGATACCCATGTATTTAACTTTATGGCTCTTATGTGGGTAAACACCTCATGTTAACAGGCTATATAATTATTTAATTTAAAAAAACTTGAAATAATGACCAGCTCCATCTAATATCTCAATTTTTGTAAGAAATATAGGTATAATTGTTAAAAAATAAATTAACTGTAAATGAAATAAATGTTTATAAATGAACTCATGTAATTTAAAGTCTTAAAATTTTATGTTAAATCATATATACAAAATAAATGTCTGTATCATAGTCAGATAAGATAAAATGATTGGTTATCCCACATTTTTAAAAAAAGAAAAATTATAGGACTAAGAGGTAGGGGTTAGGAAAATAAAAGGTCTAAAGTTGAAGAGGACTAATAAAGGATGAGCTAATAAAAGAAGTTTTATGTGTTATTGACTTGGCTGGAATTAAAAACAAATTGTTTGTGTGTTTTTCTAAAAATTAAACGTTCTCAGGTAGGGGACCAGGGGACAGGCACTGATACAGAACCAGAGTCTGGTTCCTTATATTTAAAACAACAAGATTTCTTGAAGTATTATCTGATTTTAATAAAATTTTAAGGGGTTTTGATTTTTAAATTTATACTCTGTTTTTAAACAGGTATCTTCTCCTTGACATCTATTTAATTTTCCTAGTTTTGGGTTAAAAATGTTGTCTTCTTGATTTAAAGTGGTAATTTCATTCCTTGAGGTACAGTTGTTTTTTTTTTTTTATTTCTCAAATTCATATTGCAGAAGTTCATCTTTTACAGTTTCTTGCTGTACATGATTTGCAGGTCAATATGTCATTTCCTTCATTTTTTTCTCCCCTGGAGAAGGCCTGAGATGATCATTCTCCTCTTTGGCTTTTTTTGGTTCTAACATTGCTGTTTTGGCCTGACATTAGAATATTTATCTTGAAGGCGTAGAAAAGCAGCGTTTTTCTCCAGTATAACTTAATTTTGTGCTCTTGGCTTTTCTTGATATGTCTGAATTTTTCCATATAACCAGAAAAGTTACTGTGGTAAGTAACAGCATGCTGTTACTAAGAACCATGTAGTTCCCTGCTCAAGGTACTAGTTTTCTTGTTTATATTCCTCTATAATATAGTGTATACTTATAACCTTGGACATATTCTTCCTGTGTTTCATGACATTCAAGTTCCCTTTTCATCAGGTTCAACTTCCACGTTATCTGAATGAGCTTCCCATAATGAAAAACAATCACACCGAAGAGGGCTTTCTTTACGTTTTTGGTAGCGAGTCTAAGAAACAAAGATTTTATGTTTTAGCAAACTAACTTTCTATGTTACCTTTATTAGGCTTTTGATTACTTAAAAAAAAATGAGTTTTAAAAGGGTTAAGGTTTCTAAATCCATGTGACTTTCTTATTGCTTTTGAAGTCTTTTGATTATGACACTGGTTAAATGAATAACTGTTATTTCACAGCAACCTGTGATTCTGTTTTGAACCTTTTAACATCTTTGACAAATGTCTCCCAGGTCAAATCCTATTTTAAGACTTTTTGACCTAAAATTAACTTTGAGATTTTTTCAGTTAGGCTCCTGGAAAACCTTAAAAGACATATTTCTCATTTTGTAGAGATGACTAGGCTTATTTGGTGAATTGTATAAAAACATCGTCAAATAAGTGATACTAGATTTTCTTTTAGTTACATTTATGTACATGTTGACATGAATGTTTCAAAAATTATATAAATTCATAGAAATCGAGTATGTTTTCAGTCATAATTCTAACATAATCTTTTGTTCAAATTATACTCATCGTCCCTGTTGTAGAGCTGGACATTCTCTGCTGTAATTCAACCCAGTCATAAAATTTTACCCAATGGCTACAACAGGACTCAAGACTCAACCAGTTTCCTACATGGTCTTTTGATTTCTTTAGTTGGTTACCTTCAACAGTAGGTTCATGGTTTAGCACCAGTATTTAGACCAGACTGATTATATTAGTGGGTTTTTTTGTGTGTGTGTGTGTTATGATTTTTAAACTTTTTTCTTATTACTTGACTAGTCTTTGTAAAGCCAGCTCTCCCAACAAGATAATGTTAGCCCAGCAAGATGATTGACTAGACATAGCCAGGTAGAATAGCTTCTACCAAGGGACAGAGACAGCTGGTATACTCCTAACAGATTTTCAGAGGGAAGGCTGCCCCTACCACTTCCCTCCAAAAATGATGTAGGGAAGACACAGAAGCTGGGCTGAAGTGGGGAGAAACCTGGGAACACTCTATGGGGCTACCGTGCACCCGGACTCTTTCCTTGACCCCAGTGGCTCTGAGGGCATGGGTGAGTTGAACTTGCAAGGAGCAACACATTCTTGCCATAGGCCTCTGGAACCCCACCAGGAGGAGACCCCTCAACCACCATGGACACTTGAATTGGCAGGAAGGGCTACTTAGAGAACTGGTAGGGGCAGCAAGCCAGCTGATGTGGAGCACAGAGGGTTTGGAGCAGGAACATCTGTAGTGGAGCATGGCCAGGGACACCCATCCCCCTTGGATCAACTTACTTCCATAGGAGACTTTAGCCCCAGGGGAACTGTTAGTCCTGAACTCTGTAGGGCAATCTTGCCCATCAGTTGGGGCTGGTCCAACCTGAGCACCCCTTGCTCTGCTGGCCTCCCCCAAGGCCCTAGCCTAGCCACACCTGCTTGCAGGGCAATCTCAGGCACGTGGGGGCCCACATCATAGTTTCTGTGCTGGCGGACTGTGCCTGACTGGAAAGCTCTAGCTGGGTGGCCCTCACAGCCCACATACTCCCTCCCCACATTGCAGCTTCCCTGAGACCCACAGCAATTCCCAACATTGCTTCGCTGGTGCATATCTTTGCAGACAGGTTTTGCTTTCCTTGCCCTGCCATCTCACCAGTATGTGTGCACCTTACCCTGCCACTGCAGCGCGAGAGTGCAGTCTGACCCTCTCTCACTGCTGACCATCATTGCAGATGGAGCCTTGATGAGCACAGAGCGAATTCTGCCCCGACGGTGCCCTGCCCTTGCACTAACACTGCTGTGGGAGTGAAACTAGGTGCAGAAAACAACAGATCTCTCCCTGGCCTGAGCAATTACTCATGCTTGTGAGGCACAGAGAAAGCTCACAGACCTGCACCTGCCAGCATCCAGCTCCCAAGCCAACACCACAACCAGTGCAGCCATGCACACCCTCACCAGCAGGGGCCCCTGCTCCCCCTAGCTGCATTGCCTCCACCACTATGGTGAATACCCTCAGGGAGGCAGGCACCCTAGTACCCTGCCGCAGTTGCCACTACCACTGCTGCTGGTACCTGTGAATGAGAATGGATCCCACTATAACTGCACTACAAATGCTTTGGCTGACACTGTGGGCAGCAAGCCACCCAGGTGCCAAGGCAAGAGACCAAGGGCACGAGCTGTTCCAGTATAATAAAATATATAAAATAAGAATAGTTATACTAGATATAGATCTTAGATACGATTTTATATGAATATCATTAATCATTAGTTTGTAGTAATTACTCTTTATTCCAATATTATAATAATCCTCACTCTACAATCATAACCTAGGAAAAACCAGGCCATACAGAGATAGGAGCTGAGGAGACATAGTGAGAAGTGACCAGAAGACAAGAGTGTGAGCCTTCTGTTATGCCCAGACAGGGCCACCAGAGGGCTCCTTGGTCTAGCGGTAACGCCAGCGTCTGGGATGACGCCCGTTACCAAGTGGACCGTGGTCTAGTGGTAGCATTAGTGTCAAGGAAAAACACCTGCTACTTAGCAGACAAGGAAAGGAAGTCTCCCTTTCCCTGGGGGAGTTTAGAGAAGACTCTACTCCTCCACCTCTTGTGGAGGGCCTGACATTAGTCAGGCCCACCTGCAGTTTTCTGGAGGCCTAACCATCTCCCTGTGATGCTGTGCTTCAGTGGTCATGCTCCTAGTCTGCCTTCATGTTCCATCCTGTACACCTGGCTCTGCCTTTTAGATAGCAGTAGCAAATTAGTGAAAGTACTAAAAGTCTCTAATAAGCAGAAATAATGGTGTAAGCTGTCTCTCTCTTTCTCCTCTCTCTCTCTGCCTTGGCTGCCAGGCAGGGAAGGGCCCCCGTCCAGTGGACACGTGACCCATGTGGCCTTACCTATCACTGGAGATGGTTCACACTCCTTATCCTGCCCCTTTGTCTTGTATCCAATAATTATCAGCGCAGCCTGGCATTCTGGGCACTACCGGTCTCTGCATCTTGGTGGTAGTGGTCCCCCGGGCCTAGTTGTCTTTTCTTTTATCTCTTTGTCTTTTGTCTTTATTTGTACGCTCTCTCATCTCTGCACATGGGGAGAAACCCACCGACTCTGTGGGGCTGGACTCTATAGACACCACGCACTGGAATGTAGTGACCAGTGGTCTCGGAGTCTGGGAGCACCTTGACCACCACCACCCCCTCAATCCCACTGCAGTGGGTTTCTAACTTTGAGGAGCCAGAAAACGAAGTTGGAGCCCAACACAAGTCCCCCAGAGTTAGAACACATAGTACAGGAATTGGAATCTGAGCCTCGGCTCTGTAAAATCTTCCAGAAATGAAACCAGTCAGCTGAATATACCTTATACTATGAGCAAACCCTCAAGGACATCAAATAGAATAAAAGAAAAAAAAACATTCAAAGGTCAGCAACCTCAAGGATTGAAAGAACATAAGCCCACAAGGATGAGAAAGAACCAGCATAAGAACCCTGACAATTCAAAAAGCCAGAGTGCTTTCTTTCCTCCAAATTACCTCATCACCTCTCAAGCAAGGGTTCAGAACCAGAAGAGATGGTTGATATGACACAAATAGAATTCAGAACATGGATAGGAATGAAGATCACTGAGCTACAGGAATATGTTGAAACTCAGTCCAAGGAAGCTAAAAATGATGATAAAACAATGCAGAAGCTGACAGACAAAATAGCCAGTATAAAAAAGAACATAACCAACCTGATAGTGCTGAAAAACATACCACAAGTCATAATGCAATGACAACTATTAATAGCAGAACAGACCAAACAGTGGGAAAAAAATCTCAGAACTCAAAGACTGGTTTTCTGAAACAAGAGAGTCAGACATGAGCAGAAAAAAAGAATGAAGAGGAAGGAACAAAACCTCCAAGAAATATGGGATTATGTAGAGATCAAATCTACAACACATTGGTGTCCCTGAAAGAGAGGGGGAGAATGAAACCAACTTGGAAAACATATATCAGGATATCATCCAGAGAACTTCCCCAACCTAGCTAGAGAGGCCAACATTCAAATTCAGAGAACCCCCAGTAAGATACTTCACAAAAGGATCATCCCCAAGACAAATATTCATGAGATTCTCCAAGGACAAAATAAAAGAAAATGTTAAAGGCAGTTAGACAGAAAGTTCAGGTCAACTACAAAGGGAAGCCTACCAGATTAACAGTGGACCTCTCAGCTGAAACCCTATAAGCCAGAAGAGATTGGGGGCCAGTATTAAACATTCTTGAAGGAAAGAAATTCCAACCCAGAATTTCATATCCAGAAACTAAGCTTCATAAGTGAAGGAAAAATAAGATCCTTTCAGACAAGCAAATGCTGAGGGAATTTGTTACCACCAGGCCTGCCTTACAAGAACTCCTAAAGGAAGTACTAAATATGGAAAGGAAAGGCTGTTACCAGCCACAACAAAACACACTGAAGTACACAGACCAGTGACACTGTAAAGGAACCACAAACAAATCTGCAAAATAACCAGCTAATATCATGATGACAGGAGCAAATCCACATGTATCAATAGTAACCTTGAATGTAAATGTGTTAGATGCCCCAGTTAAAAGGCACAGTGTGGCAAGCTAGATAAAGAACCAAGACTTATTTGCATGCTGTCTTCAAGAGACCCATCTCACATGCAATTGCAGACATAGGCTCAAAATAGAGAGATGAAGAAAAATCTACCAAGCAAATGGAAAACAGAAAAAAAGCAGGGATTACAATTATACTTTCAGACAAACAGACTTTAAACCAACAAAAATTTTAAAAAGACAAAGAAGGGCATTAATGGTAAAGGGTTCAATTCAACAAGAAGACCTGACTATCCTACATATAGGAGGAGGACCCAGATTCATAAAACAAGTTCTCAACTTTAAAGATATTTACACTCCCATACAATAATAGTTTTGGAGAATTTAACACCTCATTGACAATATTAGATCATTGAGACAGAAAATTAACTAAGATATTCAGGACCTGAACTCAGCACTGGATCAAATGAACCTGCTGACATTGACAGAACTCTCCACACAACAACAATAGAATATACATTTTTCTCATCGCCACATGGCAAATACTCTAAAATCAATCACATAATCCAAAGTAAAACACTCCTCAGCAAATGCAAAATAACTGAAATCATAACAAACAATCTGTTGGACCACAGTGTAATCAAATTAGAAATTAAGACTAAGAAATTCACTCAAAACCATAGAATCATGGAAATTTAATAACCTGCTCCTGAATGACTTTTGGGTAAATAATGGAATTAAGGCAGAAACCAATAAATTCTTTGAAACTAATGAGAACAAAGACATAACATACCAGAATCTCTGGAACACAGCTAAGGCAGTGTTGAGAGGGAAATGTATAGCACTAAATGCCCACATCAAAAAGTTAGAAAGCTCTCAAGTTAACAACCTAACATCACAATTAAAGAACTTGAGAACCAAGTGAAAACTAACCTCAAAGCTAGCAGAAGACAAGGAATAACCAAAAATTAGAGCCAAACTGAAGGAGATTGAGACACAAAAAACCATTCAAAAGATCACCAAATCCAGGAGCTGATTTTTTTTTTTGAAAAAAATACTAAAATAGACCACTAGCTAGAATAATAAATAAGAAAAGAGAGAAGATCCAGATAAACACAATCAGAAATGACAAGGAGGATATTACCACTAACTGTACAGAAATACAAATAATCATCGGAGAATATTATGAGCAACCTTATGCAAATAAACTAGAAAATCTAGAAGAAATGGATGAATTCCTGGATGCATACACCCTCCCAAGACTGAACCAGTAAGAAATTGAATCCCTGAACAGACCAATAACAAGCTCTGAAGTTGAGTCAGTAATAAATAGCCCACCAACCAAGAAAAAGCCCAGGACCAGATGGAATCACAGCTAAATTCTGCCAGATGCACAAAGAAGAGCTGGTATCATTCCTGCTGAAACTATTCCAAAAAATTGAGGAAGAGAAACTGCTCTCTAACTCATTGTATGAGGCCAGCATTATCCTGATACCAAAACCTGGCAGAGACATAACCAAAAAGAAAAATAATAATAAAAATAAATTTAAAAAAACACTTCATGCCTATATCCTTGATGAATATAGATGAAAAAATCTTCTACTAAGTAATGGCAAACAGAATACAGTAGCACATCAAAAAGCTTATTCACCATGATCAAGTAGGCTTTATCCCTGGAAAATCAATAAATATGATTCACCACATAAACAGAACCGAAACCAAAAACTACATGACCATCTCAATAGATTCAGAAAAGAGTTTCAGTAAGATTCAACTCCCTTTCATGTTAAAACCCTCAACAAACTAGGCATTGAAGGAACATACCTCAAAATAATAAGGACCATCTCCAAAATCCCACAGCCAACATCTTACTGAAGGGGCAAAAGCTGTAAGCATTCCCCTTGAAATGAGGAACAAGACAAGGATGCCCTTTCTTACCATTCTTATTCAACATAGTACTGGAAATACCAGTGGGAACAATCACGCAAGAGAAAGAAATAAAAGGCATCCAAATAGGAAGAGAGGAAGTCAAACTATCCCTGTTTGTAGACAATGTAATCCTATATCCAGACAATCTTATAGTGTTGGCCCAAAAGCTTCTTAATCTGATAAACAACCTCAGCAAAGTCTCAGGATACAAAAATCAATGTGCAAAAATTACTAGCATTCCTATGCAGCAACAACAGTCAAGCTGAGAGCCAAATCAGGAATGTGATCCCATTCACAATTGCCATAAAATAAAATGAAATAAAATAAAATAAAATAAAATAAAAACCTAGAAATGCAACTAACCAGATATGTGAAAGATCTCTGCAATGAAAACTACAAAACACTGCTGAAAGGAATCAGAAATAACACAAACAAATGGAAAAACATTCCATACTTATGGATAGACTCAATATTGTTAAAATGGTCATACTGCCCAAAGCAATTTATAGATTCAATGCTACTTCTATTAAACTACCAATGACATTTTTCACAGAACTAGAAAAAAATTATTTTAAAATTCATATAGAACCCAAAAAGATCTCAAATAGCCAACACAATCCTAAGGAAAAG
Organism: Homo sapiens; assembly: GCF_000001405.40. Classification (NCBI taxonomy): domain Eukaryota; kingdom Metazoa; phylum Chordata; class Mammalia; order Primates; family Hominidae; genus Homo; species Homo sapiens. Next base: position 68,062,919 of record NC_000001.11, read on the forward strand.
AACAAAGCTGGAGGCATTACACTACCCAACTTCAAACTATACTATAGTTGGGCAAAAGTATACTATAGGGCTACAGTAAACAAAACAGCATGGTACTGGTACAAACACATACACATAGAACAATGAAACAGAATAGAGAGCCCAGAAATAAGGCTGCATATCTACAACTATCTGATGTTCAACAAGCTGACAAAAACAAGCAATGGGGAAAGAACTCCCTATTTAATAAATGGTGCTTGGATCACTGGCTAGCCATATGCAGAAGATTAAAACTAGAATCTTTCCTTATACCATATGCAAAAATCAACTCAAGATGGATTAAAGACAATTTTAAAATCTAAAACTATAAAAATCCTGGAAGACAACATAGGCAATACCATTCTGGACATAGGGATGGGCAAAGATTTCATGATGAAGATGCCAAAAGCAACTCCAACAAAACCAAAATTGACCAATGGGACCAAATTAAACAAAAGAGCTTCTGCACAGCAAAAGAAACTATCAACAGAGTGAACAGACAACCTACAAAATGGGAAAACATTTTTTGCAAACTATGCATCTGACAAAGGTCTAATATCCAGCTTCTAGAAAGAACTTAAATATATAAGAGAAAAACAAACAACCCCACTAAAAAGTGGGCAAAGGACATGAATAGACACTTTTCAAAGAAGATATACTTGTGGCCAATAAGCATATGAAAAAAAGCTCATCACTGATCATTAGAGAAATGCAAATCAAAACCACAATGAGATACCATCTTACACCAGTTAGAATGGCTATTATTAAAAAGTCAAAACATAACAGATGCTGGCAAGGTTGTGGAGAAAAAGGAACGTTTATACACTGTTGGTGGGAGTGTAAATTAGTTCAACCATTGTGGAAAACAAGATAGTATGGTGCTTCCTCAAAGACCTAAAGGCAGAACTACCATTTGGCTCAGCAATCTCATTACTGGGTATATGCCCAAAGGAATATAATTGTTCTCTCATAAAGACATATATGTACATGTATGTTCACTGCAGCACTATTCACAATAGCACAGACATGGAATCTATCTAAATGCCAATCAACGGTATACTGGATAAAATGTAGCACACATATACCATATAATACTATGCAGCCATAAAACAGAATGAGATTATGTCCTTTGCAGGAACATGGATGGAGATGGAGGCCATTATCCTTCACAAACTAATGCAGGAACAGAAAACCAAATACAACATGATCTCACTTATAAGTGGAAGCTAAATGATGAGAACACATGGACATTTAGAGAACAACACACACCAGGGCCTATTGGAGGGTAGAGGATGGAGGAGGGAGAGGATCAGGAAAAGTAACTAATGGATATTAGGCTTAATACCTCAGTGATGAAATAATCTGTACAACAAATTCCCATGACACAAGTTTACCTATATACAAACCTGCACATGTACCCCTGAACTTAAAATAAAAGTTAAATTTAAAAATATTTTTAGAAGATAATGTTAGCCCAACACTTCAAGGTGATTGCTGTTGTCCATGGTATTGATAAGAGGAAACTTGATACTTCCCAGAGAAAATTACCCTGAGAAAATTTTTCCTTCTGGACTTTTTGTTATTCAAATGTGGCCCAAGCCCCTGACATAGACCCTCATGCCTTCTTTCCGACATGGGACAGAGACAACCAGGACAGGCTTACCCCAGCACTGAGGAACAATTAAGCCAAATTCAAGATGATTGATCAGTGATGCTTTCAGAGAAAGATCTTGATCAAAAGAAGAAAATGGGAAGTTGATCATACCAGTTGGGTCAATTTTGTCATCCTCAACTAAATCATATTCAAGGGATCGAAGGGGAAAATCACTCAGAACATATAACATTGCTCCAAGAATATAATTTTCTGAAATCTTGGCTTATGAAACTGCCAGTTGTAGCCTGAAGCCAGTTTTATCTAATAGCTACTGAAACATCTTGCTGAGATGCTAGACTAGGTTTATCCACAACCATCACTCACCAATCAGTACTTGCCAGCTCCCTAAAAAATGTTACTAGTGCCAATGAACTTTCTTTCAAAACAATATAAAACATTTCTCCTTCTTGTGGAAACTCCAACCTTTTTTTGCCTCCACACAAAAAAGACTGAAGATCAACCAGTCTGTATGCATGTCCCAAATTGTAATTCTTACTTCCCTAATAAAACATTTTGAATTTAGAAATTTGTCTCTATATTTTATTTGACTTCAACATATTCATATTATGGGATGCTACTCAGGAATAAAAAAGAATTATTGATATATGAAACTACTTAGATGAATCACAAAAAATTATGCTGAGTGAAAAAAGCCAATCCTGAAATATACCGTATGATTCTATCTTTGTAGCAATCTTGAAATGACAAAATTATAGAAATCGTGTATTATTAGTAGTTGCCAAGGGTTAAGGATGAGGGAGGAGGCATGGGATGAAGGTGGATATGTTTGTAAAATAGCAATATGAGAAATTATTGTGTTGAGAGAACTGTTCTGTATCTTGAATGTGGTTGTAGAGATACAAACCTACACGCATGGTAAAATTCCATAGAATTAAGTACATACACAAATGAATACAAGTAAAACTATCTGAATAAGATCAGTGGGCTGTATCGATGTTAATATTCTGGTTGTAACATTGACTGTAATTTTGCAAGATATTACCATCAGGGAAACTGAGTCAAAGTTACCAGAGAGCTCTCTGTATTATTTCCTACAATTGCATGTGAATCTTCAATTATCTAAAAATTTTTTAAAAAGGTAAATTTTAGAAAGCACTTGCAAAAAAAATAAAAGCAGCCCAACTCTGATGGCTGTCCATTGCCTACAGAATTAAAGTTCAAACTCTTTAGCTTCATACTCCTTGTTCCCTGCAAACCAACTTTAAATTCCCTTTCGAATCTTACCTTCCAAAAGCCTTGTGCACAAACTGGCTATTCTTGGGAGGTCCTTGTGGCAGCTTGACCACTCAGCTTATGCATTCCTGCTGCCCTGCTCCCTTCCCCACCCCCATCTTCATCTCCTCATCCACTTACCCCAATCCTACTCTCCTTCAAGCCTTGCCTCTAAATGGCACCTCCAGCTGGAAGGAATTTCTCCCTTCTTGGAGTTCCCACAGCACTATTCCACCTTGTATTGCAGTTATGTGTGTATTGTTTCATGTTCTCCACAAAGCTATGAGCTTTTCTTGGACAAGACTGAAATTCATTTATCTCTGATCCCCTCATGCTAGTAAGTGCCAGCATGTGTCACTCAGAGGCAGCCAAGATAGTGGGGAACATACATTCCACCCAGAGGGGTGGAGATCTCTGAAGGAAAGCCAGCTTTGGATCTAGCCTGACTTCCTCTTCAGGCCTGGTTCCACCACTTCTTTACAGTTTGGCCTTTGACTCTATCCTAAGTTTCCGCAATTGATAATAGCAGTGTGTGAAAAAAACACCTTCCTCAATACCTAGCACATAGTAGACACTCAGAAAGTGCAGCTGGAGTTTGGGGACTTGGTTTCCAGTTCCTGTTTGGTCACGTACTAATTATATAGGCTTAAGCAAACAACTTGTTTTCCTTTTATATTCAGTTTCTCTGCCTGTAGAATGGGCACAAAATATTTATGTCTGAAGTAAGATTGAGTTATGTGTGTAAAACTACTTTAGAAATGTTAGAGAACAATATTCAAGGAGAGTACTGATTGTGGAGTATGAATGAGCTAACAGTCACTTGAGTGTTGACCACAAGCCAGGCACTGCTCTAACAATTTTACATGTGTTCACTATTTAAATCTTACTATGATTGTGTGAGGTGGAGACCACTGCTATCCCTATTTTATAAATGATGAGACTGGGTATAGAAAGGTTAACTAAGTGGCAGAGGCCAGGAGGGCTAGCTAGCTCCAGGTGTAGAGCATTTTACACCATGCTGCCTTTCTATTAGGTGTTGTTGAAAGGGCGTTGTTGGACCTTCATAATTATAATTTTGGAAATCTGTTTCTTTTCATTTCCTACAAGGTTCTCCTTACAAACACCTTTGCTTAAGCTCTGTAGAAAACTAACAGCAGTTGTATTTCACACCCTTCACAACGAGTTAAGTATCTTCTTTACAATTTTTGACTTCCTGGATCAGGGTTACCTAAGAATCCCTTCCCTAATCCCATTCAAGTGTTTTCTACTCCCTCCAAGTCTGTTCCCAACCTGTCTGCTTTTGCCTAGCACCCAGCTGCTTCAAATAGCTCCTCATTGGTAGAGATATTATCTCCCACTTCTTAGAGAAAGGAAGCCACCAGGCAAAACTCACCAGCTCCTGGACCATGCACATTCTTGGGCATTTTCTCTTTCCTTAATCCATGGCTACTAGCTTCATCTGAGCCGTGGATTGTTTTTCAATATGTAGTCCTAGTATCACCTGTATTGGAATCACCGGGGATGCTTGCTAAACCACCCAGCTCCAGTCTACAGAATCAGAATCTGGAGGTGGGGCCTGAAGCTGGGTGGGAGGGGTGTCTAGATTTTAATAAGGCCCCTCAGGTGACTCTGATACAGAGGCAAGTTTGAGGCAGCTCCTTCAGAACTTTGCTTAATCAATCGTGTCTTTTCTAACCTACCAGTCTCTCTCACTGTCAATTAGATTCTTTCTCCTGGCCTGTAAATATACTCAGGTCTCGACTATTCTAATAAGAAAAAATGTTACATCATGGGGTTGTGGTGATGAATAGTGTTAATATACATAAAGCCAACAGCACCTAGTACATACAATACATATGTTGGCTATCTTTTTTTCTTAAATTTTTTTTGTAGTTAACTAAAGCCCATAGTTTATTTGGATTTCCTCAGTTTTTACCTAATGTTTTTTCTGTTTTGCAATCTCATCCTATGACATGTAATTGTCATGTCTCCTTAGGCTTCTCTTGGCTATGACAGTTTCTCAGACTTTCCTTGTTTTTGTTTATCTTGACAGCTTTGAGGAGTTGTAGTTAGGTACTTTCTAAGATACCCCTCTATTGAACTTTGTCTGATTTTTTAAAAAATCATAATTAGACCAGGATTATGGGTCTTTGGGAGGAAGATCTCAGAGGTAAAGTATAGTTTTCATTACATCACATCCAGGGTACATGTACATACTATTGACATGATTTATAACTGTTGATGTTGATGTTGATCACCTGGCTGACGTGTTCGTCACATTTCTCCATTGTAAAGTTATGCTTTTCCTGCTTTGCATACTCTTTGGAAGGAAGTCAGTACGTGCAGGCCACTTGAGGGGAGATTTATGCTTACCTCTTTGAGGGCAAAGTAGCTACATAATTTTTAAAAATTATTTGGAATTCTTCTGTGTGGAAGATTTCTCTCTAACCCATTTATTAATCATTTATTTATATCAGTATAGATTTAAGGATACATATTTTGTGCTTGGGGTTATAACCCAATGCTACTTTATTAGATTGTAATGATTTGTTCAAATTGTTTCAGCTTTGGCCATTGGGAGTTCTTTCAGCTGGTTCTTATGCTCCTTTGACCTTCTCATTAATAGACTGCAGGTTTTTTGTGTGTTTCAGCAATTCTTGGCATTATAAGATGCTCCAGACTCATCTTGTATATTTTCTACCCCATTGCTAGAATTAACCGTTTCTCAAGTGGAATGGTATTTTTTTTTTTAAAAAAATCTATTATGCTGGTTTGTACTGGGAAGTCATTGTTCTCAGACTCCCTCAACTGAGAGGGCAAAGAAATATATGTGTGTACACTTGTCCTTGTCTATACGAATATCTATAAATATTTCTATCTATATCTATTTGCATCTATATTAAGTTAAATATGAGTTCTTACTGATGTCTTTGACTATACCCATTACTATATGCATCATTCTAGCCATCCTCTTGCAGATCTAGAAATTTCCATTCCAACAGTGAGACATCTGGCTCCCATCTTCTGCCATGTTTACTTAGTCATCCAATCCCAGTATATATGTATAGTGGGCTCAGAATTGTTAACTTTTCTTAACTTCATTTCCCTGGGAAATGTCTTTATCAACTAGTACAATGTTTATGTATAGTTCCTTGACTGTTGTCTTACATACTCCATTTATTTCCAGAATGACTTCGGTTGGTGTTTTCCAACCCCTTCGGTGGAGTTATAACAGAGTCTCTGGTTACAGTCTGCATTCTTTCCTAGAGGAATGTAGTGATTGTCACAATCTTAAGTAACACATCCATTGCCACCCATGATGTACATTAGATCTTCAGAATATAGTGAGTCTTGAAATCTAGTCAGTCCTCCAACATTGTTCTTCAGTACAGTAAGTTATTCTGGTTTCTTTGCCCTTCCACATGACTTTTAAAATCAGTTTGTTACTATCCACTAAATAGCTTACTCAGATTTTGATAGGGATCATGCTGTACCTGTAAATCAAGTAGGGAAAAATTGACAACAATATTAAGTCTTCTAATCCATGAACATGGAATATCTCTCCACTTGTTTAGATCTTCTTTGACTTCTGTCATCAGAGTTTTGTAGTTCTCTGCATACAGAACCTGTACATATTTTGTTAGATTTATGCCTAAGAATTTCAAGTACATCTAAGTATTTTGATGCTAATATAAATGGCACGGTGTTATATATTTCAAATTCCAATGGTTCATTCTTGGTATAAAGAAAAGCAATAGGGTTTTGCATATTAACCTTGTATTCTGCAGTCTTACTATTGTCACTTATTAGTTTTAGAAAGGTTTTTGTGGGTTTTTAAAATTTATTCTATGGGACTCTCTACACAGACATTCATATCATGTATGTCACATATAAACAAAAGCAGTTTAATTTCTTCCTTCCCAGTGTGTACACTCCTTGTTTCTTTTTCTTTGCACTAACTGGGACTTCTAGTACAATATTAATCAGGAGCAGTGAGCAGGGACATTGTGCTTTGTACTCAATTTTAGGGGGAAAACATTCAGATTTTTTTTTTTTTTTTTGGTGAGACAGAGTCTCGCTCTGTCACCAGGCTGGAGTGTAGTGGTGCAATCTCTCTGCTCACTGCAACCTCTGCCTCCCAGGTTCAACTGATTCTCCTCCCTCAGCCTCCTGAGTAGCTGGGACTACAGGCACCTACCACCACGACTGGCTAATTTTTGTATTTTTAGTAGAGATGTGGTTTCACTATGTTGGCCAGGATGGTCTTGATTTCTTGACCTCGTGATTCACCCACCTTGGCCTCCTAAAGTGCTGGGATTACAGGCGTGAGCCACCGCAGCTGGTCAACATTCAGATTCTTATCCATAAGTACATCAGGTGTGAGTTTTTGTAGATGTTCTTTATCAAGTTGAAGTTGTTTTTTCTTTCTAGTTTGCTGACAGTTTTTATCATTAGTTACCATGAATTATGGATTTTGTCAAATGCTTTTGCTGAATCAGTGGTGATATGGTTAGGCTTTGTGTTCCCACCTAGATCTCATCTTGAATTATAATCCCCATAATCCCCACATGTCAAGGGAGAGACCAGGTGGAGGCAATTTTATCATGGGGGGTGGCTTCTCCCATCCTGTTCTCATAATAGTGAGTGAGTTCTCACGAGATCCGATGGTTTTATAAAGGGCTCTTCCCCCTTCTCTCAACACTTCTCCTTCTTGCTGCCTTGTAAAGACGGTGCCTTGCTTCGCCTTTCCCTTCCACCATGATTGTAAGTTTCCTGAGGCCTCCCCAGCCATGCAGAACTGTTAGTCAATTAAGCCTCCTTCCTTTACAAATTACTTAGTCTTGAGCAGTTCTTTACAGCAGTGTGAAAATGGACTAATACAAGTGTTTAGAAGAATATTTTTCTTCTTTAACCTGTTGATGTGATATATTGACTTAAAAAAAATTAACCCAGCCTTACATAACTGTGATAAATGCTATTTGTGACATATAATTCTTTTTACACGTTGTTGCATTCAAATTGCTATTATTTTGTTGAAGATTTATAATCACAGGTGGTCTGAAGTTTTCCTTTCTTGTAATGTCTTTATCTGGTTTTGTTATTAAAGTAATGCTTTCCTGATAAAATGAATTAGGATATTTTCTCTGTGCTTCTATTTTCTGGAAGAAATAATAGAAAATTGGTATTATTTCTTTCAGTATTTAGTAGAATTCATCAGTGAAACCATCTGGAGTTGTTGGTTTCTTTAATAGAAGATTGTTCATTATTGATTTAATTTCTTTAATAGAGACACATTCATATTATTCTTGTATGAGTTTTTGTAGTTCTTGTCTTTCAAGGAATTTATCTATGAAACATAAAATTTGTGGGCATGCAGCTGTTTACTGTAAGGCTTTGTTAACCTTTTAATGTTCATTGGAGCAGTAGTTATAACCCCTATTTCATTTCTGATACTGTCAACTTGTGTTTTCTCTCTTTTTTTCTTGGTTAGCCAGGCTAGACGCTTATCAATTATATTGATCTTTTCAAAGAGCAAGTGCCTGGTTTTGTTAATTTTCCTTATTGTTTTACATTTTTAAATTTTATTGATTTTTATTGTAATTTTTATTATTTAATTCTGTTTGCTTAAGGCTTAAATTTCTCTTTTTTTCCCAAGTTTCTTAAGGTAGAACTTTAAATGATTGATTTTTAGAGTTTTTCTTTTTTCCAAGATGGCAATTCAATGCTATAAATTTCCCTGTAATCACTGCTTTCATTGCACCCAACATAGTTTGATAACTTTTATTTTTATTTTGTTTTATATATTTTTAATTTTTCTTAAGACTTATTCTTTCATCCATGTGTTATTTAGAAAAGCATTGTTACATCTCCAAATATTTGGGAATATTCTATCATTTTGTTATTGATTTCCAGCTCAATTACATTGACACTTGAAAATATAATTTGTATGATTTCTTATCTTTTAAATTTGTCCAGGTATGTTTTGTGACCCAGAATGTGATCCTGGTAAACATTCCATTTGAGAAGAATGTGTATTCTGCTGTTGTTGGGTGAGATACTTTTTATATGTTAATTAAATTGCTAATTGGTTAATGATGTTGTTCACTTCAGCTGTATTCTTACTGATTTTCTACCTCCTGGAGATATCAATTACTGGGAGAGTTTTTTTTATTTAAGTCTTCAACCATAATAACAGATTTGTCTACTTCTCTTTTCGGTTCTATTAGTATTTGCCTCATGTCTTTTGGTGCTTTGCTATCAGGTGCATGCACGTTAATGATTATTATGTATCTTGGAAAATTAGCCCTTTTATCATTATGAAATGCCCCTGATAATTTATCCCTGATGATTTTCCTTGTTCTGAAATCTGATTTATTTGAAATTAACAAATCTACTCCAACTTTCTCTTGCTTAGTATTATTATGGTAGACATTTCTCTATCACTTTACTTTTAACCTATTTGTGCTTTTATATTTTAAATGGGTTTTTTTTGTAAACAATATATAGTTAGGTCTCCTTTATCTATTCTGACAGTCTCTGTCTTTTAATTTACATATTCAAACCATTCACATTTTAATATGATTATGGATATAGTTGGTTTAATAACTACCATGTTTGTAACTGTTTTCTATTAATTGTACTTTTTATTTTTTATTTTTTCCCTCTTTTTCTGCCTTCTCTAGTTGTAGAACATTTTATGTCATTTTATATTTCTTCTCTCTTAGTACAACAGTTACCACAATTTAAAAAAATTTTAATAGCTGCTCTAGAATTTGCAATGTATAACTTTATGTTCACCTTTAAATAAGACTATGCCACTTTACATTCAATTCAAGTACCTTATAACATAGTATTTCCAGTTCATTCCTGCCATCCTTTATAGTATTGGTGTTATTCATTTCATTCATTCATATGCTATAACTGCTTGATATATTGTTAATATAATTACATTGAACAGTTATCTATTAGATCAATCAAGAATAAGAAAAGATTTTATTTTACCTTCATTCCATCTCTAGCATTCTTCCTTTCTTCATTTCTTTTTTCCTTTTTTTCATTTCTTTTATTTGTTTATTTTTTTAATTTTTATTTTACGTTTGGGGTGCATGTGAAGGTTTGTTACACAGGTAAACTTGTGTCTTGGGGGTTTGTTGTACAGATTATTTCATCACCCAGCTATTAAGCCCAGTACCCAACAGTTATCTTTTCTGTTCCTCTCCCTCCTCCCACCATCCACCATCAAGTAGAGCCCAGTGTATGTTGTTTCCTTCTTTCTCAAGTTCTTATAATTTAGCTCCCACTTATAATTGAGAACATACAATAGTTGGTTTTCTGTTCCTGCATTAGTTTGCTAAGGATAATGGCCTCCAGCTCCATTCATGTTCCCACAAAAGACATGATCTCATTCTTTTTTATGGCTGCATAGTATTACACGGTGTAGAGGTACCACATTTGCTTTATACAACCTGTCATCGATGGGCATTTAGGTTGATTCCATGTCTTTGTTATTGTGAATAGCGCTACAATGAACATTCACGTGCATGTGTCTTTATGGTAAAATGATTTCTATTCCTCTGGGTATATACCAATAATGGGATTATTGGGTTAAATGGTAATTCTGCTTTTTGCTCTTTGAAGAATTGCCATACTGCTTTTCATAATGGTTTAACTAACTTACATTTCCACCAACAGTGTATAAGTCTTCCCTTTTCTCTGCCACCTCAGCAGCATCAGTTTTTAAAATTTTTTTTTTAATAGCCATTCTGACTGGTGTGAGATGGTATTTCATGGTGGTTTTGATTTGCGTTTCTAATGATCAGTTACATTGAGCTTTTTTTCATGTGCTTGTTGGGTGCGTATATGTCTTCTTTTGAGAAGTATCTATTCATGTTCTTTGCCCACTTTTTAAAGAGGTTGTTTTTCTCCTCTAAAATTAAGTTCCTTGTAGATGCTGGATATTAGACCTTTGTCAGATGCATAGTTTACAAATGTTTTCTCCTATTCTGTAGGTTGTCTCTAGTCTGGTTGGTAGTTTCTTTTGCTGTGCAGAAGCTCTTAAATTTAATTAGATCCCACTGGTCAATTTTTGCTTTTGTTGCAATTGCTTTTGGTATCTTTGTTATAAAATATTTGCCCTTTTTTATGTCCAGGATGGTAGTGCCTAGGTTGTCTTCTAGGGTTTTTATAGCTTTGTGTTTTTTTCATTTATTTTTAATATTTTAAAAGTTTATTACTGTTCAGGGGTACATGTGTAGGTTTGTTATACAAGTAAATCACATGTTTCAAGGGTTTGGTGTATGTTTTGTTTTGTTTTTTCACCCAGGTAATAAGCATAATACCTGATAGTCTTTCAATCCTCACCCTCCTTCCACCCTCCACCCTCCAGTAGGCCCCAGCGTCTGTAGTTCCCTTCTTTGTATCCATATGTACTAAATGTTAAGCTCCCATTTATAAGCGAGAACATGTGGTATTTTGTTTTCTGTTCCTGTGTTAGTTCACTTAGGATAATGACCCCCAGCTCCATCCATGTTGCCACAAAGGACATGTCATTCTTTTTGTGACTGCATAGTATTCCATAGTGTATACATACCACATTTTCTTTATCCAGTCTACATTAATGAGCATTTAGGTTGATTCTATGTCTTTGCTACTATGAATAGTGTGCTACAATGAACATATGCATGCATGCATCTTTATGGTAGAATGATTTATATTCCTTTGGGTATATACACAATAATGGGATTGCTGAGTCAAATGGTAATTCTGCTTTGAATTATTTGAGAAATTGCAAAACTGCTTTCCATAGTGGCTGAACTAATTTGCATTTTCACTAGCAGTTTGTAAGCACTCCCCTTTCTCTGCAACCTTACCAGCATCTGTTGTTTTGACTTTTTAATAATAGCCATTCTGACTGGTATGAGATGATATCTCATTGTGGTTTTGATTTGCATGTCTCTAACAATTAGTGATGTTGAACATTTTTTCATATGATTTTTGGCCATGTGTACATCTCTTTTGAGAAGTGTCTGTTCATGCCCTTTGTCCATTTTTTAATGAGGTTACTTTTTGTTTGTAAATCTTTTTAAGTTCCTTATAGACTGTGGATATTAGACCTTTGTTGAATGCATAGTTTGCAAATATTTTCTCCCATTCAGTAAGTTGTCTGTTGACTCTGTTGACAGTTTCTTTTGCTGTACAGAAGTTCTTTAGTCTAATTAGGTCACATTTGTCAATTTTTTTTTATTGCAATTGCTTTGGGCATCTTCATCATGAAATCTTTGCCAGGGCATACGTCCAAATTGGTATTTCCTAAGGATTTTATTAGTTTTTACAGTTTTAGGTTTTAATTTTTTACAGTTTTAGGTTTTACACTGAAGTATTTAATCCATCTTGAGTTGATTTTTGTATGTGGTATAAGGAAGGGGTATAGTTTCAATCTTCTCCATGTAGCTAGCTAGTTATCCCAGGGCCAATGGGGACTCCCTTCTCCATTGCTTGTTTTTATGACGTTTGTCAAAGTTCAGATGGTTGTAGGTGTTTGGCTTTATTTCTGGGCTCTCTATTCTGTTCTAGTGGTCTACATGTCTGTTTTTGTATCAGTACCATGCTGTTTTGGTTACTGTAGCCCTGTAGTATAGTTTGAAGTCAGGTAATGTAATGCCTCCAGATTTGTTCTTTTTGCTTAGTCTTTCTTTGGCTATGTGGGCTCTTTTTTGGTTTCATATGAATTTTAGGATTGTTTTTTCTAGTCCTGTGATGAATGATGGTGGTATTTTGATGGGAATTGCATTGAATTTGTAGAATGGCAGTATGATCATTTTCACAATATTGATTCTACCCATCCATGAGCATGAGATGTGTTTCCAATTGTTTGTGTTGCCTGTGATTTCTTTCAGCAGTGTTGTGTTTTCCTTGTAGAGGTCTTTCAACTCCTTAAGTATATTCCTAAGTATTTTATTAATTTTTTAATTTTTTGCAGCTATTGTAAAAATGGTTGAGTTCTTGATTTTATTCTCAGCTTGGTCACAGTTGGTGCATAGCCGGGCTACTGATTTGTGTACATTAATTTTGTAACCTGAAACTTTTGCTGAATTAATTTACCAGTTCTAAGAGCTTTTTGGATGAGTCTTTAGGGTTTTCTAGATATACACTCGTGTCATTAGCAAAAGCAATAGTTTGACTTCCTCTTTACCAATTTGGATGCCCTTTGTTTCTTTCTCTTGTCTGATCGTTCTGGCTAGGACTTCCAGTACTATGTTGAATAGAAGTGGTAAGAGTGGACATCCTTGTCTTGTTCTGTTTCTCAGAGGGAATGCTTCCAACTTTTTCCCATTCAGTATAATGTTGGCCGTGGGTTTGTCATAGATGGCTTTTATTACCTTAAGGTATGTCCCTTCTATGCTGACTTTGCTGAGAGTTTTAATCATAAAGGGATGCTGGATTTTGTCAAATGTTTTTTCTGCATCTGTTAAGATAATCAAGTGATTTTTTTGTTTTTAATTCTATTTATGTGGTGTATCACAGTTATTGACTTGCATATGTTAAACTCTCACTGGTGTGAAACCCACTCGATCATGGTGGATTATCTTTTTTATATGCTGTTGTATTTGGTTAGCTAGTGTTTTGTTGATGATTTTTTGCATCTATGTTCATCAGGGATATTGGTCTGTAGTTTTCTCTCTCTCTTTTTTTTTTTAAGTTATGTCCTTTTCTGGGTTTGTTATTAGGGTGATTCTGGCTTCATAGAATGATTTATGGAGGATTTCCTCTTTCTCTATCTTTCGGAATAGCGTCAATGGGATTGGTACCAATTTTTCTTTGAACGTCTGACAGAATTCAGCTGTAAATCTGTCTGGCCCTGGACTATTTTTCCTTGGTTACTTTTTAATTACCATTTCAATCTTGCTGCTTGTTGTTGGTCTTTTCAGAGTTTCTAATTCTTCCTGGTTTAATCTAGAAAGGTTGTACATTTCCAAGAATTTATTCATCTTCTCTAGGTTTTCTAGTTTATTCAAATAGAGGTGTTCATAGCAGCCTTGAATGATCTTTTGAGTTTCTGTGTTATTGGTTGTAATAGCTCCTGTTTTATTTCTAATTGAGCTTATTTGTGTCTTCTCTCTTCTTTTCCTGGTTAATCTCAAAAATGGTTTATCGATTTTATTTATCCTTTTAAAAAACCAGCTTTTTCTTTCATTTATCTTTTTGTATTTTTTTGTTTGAATTTCATTTAGTTATGTTCTGAACTTGTTTATTTCTTTTCTACTGGGCTTGTGGTTTGGTTTGTGACCTTAGATTTTCTATTTGTGCTCTTTCAGACTTTGATGTAAGCATTTAATGCTATGAACTTTCCTCTTAGCACCACCTTTGCTGTATCTCAGAGGTTTTGATAGGTTATGCCACTATTATTGTTCAATTAAAAGAATTTTTAAATTTTCCATCTTGATTGTTGACTATTATTGACCCAATGATCATTCAGGAGCAAGTTTTTAATTTCCATATATTTGCATGGTTTTGAGGATTCCTTTTGGATTTGATTTCCAATTTTATTCCACTGTGGTCTGAGAGAGTACTTGATATAATTTCAGTTTTCTTAAATTTATTGAGACTTGTTTTGTGGCCTATCATATGGGAGTGTGTTTCTCAGGCCAATGGAGTTATGTTTCCAGGGGGGATTATGGCTGCCTTTTCTGTGTGATGCAGGTCGCCAGGGAAGTGGGGGAAAGCTGGCAGTTAAAGGCCTCACCCAGCTCCCATGGAGCCCAAAAGGCCGATCTCACTCCCACTGTGCCCGCCCGATGGCACCAAGTTTATTTCCAAGTAGTGGGTGAGCAGGGCTGAGAACTTGCCCCATGTTCCCAGACTCCCAGTTGAGAAAGCAAACAGGGTTTTTAGGTTTTGTGCCTCCCTGCCTCCAGCAGCTTCTGTGCTGTGTCTGCACTCCTGATTCACCCCCTCCCCTGAGTTCTGTCTGGGAAACTTTGCGTCCAGTTGAAATTGTTACAACATTCAACTGGAAGTTTCCTTCTCCCTGTGGTCTTTTCCCAGTTCCTCTGGCAGCCCTCCCTAAAGATCCCTCTGAGACAAAGTCAGAAATGGCTTCCCTAGGGACCAAGAGAGCCCACAGGCTCTTCCTGCTGCTGCTGCTTCTACTCCTGTATTTTGCTCAGCTCTCTAAGTTTGTCTCAGCTCCAGGTAAGGTCAAATCCTTCTCCTATGATCTGGACCTTCAGGTTCCCCAGTGAAGGTGTGTGTTTGGGGGAGGATGGTTCCTCTTTCACACTTGGGACACTCGCAGTTTTTTGGCTGTCTCCCAGGGCCAGCAGGAGCAATCCACTTCCTTCAAAGGGTCTGTGAATTCTCTTAGCTTTCCTGGTATGTTCTGTAGTAGTTCTTGGAACAAAAGTTCATGATATGAGTCTCTACATGCTGCTACATCCACACGAGTGGGAGCTACAATTTAGTCCTGCCTTCTATCTGCCATTTTTCTCCTCCTGCCTGGCTTCTAGTGCAGAGCATGAGTGGAATTACCTGCACTGCCATCAGGGCATTTCCCAGGACAGTAGGAGACTGCACTCTCTGACTTAGTCCACACAAAAGTGGGACCACTCTGCCAAAAGCTCTAGCAGATGTTGCCTTCCTGGGTACCAGTGGCAGAAGTGGGTGCGGTCACACACCCTGACATCCAGGTACTACCCAGATCAACAGGAGACTGCACCATCCAGCTGAGTTCAGACAGAAGTGGGACCGCTGAGTCAGAAGCATTGCCCACCTGGCTGCCCACTTCAGACTGAAGTGGGACCACTGGGCCAGAAGTCGTCAGCCTGTTCTGGCAAGGTGTGGATGGAGCAATCTTACTGTTCCCAGGCACCATATTTGTAGCCTTTACTGGGGCTATGGTATCAGTGCTTGTCTGCTCTGGGGCCCAAGGCTTGTAGAGGCCCCCTGGACTCAAGCATTGACCCACAAAACATCTAGGTGGCTCTCTGCCTCAGTCTAGAAGCATGGTTGGGGGATGCAGTGGGGGAAGGGGGATTCTCCCATTCCCAGCCTTGCCCGGGTCCCTGTGGAGAGTGTGAATCCCCTAGAGGGCTCCCATTCACTCACCCTTTCCCATGTTAAAGAGGGTCTCCTGGCTCCCTGCTGAGTCCAGACAGGCTGGCACCCAGCTTCACTCCTCTCTGCTCTCTGTATCCCTGGTTGCCTTGCTGGATCTCAACGTGGTTTCTCAGATGATTGGCCTGCAGGATCGGTGTTCACAAGCCCATCCGTTTTTCTTCATGAGAGCAGCATACACGAGCTGCCTTTAGTCCACCATATTGGCCCCCTCCACCAAGTATCCTTTCTTTATTTAAATCTGAGTTCTGAGCTATATCATTTTTCTTCTCCTTGAAAAATTTCTTTTAACATTCCTGCAGGGCAGGTGTGATAATGATACATTTCCATTGTGTGTCTGAGAAACTATTTTTCTCCTTCACTTTTAAAGAATAATTTTGCTGTATATAAAATTCTAAGGATGGTGAGTGTCTTTCTTTCAATGCTTTAAAAATTGCACTGAATTATTTTTTTTTTTGGTCTTGTTTCTGGCAAGATGTCTGATGTAATTCTTATTTTGTTCTTCTGTAGGTAAGATTTTTTCCCCTTCCATCTTCGTTTAAGATTTTCTCTTTGTCTTTGGGTTTCTGTAGTTTGAATATGATATACCTGGGTTTTAATTTTTTGGTATTAATATTTATCCTCTTTGGCTTTCCGTGAGCTTCCTGGATCTGTGGTTTGGTATCTGTGATTAATTTTTGAAAACTCTCATCCATTGTTATTTCAAGTATTTCTTTTCCTATATTTGCTCTCTTCTATTTCTAGAATTCAAATTAAATATATCCTCTTCTATTTCTAGAATTCAAATTAAATACATCCTCTTCTATTTCTAGAATTCCAATTAAATATATCCTCTTCTATTTCTAGAATTCCAATTAAATATATACTTTTTTTTTGTAATTGTCTCACAATTCTTGAACATTCTGTTCTTTTTATTATCATTATTCTTTTATTTTGTCTTTGCATTTCAGTTTGTGACATTGCTACTGATGTATCTTCAAGCTCACTAATTCTTGTCTCAGCTGTGTCCAGTCTCCTGGTGAGCCTATAAAAAGCATTCTTTAGTTCTATTACAGTAAGTCCTCACTTAACATCATTGATAGGTTCTTGAACACTGCAACTTTAAGTGACATACTGTGTAAGGAAACCAATTTTCCCGTAGGCTAATTGATATAAACAAGAGTAAGTTCCTACAGCATAGAGTACCTTGTTTTGCTTAAAGCTGCAATGTCTGAGAACCTATGGATAGCATAAAGTAAGAACTTAACTATATGGTGTTTTTCATTTCCAGCATTTCTTGATTCTTAGAGTTTCTGCCTCTCTACTTACATTACCTATCTGTTCTTGCATGCTATTTTTTTGAATAGGGCCCTTCATATTAAACCATTGATTTTAAATTCCCTGTCTGATAATTCCAAAATCTGCATCATATCTGAATCTGATTCAGATTTTTGCTTTGTTTCTTTATATTATGAGGTGGTTTTTCTTTTTACCTTTTTGTGTGATTTATCTATTTTTGTTTATAGATATATTGAGTAATTATATATAATTATATTGAGTATTATATATAATGTATGTAATTATATTCAGTATTATGAAGCCAGATATATTGAGTAATTATAACTCAGATAATCAGGCCTCTAGTATGGAGATTCACTGTTCATCTGGTTACAGGTTGGGCTGTGTTTAATGTTTCCTATAGCTATAGGTGCCCAAGGCTTTAGTTTCCTCTAGAATCCTTGTTTTATTTTTCTACTCCATTTTCTTTGGGTTTCCCTAAGAAATCCTTCTAAAATAGTGTGGTAGTTCTTTCAGTTATAATCTACTTTTATTAATTTGTACCTCTGTTGATGTACCGATAAGGTATAGTAGAGGAAACGGTTCTACAATCTCATGTTTAAATCTGTTTTTTTTTTAGTGTGCCTGAGTCTCTAAGCTTCAGAAGTGTTTCTTTGCCTTTATTTTTATTTTTTGTTCATCTAGGTGAAACAGGAATGCTACAGAGGTCTAGAGTTGGCTCAGTGCTTTCACCCCAGGTAGATACAACTTTGGTAAAGTTGTTTCTCTATCCTGGGCCACAAACATATTCTCCTACTTTTTTCAGTTTAACTTTAGTTTCACCTTTCACAATAAAGTCTTTAACTTAACTTTGTATGTAAAATTAATATTTACGTACAATTCCAAGCCCCCTACATGATCCAATCACCTCCTACCAGGGCCCCATCTCCACCATTGGGAATTACATTTCAACATGAGATTTGGGTGGGGACATAGCACCAAACCCTATCAGACATTAACCTTGGTCATGCAGCTGAGGTAATGTTTGTCAGGTTTCTTCACTATATAATCATTCTCATCATGTATTGAGCTAGGTTTATATTTCTTATGTAGTGAAGCAGGTTTCTCAGTGCTATCTACCAATTAGTTAGATGTGTATTTGTAATGGAAAAAAAGTATTGAGAGATTTCTCCCAATGTTGGGGGATGGAGTTTGGGGTAGGGCTGGAGGAATGAGAAAAAGCTTCACAGAGACCATGCTGTGCCATCTGAAGTGAACTTTGAAGGGAGGAGAGGACAATGGGGAAAGGCATTTCAGGCAGAATGATGCCAACAGAGCTAAGAGCCAATAAAGCATCTATGAGTGAAATAGTAGTTGAATTGGAATCCACCCTGGAAATCATCTGTGGCCTAATTACCTCATTTCCTAGGTGAGTACTATAATTTGCCCAAGGTTACACAGCTAGAAATTTGTAGAGCTGGGATTCAAACTCAGGAGAGTGACTTCAGCACTTATTTTCCCAACACAGAAGGAGGTTAAGACCTACTCAGGGTGGCCCAGCCAATCAGATGCATAGCCAGGACAAAGCCATCAGTTCCTGTCTCCCAGTTCCTCTACTTTCACAAGTATACACCTTGAAACATAATGCTCAGAAATCCTATGGGAATTTTAGTGATGGAGTTAACATAGTCCTCTGGGGTTAAGGGAAATAAGGTTCTGTAGGAATCAGAAATCAAATATTCTCAGGAGGCAGAGAGGATTTATAGAGTAGCACTAATTACAGTTTTGAATATGCTGCCAGCATAGTCTTCTTAATTAAATGAGCCAGAATACTTCTTTGGAAACTTTCCTAGATGATCAGGTCTGTGTAAGTGAATACTTATGCCTTATACTCAAAGGAATGCACCAACCACCTAAAGCCAGCTCTCCCCTTGAAGAAGAGAGTGGTGGGAGGAGAGTAGGACTAGCAGAGAAGGGCCTTTCCAGGAGTGATATCATTATAGCAATTAGAAGTAGATTAGATGTTCACACAACAGTACAAATGGATGTGAAAAACATAGTGTTTACTGAAAAACAGTAAGAAAAAGAGATGAGGTATATGGCACTTCATCATTTATGTAAATTAAAGAGGTATGCCCACAAAACAATATTATACATTTTGCAGGAACACATTCATACAACATACATACTAAGCACATTAGAGCAGTTGTCCACAGGAGGCAGGGAAAGAACATGACTAAGCAGGATATGCATATATCTTTATATACATCGATTGTGTTTGTGTGTCTGTGTTACGATCCTGAGCAATGACAAGGACAGCAGCATTAAATGACTTTTTAGAAGCCCTCATACTTCTTGGCACTATTCAGATTTCCTCATTTTCTTTTTTTCTAGCGTCCTTTTTCTGTCTCAGGATCCTAATCATGTTACCACATTACACTTGGTGATCATGTCTCCTTAGCTGCTTCTTGGTTCTGACAGTTTCTCAGATTTTCCCTGTTTCTAATGATCTTAACAGTTTTGAGGACTACTAGTCAGGTATTTTGTAGAAATTGGTATTGGAATTTGTCTGGTGTTTTTCTCATGATTAAACTGACATAATACATTTTTGGAGGAAGACCACAGATGTACATAATCATTCTCATCATATCATATCAAGAGTACATATGATCAATGAGACTTATCACTTTCATGTTGTATTACTCTGTTCTTACACTGCTATAACGAAATACCTAAAACTGGGTAACTTACATAGAAAAGAGGTTTTAATAGGCTCACAGTTCTGTGGACTGTACAAGCTTCTGCTTCTGGGGAGACCTTGGGAAAGTTGCAATCATGGTGGAAGGCAAAGGGGAAGCAAGTACATATTCACATGGCTGGCAGGAGAGGGAGAATGAAAAAGGAGGTGCTACACACTTTTCAAACAACCAGGTCTCCTGAGAACTCTATTATAAGACAGCATTAGGGGGATGGTGTTAAACCATTAGAAACCACCCAAATGTTCCAATTACCTCCCACCAGGCCTCACCTCCAACATTGGGAATTACAGTACAACATGAGATTTGCGTGGGGACACAGAGCCAAACTATATCAGATATTAACCTTGATCACCTGGCTGAGGTAATGTTTATCAGGTTTCTTCACTATAAAGTTACTCTTCTTTTTCTCTTTCCATATCATACTTACAGATTACTTACTTTAAAACTTTAAGGCTAATTAATAGGATTACAATAGCCAATGTTTACAATGAAGTGTTTTAAATTATTAATAACAAAAAGGTTTTTAGACAAGATGGACAAGATGCTTCCTTTTTCCTGCACTAACAGTGGGAGAGATGTTTTCTTCTGACTCATAAAGCTTGTACAGAGAATCTGATTTCTTAAAGTCTTGAGTTGACATTTACAAGGATGTTGATCTTGTTTTCCTTCATAATTTGGAGATGTAAATATTTCAAACTTTCCTATTGGTTCTGCTATTTGTAAATATACAGCTGTCCTTGGACACATAAGGTGAGAATAATTATAGCATATCACAGTAACAATGTAAGAATCAAGGGGACTGATAAGCAAGGGACTGAGAATGTTGGAGGAAAGGACCTTGTTAACGTGGCAACTCAAGGACAGCTTCATGAAAGTCTTAACATACAAGTGTTATTTGAACAAGTAGAGGAGGCCAACAGTACACCACATGCACTAAGGCAGGAAAGGAAAGAACATGACGTATAGGCAAAGTCTGCCATGTGAGAGCATAGGGTGTGTAGAACTTATGCAACAGGCTAAAGAGTTTGCACTTCATTCTGTAATCCTGAGTGTGGAGGACAATGGCATTTTTGGGCAAGGAGAGTAATATGATCAGATCTGAGCTTTAGAAAAATAACTGGCAACTATCTAAATGAAATTTGAAGGATAAGAGCCTGGAGAGAAACATAGAAGTTATTATTAAAAACTATGAAAGAATATATACAAAAGAGGGGATATTGAAAATAGGAGTAAAAATATGTAGAGAGATTATGGAGGCAGAATAGACAGGCCTTGGGGCCAATTTCATAGCTAACAGTGGCAGAGACTGGCAAGATCCTTACCAAACCTGTATCTTCCTCTTCCTGGGCACACAGCTGGACTACATTTCCCAGCCTCTCTGGCATTAGGCACAGCTATGACTGACTCTCCAGCCAAAATGAACATTATGGGTGAAAGTCATGTATGCCACTTTCAGACCTATCCTTCTACCATAAGACTGGAATGGAGAGAACTTTCAAGACCACTCTGAGAGTCATGCATAGAATATAATAGAACTATGGGGTAGAAGGAGCTGTAGCTCCCAAATTACTTCCTGGAGAATTACTCAGCCTGCAATAGACTTTGAGACAACTGAGAAATAAACTATTTCCCTACTGAGCCTTTATATGCTTGGACTTTTCTGTAATCACAGCATACTGTGGACTACCCTAACCAAATTAAACATTGATACTTTGAAGTGGGTGCTCCTACAACAGAAAACTAAAGCATGTGACCTGGGCTGGTGAGGAGACAAATTATTAGAGACTGGAATGGCTGAGGAGCCCTGTTTTGCTATGCCAAACTATTTGACAAAATGGTTGCCTGCCTAAAGTTCTAGAAAAGTGATTGTAAGTCAGAAAGATAGTGTGTGTTGGCCACTATGGCTGCTTTGAGTAAGATATTACAAGACAAAGGTGTGCTTGGGCAAAAATTGTGTGTGGCAAGCACAGGTGAAAGGAAACAGAGAATATCTAATGTTGGGCTTTGAATAGAAGAGGAAAAAACTGCTTCTAGATCCTGAATAAAAAGAAAAAAGATACAGGAAGCCAGAAAAGTCCATTAGACTCACTTGGTAGTACAGATGAGATGAAGGGTGTTGATGTCTCATGAGCCTGCTAGCTTCAAGTTAGTAAGAGAGGCATGGCGGGTAGTTAGACAGAGAAAGAAAACATATTTGAAGGGTGCATCAGAAAAGAAGTGCTGTTAATGACACAGGAAACAGATTAGCAACAAATGAAACAAAAACCTACTACTGTTTGAGGCAATTTTACTACCAAAGAAACCATAAGCCGGGTCTAGAAAAGTCTGTATTATGGAGAGTTGCTTTTTAAAGAAAATCTCAGGAAGAAAGTGAGTGTACTTGGGTCTACTCTAACACCCATGTTGGAGATGAACAAATATGAAAATGAACAGGGAAGAGCTTCCCAAAGAACAAGACTAGGGGCCTCCCAGAACAGTGAGTGAGAAAGATCATCCCATAGAGCAGATCACAGCCTAACTAAGGACTTCCTCGTTTAGGGTAGAGAGCCTTTACAATGTCTGCCTAGTGGGATTTCTGAATTGCCAAGGTCCAGTGACCACAGTGTGCCTCACATTCTTCCTCTGTTTTCTAATGGGCGTTCATTATGATTATCTTATTCTTCCTCTGTAATCATGTGCATGGTGAGTGGCCCTGGGGGTAATGGGGAATAACTTTCCTTTTTCATTAATAGGTCACCAAACTCGAGAAGCAAAATCAGCACCTGATGGCAATTGCTGCCCATCACTCAGAGATCCTGGACTTGAGGCTGAATGCTGTGATGGGATAGGATTTGAGGGAAGGGCACAAGTGTGTTCTTTGTGTGAGAAGCAGAGTGAAATTGCTTTTTGACAACCAGTAGGGCAGTCTGTGTGAAAAAGTGACTAAGGGCTCACCAAGCCTGATTCCTCTTCTTTCTAGGCACACATGAAGACTGCATTTCCCAGCCTTCCTTAGAGTTATCTGAGGCCATGTGACTGAGTTATGGCCAATGGAATGTGAGTTATGGCCAATGGAATGTGAATGGGTCTGTTTGTTACCACAGCAGAATCTAGCCTACCTAGACTAACACACTAGCATTTATAGATACAAGTATTTGCTACGTGCTCCATGTATATTAGCTCATTTAACCAACAAAACCAACCCAATGAGATAGGTGCAAGTATAATATAATCTCCATTTTACACTGAGGACACTGAAACTGAGAGAAGCCCCAAATCATACAAATAATAAGATATAGACCATTGTACTTGGGAGGGTCCTCTCTAACACCCACTTTGGAGATGGACAAATACGAAAATGAACAGTGAAGAACTTCCCAAAGATCAAGACTAGGGGCCTCCTAGAACAGTGAGTTATAGAGATCATCCCATAGAGCAGAATCACGGACTAACTAAGGAAGTTATCTTATTTATCTAAGAGCACAAGAGATAGAAACTCTTCACCACAATGCTCTATCACTTCTTGAGGCCAAAGATAATTTCTATGTTACTTGGAAACTAGAACAACAGCAGAGATAATAATATAATCCTAGAATATTGGGAAGGTCCCTGGCAATCTTGGTGAGGAAAGCACATGCAGTATTGGAGACATGAGCTAGTGTGCAAGGGACTGGGGTGTTCACAGGTGGACATCCACAAGCTGCATGCATTGGTGGCTCCAGAATTTCTGTGTCAGTGGCTAAAGGGCCGTCATTGAGTTGGCATGAGGCTTGAAATGCATATGCATAGTACTTTCCATTAGTTACAGAAAATGCCAATATTCTTTACTTGAAAATGGGACAAGGAAAGCAACAGAGTTTGAGGGCCTAAATCCCACTTATGCCAGCCCTGAGTACTTCCTATATGCTTGTGGTCAAGCCCAGCCTCATCTCTCCCAGCTTCTCTTCACACACTGGAAGCCTCACCCAATCCAAACCCTGCCACCCTACCCTTTCTCACTTCTGTGAGCAGCTAGGTGGCCGAGTGGTGAGCGTGTCCTAAATATTCATCCAGAGCCGAGTTTGAATTCTGGCTCTGCAATTTATTGTCACTAGTATAACCTCGGGCATGTCTATAATAATACCTACCTATGAGGATTGTCATGAGGTTTCAATGAAATCATGTATATGATGTGTTTAACATAGTGCCTGGCCCATAATACGCACTTAAAGTAAAAAAAAAAAAACTTTTGATGTGTGAAATTCCAGTATTTTCAGCTTCAAACAACATCTCCTAGATAGCTGCTCACACCCATAAGTGGGAGACAGATTCTCTGCAGACCATGTATTCTGATTTAGGGTGTTGAAAAGAGAGTCAATACATAGCAATTGGAGTCCACAGGAAAGAGGACTCATCGGGGCCTGGGATGGTCAGCAAAGCCGTCTGGAGGAAACTGCACTTGGATGCAGTTTGAAGGTGGAGTTGATTCATCCAGGAAGAAGTGAGTGGGCGAGGCATGGACAAATGCTTAAAAGCAGGAAGCACACGGTATTTCATGGTGGTGATTTTTATTTTGCTAATATAGGCTCTACCCAGGGTATCAATGAGAGCTATGTTAAAAAGGTAGCTTAGGGAAAGATTATAAGGGTCTTGAAATTTCTCCCTCCCTTCTTTTGTTTCTTTTCTTTTCTTTTTTTAATTACACTTTTAAGTTCTAGGGTATATGTGCACAACGTGCAGGTTTGTTACATATGTATACATGTGCCATGTTGGTTTGCTGCACCCATTAACTCATCATTTACGTTAGGTATTTCTCCTAATGCTATCCCTCCCCCATCCCCCCACCCCATGACAGGCCCCGGCGGGTGATGTTCCCCACCCTGTGTACAAGTGTTCTCATTGTTCAGTTCCCACCTATGAGTGAGAACATGCAGTGTTTGGTTTTCTGTCCTTGTGATAGTTTGCTGAGAATGATTTCCACCTTCATCCATATACCTACAAAGGACATTAACTCATCCTTATTTATGACTGCATAGTATTCCATGGTGTATATGTGCCACACTTTCTTAATCCAGTCTATCATTGTTGGACATTTGGGTTGGTTCCAAGTCTTTGCTATTGTGAATAGTGCTGCAATAAACATGCGTGTGCATGTGTCTTTATAGTAGCATGATTTATAATCCTTTGGGTGTATACCCAGTAATGGGATCACTGGGTCAAATGGTATTTCTAGTTCTAGATCCTTAAGGAATTGCTACACTGTCTTCCACAATGGTTGAACTAGTTTACACTTCAACAAACAGTGTAAAAGTGTTCCTATTTCTCCACATCCTCTGCAGCATCTGTTGTTTCCTGACTTTTTAATGATGGCCATTCTAACTGGTGTGAGATGGTATCTCATTGTGGTTTTGATTTGCATTTCTCTGATGACCAGTGATGATGAGCATTTTTTCATGTGTCTTTTGGCTGCATAAATGTCTTTTTTTGAAAAGTGTCTGTTCATATCCTTTGCCCACTTTTTGATGGGGTTGTTTGATTTTTTTCTTTTAAATTTGTTTAAGTTCTTTGTAGATTCTAGATATTAGCCCTTTGTCAGATGGGTAGATTGCAAAAATTTTCTCCCATTCTGTAGGTTGCCTGTTCACTCTGATGGTAGTTTCTTTTGCTGTACAGAAACTCTTTAGTTTAATTAGATCCCATTTATCTATTTTAGCTTTTGTTGCCATTGCTTTTAGTGTTTAGTCATGGAGTCCTTGCCCATGCCTATGTCCTGAATGGTAATGCCTAGGTTTTCTTCTAGGGTTTTTATGGTTTTAGGTCTAACATTTAAGTCTTTAATCCATCTTGAATTAAGTTTCGTATAAGGTGTAAGAAAGGGATCCAGTTTCAGCTTTCTACATATGCCTAGCCAGTTTTCCCAGCACCATTGATTAAATAGGGAATCCTTTCCCCATGTCTTGTTTTTGTCAGGTTTGTCAAAGATTAGTTGGTTATAGATGGGTGGTGTTATTTCTGAGACCTCTGTTCTGTTCCGTTGGTGTATATCTCTGTTTTGGTACCTGTACCATGCTGTTTTGGTTACTGTAGACTTGTATAGTTTGAAGTCAGGTAGCATGAAGCCTCCAGCTTTGTTCTTTTTGCTTAGGATTGTCTTGGCAATGCAGGCTCTTTTTTGGTTCCATATGAACTTTAAAGTAGTTTTTTCCAATTTTGTGAAGAAAGTCATTGGTAGCTTGATGGGGATGGCATTGAATCTATAAATTACCTTGGGCATTATGGCCATTTTCATGATATTGATTCTTCCTATTCATGAGCATGGAATGTTCTTCCATTTGTTTGTGTCCTCTTATTTCGTTGAGCAGTGGTTTGTAGCTCTCCTTGAAGAGATCCTTAATATCCCTTGTAAGTTGGATTCCTAAGTATTGTATTCTCTTTGTAGCAAGTGTGAATGGGAGTTCACTCATGATTTGGCTGTTTGTCTGTTATTGGTGTGTAGGAATGCTTGTGATTTTTGCACATTGATTTTGTATCCTGAGACTTTGCTGAAGTTGCTTATCAGCTTAAGGAGATTTTGGGCTGAGACAATGGGGTTTTCTAAATATACAATCATGTCATCTGCAAACAGGGACAATTTGACTTCCTCTTTTCCTAATTGAATACCTTTTATTTCTTTCTCTTGCCTGATTGCCCTGGCCAGAACTTCCAACACTATGTTGAAGTTCCCTGTCTTGTGCCAGTTTTCAAAAGGAATGCTTCCAGTTTTTGCCCATTCAGTATGATATTGGCTGTGGGTTTGTCATAAATACCTATTATTTTGAGATACGTTCCATCAATACCTAGTTTATTGAGAGTTTTTAACATGAAGCGCTGTTGAATTTTGTCAAAGGCCTTTTCTGCATCTATTGAGATAATCATGTGGTTTTTGTCTTTGGTCCTATTTATGTGATGGATTATGTTTATTGATTTACGTATGTTGAACCAGCCTTGCATCCCAGGGATGAAGCCAACTTCATCTTGGTGGATAAGATTTTTGATGTGCTGCTGGATTCGGTTTGCCAGTATTTTATTGAGGATTTTCGCATCGATGTTCATCAAGGATATTGGTCTAAAATTCTCTTCTTTTTGTTGTGTCTCTGCCAGGCTTTGGTATCAGGATGATGCTGGCCTCATAAAATGAGTTAGGGAGGATTCCCTCTTTTTCTATTGATTGGAAAAATTTCAGAAGGAATGGTACCAGCTTCTCTTTCTACCTCTGTTAGAACTCAGCTGTGAATCTGTCTGGTCCTGGAGTTTTTTTGGTTGGTAGCCTATTAGTTATTGCCTCAATTTCAGAGTCTGTTATTTGTCTATTCAGGGATTCAACTTCTTCCTGGTTTAGTCTAGGGAGGATGTATGTGTCCAGGAATTTATGCAATTCTTCTAGATTTTCTAGTTTATTTGCATAGAGGTGGTTATAGTATTCTCTGATGGTAGTTTGTATTTCTGTGGGATCAGTGGTGATATTCCCTTCATCATTTGTTTATTGCATCTATTTGATTCTTCTCTTTTCTTCTTTATTACTCTTGCTAGCAGTCTATCAATTTTGTTGATCTTTTCAAAAAACCAACTCCTGGATTCATTGATTTTTTTTTTTTTTTTGAAGGGTTTTTTGTGTCTCTATTTCCTTCAGTTCTGCTCTGATCTTAGTTATTTCTTGCCTTCTGCTTGCTTTTGAATTTGTTTTCTCTTGCTTCTCTAGTTCTTTTAATTGTGATGTTAAGGTGTCAATTTTTGATCTTTCCTGCTTTCTCTTGTGGGCATTTAGTGCTATAAATTTCCCTCTACACACTGCTTTAAATGTGTCCCAGAGATTCTGGTACGTTGTGTGTTTATTCTCATTAGTTTCAAAGAACATCTTTACTTCTGCCTTCATCTCGTTATTTACCCAGTAGTCATTCAGGAGCAGGTTGTTCCATTTCCATGTAGTTGTGCAGTTTTGAGTGAGTTTCTTAATCCTGAGTTCTAATTTGATTGCACTATAATCTGAGAGACAGTTTGTTATAATTTCTATTATTTTACATTTGCTGAGGAGTGCTTTACTTCCAAATATGTGGTCAATTTTGGAATAAGTGCGATGTAGTGCTGAGAAGAATGTATATTCTGTTGATTTGTGGTGGAGAGTTCTGTAGATGTCTATTAGGTCTGCTTGGTGCAGAGCTGAGTTCAAGTCCTGGATATCCTTGTTAACGTTCTGTCTCATTGATCTGTCTAATATTGACAGTGGGGTGTTAAGTCTCCCATTATTATTGTGTGGGAGTCTAAGTCTCTTTGTAGGTCTCTGAGGACTTGCTTTATGAATCTGGGTGCTCCTGTATTGGGTGCATATATATTTAGGGTAGTTAGCTCTTCTTGTTGAATTGATCCCTTTACCATTATGTAATGGCCTTGTCTCTTTTGATCTTTGTTTGTTTGAAGTTTGTTTTATCAGAGACTAGGATTACAACCCCTGCTTTTTCTTTTTCTTCTTCTTTTTTTTTTTTTTTTTTTGGCTTTCCGTTCGCTTGGTAGATCTTCCTTCATCCCTTTGAGTCTATGTGTGTCTCTGTACGTGAGATGGGTCTCCTGAATACAGCACACTGATGGGTTTTGACTCTATCCAAGTTGCCAGTCTGTGTCTTTTAACTGGGGCATTTAGCCCATTTACATTTAAGGTTAATATTGTTATGTGTGAATTTGATCCTGTCATTATGATGTTAGCTGGTTATTTTGCCCGTTAGTTGATGCAGTTTCTTCCTAGCATCAATGGTCTTTACAATTTGCATGTTTTTGCAGTGGCTGGTACCAGTTGTTCCTTTCCATGTTTAGTGCTTCCTTCAGGAGCTCTTGTAAGGCAGTCCTGGTGGTGACAAAATCTCTCAGCATTTGCTTGTCTGTAAAGGATTTTATTTCTCCTTCACTTATGAAGCTTAGTTTGGCTGGATATGAAATTCTGGTTTGAAAAATCTTTTCTTTAAGAATGTTGAATATTGGCCCCCACTCTCTTTTGGCTTATAGAGTTTCTGCTGAGAGATCTGCTGTTAGTCTGACTGGGCTTCCCTTTGTGGGTAACCCAACCTTTCTCTCTGGCTGCCCTTAACATTTTTTCCTTCATTTTAACCTTGGTGAATCTGACAATTATGTGTCCTGGAGTTTCTCTTCTCGAGGAGTATCTTTGTGGTGTTCTCTGCATTTCCTAAACTTGAATGTTGGCCTGCCTTGTTAGGTTGGGGAAGTTCTCCTGGATAATATCCTGAAGAGTGTTTTCCAACTTGTTTCCATTCTCCCCGTCACTTTCAGGTACACCAATCAAACGTAGATTTGGTCTTTTCACATAGTCCCATATGCCTGGGAGGCTTTGTTCGTTTCTTTTTACTGTTTTTTTCTCTTAACTTCTCCTCTTGCTTCATTTCATTAATTTGATCTTCAATCACTGATACCCTTTCTTCCACTTGATCAAATCGGCTACTGAAGCTTGTGCATGCATCATGTAGTTCTGGTGCCATGGTCTTCTGCTCCATCAGGTCATTTAAGGTCTTCACTACTCTGTTAATTCTAGTTAGCCATTCATCTGATCTTTTTTCAAGGTTTTTAGCTTCCTTGCGATGGGTTTGACATCCTCCTTTAGCTCGGAGAAGTTTGTTATTACCGACCTTCTGAAGCCTACTTCTGTCAACTCGTCAAAGTCATTCTCCATCCTGCTTTGTTCCATTGCTGGTGGGGAGCTGCGATCCTTTGGAGGAGAACAGGCACTCTGGTTTTTAGAATTTTCAGCTTTTCTGCTCTGGTTTCTCTCCCTCTTTGTGGTTTTATCTACCTTTGGTGTTTGATGTTGGTGATCTACAGATGGGGTTTTGGTGTGGATGTTCTTTTTGTTGATGTTGATGCTATTCCTTTCTGTTTGTTAGTTTTCCTTCTAACAGGTCCCTCAGCTGCAGGTCCGATGGAGTTTGCTGGAGGTCCACTTCAGACCCTGTTTGCCTGGGTATCACCAGCGGAGGCTGCAGAATAGCAAATATTGCTGCCTGATACTTCCTCTGGAAGCTTCATCTCAGAGGGGCACCTTGCTATATGAGGTGTCAGTCGTCCCCTACTGGGAGGTGTCTCCCAGTTAGGCTACACAGGGGTCAGGGACCCACTTGAGGAGGCAGTCTGTCTGTTCTCAGAGATCAAACACTGTGCTGGGAGAACCTCTGCTCTCTTCAGAGCTGTCAGACAGGGACGTTTAAGTCTGCAGAGGTTTCTGCTGCCTTTGGTCAGCTATGCTCTGCCCCCAGAGATAGAGTCTACAGAGGCAGGCAGGCCTTGATGAGCTGTGGTGGGCTCCACCCAGTTTGAGTTTCCAGGCTGCTTCGTTTACCTACTCTAGCCTCAGCAATGGCTGACGCCTCTCCCCCAGCCAGGCTGCTGCCTTGCAGTTTGATCTCAGGCTGCTGCGCTAGCAGTGAGGAAGGCTCAGTGGGCATGGGACCCACTGAGTCAGGCGCAGGATATAATCTCCTTGTGTTCTGTTTGCTAAGACCATGGAAAAGTGCAGTATTTGGGTGGCAGTGAGCTGATTTTTCCTGGTACACTCTGTCACAGCTTCCCTTGGCTAGGAAAGGGAAATCCGCCAACCCCTTGCACTTCCCGGGTAAGGCGATGCCCTGCCCTGCTTCGGCTCACCTTCCGTGAGCTGCACCCACTGTCCAACCAGTCTCAGTGAGATGAACCAGATACTTCAGTTGGAAATGCAGAAATCACCCATCTTCTGTGTCGATCGTTGTGGGAGCTGCACACCCTCTTTCCTTTCTTTTATAACAACAGCAGCAATGGCAATGACAACACTCCCCTCCCCCCACCAGAAAAATGGCCCAGTTATTAAACTGTGCTCTCAGATTAAAAATTAAAACCCAAATCTGAGTACCCACATGTAGGTGAGGGGGCCTTTGGCCACACAGAAGAGTTTTAACAACTGTGTTCCTTTTATGATAAGGTGTCCAAGGACTGCATTCACCTAGGATGAATCACAGCAATTTGCAGCTCTGTATTGTTGGAGACACTTCAATTCTGCTATTAGCCAGCCAGAGCTCAAATGGTTCTGCCTTCATCTGGTCCAGGATTAAGAAAAAAGTGTCTCTGGGACTGGAAGGGGGTGTAGGTGGCTTTGTGAACTGTAGGTGAGAACAGAGTGTGATTGAATGCCAGTGAAGCCTAAAGTCTTAAGTCCAGTTAGGGGTCCTCTAAGGAGTTTTGTCTTCATTGAGCTACCTTCTTCAAACTTTTCAGGGTATATTCTGCATGTAGATTTTCTTCAATGAGTAAAACCTTATTCATTTACTACTAGTTATAAACCATAGATGATTTCTTCCTATTGTTTCATCAATGTTGCTTATAAATTGTCACATCAACTGTTACATTAGTTTAATAGTGTAAAAAAATTCTGTGAGCCTAGTCTGATTAAGGTATTGCTGAATTTTTTAAAATATTGAAATATAGTACACATAATGTATACATCATTAACACATAGCTCCATATAATACATCACCATCATGCATAGGACATTATCATCATCCCAAAAGCCAAGCTCAGGTTCCTTCCCCAAAACTACTCCCAATTTATTTACTATACAGTCTTCTAAAACTATGGTTTAGTTTCGCTTGCCTTTTTTTTTTTTTTTTTTTTTTTGAGATGGAGTCTCCCTCTGTTGCCCAGGCTGGAATGCAGTGGTGTGATATCAGCTCACTGCAAACTCTGCCTCCCGGGTTCAAGCAGTTCTCCTGCCTCAGCCTCCCAAGTAGCTGTGACTACAGGCGTGTGCCACCATGCCTGGCTAATTTTTGTATTTTTAGTAGAGAAGAGATTTTACCATGTTGGCCAGGCTGGTCTTGAACTCCTGATGTCAAGTGATCTGCCCACCTGTTTCCCAAAGTGTTGGGATTACAGGCGTGAGCCACTGTGCCTGGCCAGTTTTGCTTGTTTTTGACCTTACGTAAGTGGGATCATTTATATATCATCACACAGTATATATTCTTTCTTGCTGAATTTCTGTGCTCAAAATAATGTTTGTAAATTTGTTCACATTGTATAGTTTTATTCATCGTAATTGCTGGTGGTATTTCATTAAATGAGGACACCACAATTTATACTATGAATGGACATTTGAGCTGCTTCCATTCAGGGGCCATTACAAATAAGGCTGTTATCAATACTCTTATAAATATCTTTTTGTCCACATGTGCTTGCACTTCTGTTGGTATAGGCCTAGGAATGGAATTGCTGGGTCACAGGGTAGGTGTTTATTTCAATTTGTATTTTCTTGATTACTAATGAGGTTGAGCACCTTTCATAGATATATTAGCTATTTGGTATCCTCTTTTTTATACAGGAAGCATCTTGAATTGTCTGTATTTTTATGTTTGTATAAGTTTTTCATGTGTTTTGGACATAAGTTGCTCACATTTACATGTGTTGCAAATATCTTCTACTCTTTGGCTTACTTTCCCTCTCTTTTAATAATGTCATTTGATGAACAAAAGCTCTTAATTTAATGTAATGTATCCAATTTATTCATATTTTCCTGTATTGTTAGTGATCTTTGTGTCATTTAATAAATTTTTTTCTCTAGCCTCACATCATGAAGATATTTTCTTATTTTATCTAATAGAAGCTCTATTATTTTACCCTTTACATTTAGAGCTACCATGCACTGAGAATTGATTTTTATGTGTGGTATGACATAATGATCAAGTTTCTCTTTTTCTCCCCAGACAGTTACTCAATAGACTGAGCACTATTTACTGAATGACCCTTTCTCTGCTGCTCTACAGTGCTAGCTTGCAAGATCGAATGTCCAAGTATGGGTGGATCTGTTTGAAAACTCTTTCCTGTAGTCTATTTGTCTATCCTTACATCAATATCACACTGTCTTAATTACTGTAGTTTAATTACCTATAAGTCTTGATATCTGATGGAGTAAGTCCTTAGGCTTTATGCTATTTACAGTCCTTTGTATTTCTGTATATATTTTAGAAGCTGCTCAGAATTTTTTATTAAAAAACACTGCTGTGATTTTAATGGGGATTGCATATAATGGAGTTTGTTTCATAAAGCTTTCTTCATTCTACCAAGATGGGATATTTCTCTGTGTATGTAGGTCTTCAGTAATTTATCTCAATATATGTTATTTTCTGTGCAGAGATCTTGTACATATTTGTTAGATTTATTCAAAAGTATTTGGTAGTTTTGTTGCCACTATGAAATGATATCTGCTTTAAATTTTTATTTTCTAATTTTTAATGCTGGTATTAATTTCATATCTTGACCTTGCATCTGGCAACCTTGCAAAGCTCACTTATTTATGATACTTTAATTGTAATTATTATGGATTTTCTTTGCATATGTAAATAACATTTGCAAACGATCATAGTTTTTCTATTCCTTATACCCTTGGTTTAATTTCTGTTATTGTTGTAATTACTAGGATTTCCATTAGAATACTGTGAAGAAGTGGTGATTCTGGGCATACTTGGCTTATTCCTAGTCTCAGAGAGAAAGCATTCAACATTTCACCATTTATTATGATGCTGGCTTTTTATATGGCCCTGATGAAATTAAAGAAATTATCTTCCTTTCCTAGTTCTTAGTCTTTTTTCATGAATAGGTGTTGAATTTAATTAAATATTTTTTAACCTATTGAGATGTCAGCGATTTTTATCTTTCATGGTGTTAATTCAGTGAATTACCCTGCCTGGCTTTTCCAATGTTAAACTAGAAATTGCATTTCTAGAAATTATCCAACTTGGTTTTGATCAATTGCACTTTTTATGTATTGCTGTATTGAGTTTGCTAATATTCCTTTTAGAATATTTGCATCTATGTTTGTAAGTAATATTGGACTGTAATTTTGTTGGTATCAAGTTGATGGTGTCAAAATTATAGAACTTTATAAAACAAATAGGAAAATTTCTCCTTTTTCCCTATTCTCTGGAATAGTCTGTGTAATTGTCCTATTTCTCGTATGTTTGGTAAAATTTACCAGTGAAGCCCAACTTTTCTTTGTGGGAACAAAATTGAATATAAAATTTAAAAAATATTCATAGAGATTATTCATATACTCTATTTCTTCTTGTATCAATTTTAGTAAGTTTTTTTAAGAAATTTGTCCATAACATGTAAAAATTCAAGTTTATTGGCATAAAATTGTTCATGTTATCCTCTTATTAACTTTGTAGCATCTGTGTGGAAACTTTGTCGTCTGTGATGATATCCCCCTTTTTATTTATTTATTTATTTATTTATTTATTTATTTATTTATTTATTGAGACAGGGTCTCACTCTGTTGCCCAGGCTGGAGTGTAGTGGTGCAACCAGAGCTCACAGCAACCTCAACCTCTCAGGCTCAAGCAATCCTCCCACCTCAGCCTCCTGAGTAGTTGGGACTACAAGTGTGCGCCACCATGCCTGGATATTTATTTTATTTTATTTTTTGTAGAAATGAGATCTCATTATGTTGTCTCAAACTCCTGAGTTCAAGTGATCCTGCTGTTTTGGCCTCCCAAAGTGTTGGGATTACTGGTGTGAACCACTGTGCCCCGACACTTTTTATTTTTGATAATGGGTAATTTGCTCTTGCTGTCTTGCTGACTTGCTCCTGCTCTTGCTTTTGATCTCTTTTCTTTTTCTTGATCAGTCTTGCCAGTTTATCAATCTTATTGTACTTTTTAATGAACAAACTTTTGGCCTACTGGTTCTCTTTATTGTCATCTGTATTATATTTCATTAATTTTTTTCTGTTTTAATTTTTTACCTCCTTCTCCTGTCTTTTTTATTTAATTTGCCTTTCCTCTTCTAAAATCTTGGGTGGTATACTTAAACCATTGATTTCAACTGTCTTTTATTACATGCATTTCAGTCTTACATGCATTTCTTTTATTACATGCATATTCTAAGTATAGTTTAGCTATATCCCAGAAGTTTTGATATTATCAATGTTTACATTCAATTAGTTTCAACTATTTTAAAATATTAATTGTGAGGGGTTTTTGAAATTTGCAAATAGTTTTAAAACTTCCAAGCATATGGGTATTTTACAGTTACCTTTGTAAAAATTAATTTTAGCTTATTTCCACTATGGTCCAAATTTATTGGAGATTTTCTTTCTGATCTCGGTCCTGCAATTCAGCACTGCCTTAGTACTTCTCAAATGACTGTATGAAGCTGGGAATCATACAGCTGAAGAAGGCCATTACATGTGCTGGGAACATGCACCTTTGAAGGCTTAGCTAGTGGTTCTCAACCTATCAGATGCAACACTACCATTTTAAATACATATATTTGCAATATTACTTTTTCTATCCTGAAAAAAACTTACAGGTAATCTAAATTTTTAGAAAAACAATACAGTATCCTGTTACATGGAGGATAAATAAATAAAAAGTAATTTGTAACAAAATAATGTTTTTCAACCTGGAAATGTTCAGGCATGACTACACTAGAGACAATGATAAAGTTGGCAGATGTTTTCTTCTACATACATTGAGTTAATATGGATGTAAGAGAAGTAAGACAATACTCAAAGAATATTTATTGTTGACGCTTTTTTCCTTATATTTAACATTTTGAGATAAAGGCTAAATGAGTGTATTTGTGTGCGTATACAAGTACAATCAATGTGACTGTGACAACTGCAAATGCAAAGCTGATAAACATGTGTTGCCTTGTTGACTCAAATACCAGAAGCTGCGTTGTCATTGATGAAGGAATATTTCGAAGCGCTGAACAATTCTTGATAAAGTTCCGAAACAAACAAAGCACAATCTTCCCTCGATTTACATGGGAGTTGCATTCCTGGAAAATTCAGTATATTTTAAAACCATGCAAAATATCCTTTTAAAAAAATATGTAACATGGAGTTTAGGACCAAGGCTCAGGTAACTATAAAAATTTTTACCTACATAAATTTCTAGTGGAGTGTTTGAAATTTGTTTAGGACTGTGTCCTTCATTGTGGGACATTTGCAGATTTCTCCCTTGCCCACTAAATCTCAATAGCACCTCCTCCCTCAATTATTGTGACAATCAGTTCCTCCACATTCAACAAATTTTCCAACACCTCCCGAGCAGCACTGCCATCCTTGTTGAGAACGTGTATCTAGTTCATCTTAAGATAGAACTGCCCCCCTCATCCCCACTTTCTCTCCCAAATCCTGTGAAAGCCCAGCACAGGCACTGGGGGATACAGCAAGCCACTTAGGAGGATTCCCAGCTTGTGTCATTGAATCATCTTTAAATTTATTTTTATTTTTTTTTATATGTCTTATCATCTTCCAAAAAGGATGTTTTGGTGAACTGCAAAGAGATATACTCAGAGACAGGAAAAAGATCTGGTAGGGTGAAGAATGAAAGAAAAACAGGCAGGCAGAATAAAGCTGAAAGCTGAGCCTAGTATCTAAAACGCACACTCCCAGGGCTTGTATACTCAATAAAGTTGAGAAGTAACTGGGTTGTCAATTTAAAGAGGAATACTTGATCAGACACACAATTCTATGTTGATAAGATTAAAAACAAGCTCTAGTCATCCTTCCGTACCTGTAGGAGATTGGCTGTAGGACCTTTGTGGATGCCAAACTCTGCAGATACTCAAGTCCCTTATGTAAAATGGCATAAGGGACCATTTGCATGCAACCTATGCCCCTCCTCCCATATACTTTAAATAATCTTTAGATTACCTATAATACCTAATACAATATAAAGGCTATGGAAATAGTTGTTATACTATATTTTTTCATTTGTGTCATTTTTATTGTTATTTTTAATTTTTTAGAATATTTCCAATCCATGGTTGGGTGCGGAACCTGCGGATACAGAGGACTGACTATAATATCAAGGTAAGGACATGGATTCTGGACCCAGACTGCATACATTCAACTTGGCTTCACTTTTACAAACTGTAGGACCTTGAGCAAATCACCACATGCTTCTGTCTTGTTACCTATAACAGGATAATATCACTACCTACAATACCACACAAGTCTATTGTGAGGATTAGATAAATTGGTGCACATAAAGTTCTTAGGAGAGTATACAGTAGTTACTTGTAAGCACTATATAAACATTTGCCAAATAAGCAGAAAAAGTTCTCAGAGAAAACAGTTTTTACCAGCAGTTTTTCTCACTAATAGATGTGGAATTGAATTACCTAGATTGAAAACTCAGAGGAAACTTGACATTCATCAATTCTAATCTGTTTGTGTTACAGTGCAGGAAACTGCAGCCAGACACTGAAAGTCTAGGGGCCAAGCTCACATATTAGTTGAGGATCCACAAGTTAGTTGAGGATCCTGGTCCCCTGGTTCTTTTCTGCTGCTCTTGCCAATATCTCGGCCTGGAGCTGGCCTGTGGAGGGGTGCAGAGAAGCAGCCTATTGTCTCTCCTTCCCAGAGTGTCCACAGGTTCCAAAATTCTACCTTCTCCCAACTGTTCTATAACACCCCAAACTCTCATTTCTTCCTAAAGGACAGAGAGCAAAGAATAAATCAGGTGTGAATGACCCCTAAACTCAAACCCTCAAGGAATATGCAAACACATAGTAGAGTTCCTTTAAATATAGTAAATCTTCAACTTTGAGGAAGAGGGCGAATGGGTAGGTGGGAGGCAAAGGTTTTAAATTTAGAAATTAAAATTGAATTGTCTAAACTGGCAAAAGTCTCACCACTTTCCAGTTGTGAGACTGCACACAAAGTTACTTGAGAGTCTCCAAGCCTCATTTTTCTCTTCTGTAATGTCAAAACAGAGATCATAAGGCTGTCGGAATGGACTCTTTGTGGCAATAAGATACCATATTATAAACAGGACCCAAGGTCATGCCAGGTAAGAATGAAGTCACACACCCTTCCTCTTAAGGAATAAACTATATTGTAACTGCCTCAAGGTTTTTTCTTTCACTCTAGCAGTTAAACAAGCACTGATAAGTCTCCAGCCCACCATGAACATGGGACACATGCAACATGCATGTTTGCTTTACTATGTATGCGAGCATCCCCCACTTCCTAAATATTTATTGCCCCCTGTAACCTGCTGAATATGTAAACATAAACGTGGCCAAACCGTTCAGCATAAATTCCTGCTTTACCCCTCTCTCCCTTGAAGTGCCTGCTTTTGGTGTCTGCTGGAGGCTATGCTTCCCAGCCTATCAGGATGGCCACCTGCAGGCTGTAACCTTTTGTTAGAAGTAAAGCTCTCCTCTCCAAGTTTCTGAACCTTGTGATTCTTCAGTTAACAGTAACATGGGGATGATAATAATCAACACCTCATGGGTTGTTGTGAAGAAGAAATGAAATAATACAAAGCACCTAGCACCATGCCTGGCAGAGAGGGGCCAATAAATGTTCATCATATTTGCTATTATTATTATTATTATTATAGGCATCAGCAACCTATCAGAAGAGAAATAGTTTTCCTTTGCTCTTTGAAGAAAGGAGGCCGCCCCAGAAAGGCTTTATTCGTGTCCTCTTACTCCATGAACTTAGTTACCTTGTAGAGGGGAACGGGAATGTCTGGAAAGAAAGAACCTGAAGCTCAGTCCCGATAGGATCACATGAAGCGTCACAAAGACAGAAGGGTTGCAGGGCTGAATCCAATTCAACCACTCACTCTAGTGTGTTCCTGAGAGTGCTGTCTTCTCTCTCTGACCCTTAAACAAATATGTCTACGTTCACTGTCCAGAATATAATATAAGACAGGGCTTGGTATTATTAAGATGCTGCTTACTAAATGAGGAACTCTGAGATATTGCACAAGAAATCTAGAAACTTCATGAATTGGGGGTGAGTCTCCCAATGGTGAAAGTTCAGGAAGACTGGCTGCAAGGGGCTTTGCAAAATACACGCTTATAAACACACTTTCTCTTCCTTTAACAAGGAAAATGATAAAACTTCATAGTTACAGCGAGAAATACTGGGAAACAAAAAATACGCTCTTAAAATTTCAATAACTTCATATATTCATTCTACTTAGCTGTTACGGGAGAGAAATCAAATATCTTACTGTTGATTTTCATTTTCCAAGGGACTTTGAACTATGTGTGTAGGTGGCAGTAAATACCTTCGTTATAGCTGCTGGGAGCTGCAGACTCTGCACACACAGGTGAAGGTGGTTAGACTTGTGTTTCCTGGGAAGCAAGGGCAAGTAAGGAGTGTCTACCATGGGCCAGCTATATGCCTTTGGTATTCCATTCAACACCCTCCTCCCTGTGTTAGAGGAAACATTTCTCCTCCTGCATTCTTCCCAGCCTGTAACAGGACTTTCTGTCCTCTGGGGGATTGGGAAGTTATTTCCTGCCCCTTCCTCTTTTTACTTCTTCCCAAGGGAAAGAATGACTTCTCTTCTTAGGGAGGTTGGAGAAGGGTCCTAAACAGCGGGCTCTCTTGTTTAGGCTGACTGTGAGACAATTTTTTCATTGCTTCTGCTTTCCTATGGGGAGAACCGTTGAATCGTAGCCTGGGATCTGGAGGTTGATGTCTCTCTTCTTGCTCTCCAGAATTCATTGATTTGAGGCATGCATCTGACCTCCATGTTTCTGCACCACAGACTCAATTCTCCTCATGTGCAGGTCCAGACCCAGCTGGGGTTGTATCATTTTGAAGGTCATCTGATTGCAGGTCCACTTTAAGGGCTCCTACTCAACAACCAATAAAGGTCCTATATTCATCTGTATTTGCTGAAATATGACTATTTCTCAATTGGTTCAGAATCAGAGAAGCTCTACTACCCAGAAGAGTTGGAACGGGCCTTGAAATGTAACCCAAGCATCTTATTATACAGGTAAAAAGCCAAAAATCATATGCCCCTCTTGCCAGCTGACCTTCCCAGACCCCACCCAGGTCTGGCCACATAATAATGTGCATTGCCCAAGGTGGCTTGATTGCCTGGTCTGGCAGCTGGAGGAGTGGGCCCTGCACCTGACCTCACTGTGTCTTGGCTTTGTCCAAGTAGACCCCTTGCCTTCGATTGTTTTGTGCCTAATGTTTTCACTCATTTAGAAACACCTGCATCTTTCTTCCCCTGGCAGTGCTCTGAACCCTTTTTTTTGCCGGGGGCACTGTCACCAGTGTCTTGAGATATGTTCCTGTTCTGTATCTGACCCCAGTGGACCGGAACCTGCACGTAGGTCTGCTGCCTCCCTGCCTAGCGCTCTTTCTGCTCCCACCAGGGTGCATACCTCTGTGAATTACATGGCTGGACTTCTCTTAACATCAGACTCTATTAACTAGAACAATAGTTTTATCTCATCCTGTGATTCAAAGACGGTTGCTAGGGAAACCAGTGGGGATATGTTTAATCTGTAAATCCTGTAATTGCCCTAAAGTAGCAACAATTCATGTGCTTGCTTCAAAAGGATTTGGACTGAACTGACTGGGAAGCAGGTGAGTGAAGAAGAACAATCACAGGTTGGCTCCCCTTGTGATCTGTTCACATTCCTCATAAGGTGTTTTTTCCTGCTGCTTTGCCAAAAAGCTAAAGGGATTAAAGAGGGAGCACTGCGGTGCCCTTCTAATGGACCAGGAAAGCTAGAAAGACAAAATTATGCAGTTCTTCTCTTCTTATGGATTCAAGTGGTCAGAGCTGAGTGATTGGAGGCTGTACTGGTGGTGATGGAGAGAGATAAGAGGATAAATACTCCATTTTATTTTAAAATGGATTCAGAATCCTATAATTGTAGTTTGTAGGGGGATACTAACTCCAAATGAGGAGAAGCAAGGTATTTGGGAAGTCTTATCAGAAGAGGCCAGGGTGGTCTAAGCATAGGAGCACAGAGTCGGGTTTGGAGGCGTGCCCAGCATCATCCCCGCCAAGCCTTTCCTTAATCCACAGCAGTATTCAGTGGGTCACCCACATGCTGCTTGGGCACTGCCAAAAATGGAGAACTTGCTCCTTCCCAGAGCAGCTCATTTTGTGTTTAAACAGCCCTGATTGTTAGAAGATCTGCCTTAAATTGAACTGAAACATGGGGTGCTGGGGGCAGGGGACAATTTTCCTCCTTGACTTGGCTGTCTGGCGGAGCTCACAGAGGTTTCTTCATAAGACATGCCCTACCTCTGTCACAGGGCCCACACCCAGCAAGCCACACTGGCTCAAGGGCCCAGAACTATCCAGACCGTTGAAGAGTCCCACCTTGAGGCACAGGACAGAAGCAGTAGGGAGAAAACTAAACATTCCTTGATGTAGTGTTTGATTAAGAATAAAATGCACAGCTTCTGTCTCTCGGGGCCCTGCAATGTTTGTGATTTAAAAAAAAAAGCAAAATCTAAGTGCAGACCCTGTTTCCCAGGAGAAAAGTCACACGAAACTCTTCTTTATACAAAATGGTTCTGAGAATCATCACTACCATTATCGGTGGAGATGACTCAGTATTCTAGACTTAGCTAGTTATGCAAAGTCCAGGGAGGTCATTGTGCTCTCTTTTGGAAACATAATAGTTCCATTAATGCAGCTGAATATCACATTTGCTCTGAGCAGCTGCATCCCACTGCTGACTCATGTTGAGCTCTACAATCAGTGAAAACTTGGAGGGTATTTCTCCTTTGTAGGTGCAATATCATATGATCCCTCCTAAGCCCAGCTCTATTGGGACTATGGGTGTCCAGGGTCCCTCCTAGCTCCTTGCCTGCTTTTGCTGTCAAGTTTGTGAGTTCACCTTCTGTATTTTAAAATTCAGGATTGCAGCCTGGTGCGATGGCTTGCACCTATAATCCCAGCACTTTGGGATGCTGAGGCAGAAGGATCTCTTGAGCCCAGGAGTTTGATCAAGACCAGCCAGGGAAACATAGGGAGACCTCATCTCTACTAAAAATAATTTTTAAAAAAGTAGCCAGGTGTGGTGGTGCATGCCTGTAGCCCCAGCTACTCAGG
Organism: Homo sapiens; assembly: GCF_000001405.40. Taxonomy (NCBI): domain Eukaryota; kingdom Metazoa; phylum Chordata; class Mammalia; order Primates; family Hominidae; genus Homo; species Homo sapiens. The sequence goes on from NC_000001.11 coordinate 68,104,816, forward strand.
AAGCTGAGGTGGGAGGATGGCTTGAACCTGGGAGGCCAAGGATGCAGGTAGCCATGATCGTGCCTCTGCACTACAACCTGGGCAAAAAAGCAAGACACCTGTCTCAGTAAAATAAAATTTAGGATTGCAGGGATTGCACCCTCCTGTCTCTGGTTCTTTGTTACCTATCCTGATCTGTGAAGTCTTAGGCAGTCACTGCCTGTGCATAGTTGATGTATCTATGTGGTCCCATTCTCTTCAGCTCTAATTTATCCAGACCAGCATGTTTAATAAGGTTAGATGTCTGATCTACCCTTTATTAATGTCTATTCTCTTTTCCAATTCATTGACAGAAAAGTTGGAGGAAAGCCAGGAGCCAGGGAGTTTTGCTTTCTTTGATCTGTTGAAGCAGCATAAGTAGTTTACCTAAGAGTATACTGCCCTTGTGAGAGGTAACAATGCAAGATTTTGGAAAAAGACATCTAACCTGAGTGCTTATACTTTGCATAACCCTTTTGCATTGTTTAGTACTACTGGTTTTTATGCTACTTAATTGTTTTAAAACAGGGATTTATAAAAATAGACACAATTTGCTAAATTCTCATTCAGTTCAGTCACTCTTAATGGAAAGTCTAGTTTTATATGCCACAAAGCCATAACCAAGGTGCCACCTCATTGTAGAAAAAGAATCCAGAAAGAAAGAAATGGTTTTGAGTAGCAACTTTGAAAATTCCAAACTATGAAACAAAGGCAGAAATCACTGTTACAAGGTCCTTGGCTTTCCAGGAAGTCCAAAACCCAAATGAAAAAGGCATCTTGATTTTCTCTCTGAACTCTGCTCAAGGTTTACTAAGAAACTACCTACCACGTATAAATGGGAAACACACAAAAGATGTATTTCTTGGAAGGTGAGGGGTGTTAGTGATTTTGGCCTCACATTAAGGGAGCCAGAACCTGCCTGAACTGCTAGAAATAAGGGGTGGAAAGACAGGACTGGGTTCTGGGGCTGCATCCAGGGAAAACATGTCAGTACCGTACACCTAACACCAGATGAGTGGACAGAGACATGTCAGGAGAAAAGAGGAAAAAGGAATGCCCCGGGCTCCAAAAAGAAAAGGATATGGGATTGGTGTAAGGGTCTGAGGGATGAGAGAAAAGAAAAGATGGTGATACATAATCACTTCTCTTTTTTCCTTCAGAATGATGACCTAAAACTAAACATTGGTCACTGCAATCAAAGTGTTAATATGAAAAATCAAGTACCTCGCTCTGAAATTTCAGAATTTCTTGGTGGGGAGTTAGGACTAGGAAGAATCACAGCCAAAAACAACTAACAGTAACTCCCATAGCAATGCTCTATATTTAAGATGTAGATACATCCATAATATATATACTCTGGAGTGGTTTATTAAAAGGCACTTCGAGCCATTCATAAAGAAATAAATGATAGTGCAAGGCAGCCGGACTCAATGGCCAGGAGGGGAGTTAGCAGTGAGTGCTCTTGAGGAGATGCCGAGGCTGGGTGGGCAGAGGGTACTTCGAGGGGGGCCTAAGGGAGCCCTCAGTGGGCCTGGGTGATGATGTCCTCAGAATTTCCCAGTGTGTGTGACCTCTGCAGCTTGAGTGTTCCTAAGGGAAGTTTGGAGGATAAAGACAGCATCTCTGGGACACCAGACCAGTGTCCTTCAGGTCTGGGAGCCCCACAGAGCAACAGCTGGGAAAGTATACGGTTATTGGAGGCAAAACAATCAAAATTCCATTCCAGAAACGTGTCCCTTGCAAACCTAGGTACCTGCTGCTCACTGTTCAATGGTGGCAGACATTTCAGTGTAGGCAGCTCAGTGCTTCTCATGCATAGACAGACTGCTTCCCACTTCCCCACCCAAGGGGCACCTGGAAACGCGTGTGCATGTGTTTGTCACTGTGTGTGTGTGTGTGTGTGTGTGTGTGTGTGTGTATGTGTGGGTAGGTGGGTGGGTGAGTATAGAGGCTACTGGTATGCAGTGTCCAGGACAAGAGATGCTTAATGTCCTGCAACACGAGATCAGTTCCTCAGAGCAAATATGGACCCCATTATAAAACAATGTGCTTTGGACACTGTCAAGAGGAAATTCCCTTAAAAGAACTAAATGTATACCTTACTGAAACCAACTAAGTCGGTATGCATTTGAACGTGTATATTCCAATGTTTTCTGCTTTTAAATTTAAAAGCTCTTAAAGTTAGAAAATACAGATTAGCATAAAGAAAATGATCAAAATAATCCTCATTCCTACTATTTAAGTAATTAATATGTTGGTATCGATTAATGTGTCTTTCCATTTATTTATGAAAATAAGACAAAATTATGCATACTATATTTTTAGTCAGCTCTTTTTAATTACTATATTGTGAATCTTCATTGACTTAAATAGATCCTTTTGTATATAATTTTTAGTTGCTGCCTCATACTGTATTTTATGTCTGTACCATTGTTGAACTATCCTCCATTGTTGAATAGCTAGATTTTTTTTTTTTGCTATTAACACAATGTGGCAATTTATCTTTGAACGGTTTTTTATTGTCAGAGAGCAAAAGGATGTTTAACAGCTGGAAGGTAGGAGGATAGATAGAGTGACAAGAGTTTAGGTTCTGCAATGAGAAGACATTGCTTCAAGTCCCAACTCTGCCACTTACTAGCCATGTGACCTTAAGCCATTCAGCTCAACCTCTTTGCCTCAGTATCCTCATCTGCAATATGAGAATAACAATACTTACCTGGCAGGATAGCACAGGAGATTAACTGAAGAAATACATGTGAAAGTACCTTTCAACTGTACCTCACTCTGAGAGAGAAGGGGGAAAAAAACATGATCTTCCATTTACTGTGAATCTCTCATATGCCAGGCACTTTCCTGCGTTTTACGTGCTTTATTGCATTTGATCCTCATGGCAAACCTGTAAGGCAGGGGCTATTTTTTTATTACCCACATGTTACACAGAAGGGAAATGAGACATGTGGATAATCTACCCCATCATGGGCACAACGGTAGAAGCGGCAGCACAGAGATTCAGACCCGGGTCTGCGGGACACACCCCAGGCTCTGAGGTGGATACAATGCAGAAGAGAAGCACACTCCCCAGTGTGGCAGGAGGCCAGTTCTAGAGCCTTCCAGACCCAGCTCCCCGGGAGATGAATCACCAGCTAGGGACAATCCCGAGGCCAAAAAGCTCATGATAGCCTGCTCACAGTCTTGAATCAATAGGTCTTTTATTAGTCTTTAAAATGGGGACCACAATCTTTATATGTATACAATATTCGTGCATTCCAGAGCTCTTTCCCATCCATTCTCTCACTGTTCTGACAATAGCTCTGTGCTGTGGGTGGGGCAGGAATCGGCTTGTGAAGCATCATCCTATATGTTAGGACAGGGAAGACTGGAACTCTGGATGCCTGGTCCCAAATCATTTGAAATTTGAATAATCCCAGCTTATTGGAAAAGGAATCCTGTCTTTTCTACTTGGTATCTGTGTAGCTTTGGGTAACTCATTTCATTTCTCAGATTTTCAGTTTCTTCATCTCTTAAAAGAGACCAAAAGCAGGAATAATGTTTATGTCAAGGATTGTCCTAAAATCCAAATGAAGTCATGGAGGATATTAAAAATGCCTACCACTGTGTCCCTCCCACCTCTAAGGCAGTGTACCCACTCCAGCCACCCAGCCCATAGTGTGCTATGGTCTACACCAGATGCCCCCTTCCCACTCCACTGTGGGTGATTGGACTGAGGTGGGCAATGAGCTCAAAGAGTAGTTCACTGGCCTTAAAGGAATTCATCAAATACTGAACTGAATCACCTTGATTCTTTTGAGATTTTTTTTCACTGATAATTGAATTTTTAATTCTACTTAGTTTTAATTAATTTTAATTTAATAGCCACATGGAGCTAATGGTGACCATAATGTACAGCTCAAGGCTATAAGTTTATTATCTGGGGAAAGTAAAACAGAAGTCAAAGAACATTAAAAAATTGAGAGCTTTTCTTATGGGGAAAATTGGCACACTAAAGATACCACGGACCCAGAGAAAGGCCAAAAAATATATATATGAGGGAAAGAAATGGTAATGCCTGGAGGGGCCCGTGTTAGTAGAATTCAATATGAAAGTATTAAAGAGCACTTCTGGTACTATAAGGAATGAAATATTATGAAATGCTTAGTGCTATAAAATAAAGACAACCTGACAAAGTATACTTTTAATTTTATTCCTGGGCTTGCAAGAAGTTATGTACCACTTATGCACTACCACCTTCACCCCCAACAAAGACCTGAACACACAGCAATAAGTGCTAAGCATAGGTGAAAGGCAGGGTTGCCCTGCTGGCAAATGCTGATGTTAAAACTGCAATCAAAAGCCAGCTAACAAGATAGAGAGATTAAGCCTAGGGTCCCAGCAGTGGGCTAAAGTTTCTATAGGTGGGTAACCCTCTGGCTCTCAACAAAAACAAATCTCTCTGGAGAAAAGCTTCCTCAATTTGGGTCCTTAGATTTCCGTGGATTAAGCAACAATATATGAGCACTCAATAAAATATGATCAATGAAATATAATCAAACACACAAGAAAGCAAACCACTATAAGCAAGAGGTAGAAGAGATGAGGTATGCCAGACTTCTACTTCTAAGAACTTTAAATGTTGGAATGAGAATATTTGAAATGTATAATAATTACAAAATTCATTCAAAAAATATGAAGTCACAGAAATAGGCATGCAATGCTAGACTATAAAAAGTGAAATGGTAGATTTGAAAAAGACTTAAACATAACTTTTAGAAATGAAAAATGTTATTAAAACAGCAGAGGAAAGAATTAGTGAAGTGGAAAATAGAGTTGAAGAAATTAAACAGAATATAGCACAGGAAAAAAAGATTATAAATAAGAAAGAAGGATCAATAATCATTATAGGTTCCAAGTAAAGATAATATATTGAACACATACAGCTCATTTTACTACCTTCTCCAAACTTATTAAAACTACAGCAAAGGGATTTTAAACAATCATATAAACCCACAAGAATGGGCAAAATATGAGATGAGATACCAGCAACAAACTTCTGGAAAATGGAATATAAATGAAGAATTGATAACAATGTTACCAGAGCTAAGAAAACCAAATCCTAAACTGATGGTGGGGAAATCATTGAATCAACTGAATTTGCACTGGAACACAACACAAAAAGTAAAAAAAAAAAAAAAAAAAAAAAAAAAATACAGTAAGAGGCATAAATTAGTAGGAATTAAAGATAAAATAGAAGAACTACCAAATCAAAAATTCTTTAAAAAGACTATTAGATTAATCTTTAGTAAGATTGAGAAAAGTGAAGGTATAAATATGTATGAACAAAGGAATATATCTACAGATAGGCAAAATTAAATTTTAAAAAGATTTTTAAAAAATTTAATTTAAAATTAAGTTGAAAAAATATTTTAAGTGCCAAAAGAGATAGCAAGAATAATCTACACTACTTTATGTCTATACATTGGAAACAATTTAAAATGCCCAGAAAAATATAACTTGTGAAACCAATTGAAGAAATGGAAAACCTAAATAGCCTTATAATCATTAAATAAATTAAAATGGTAGTCTAAAATTTTTCTGCAAAGAAAATAAAAGTCTCAATAATTTCAGTGACATATTATTATTGCATTAAATAAAAAACCAAATGTCCAAGAAGAGCCAAGACATTCTGAGGACAAACAGGATGAAGGAATGTGCTTTTCTAGATTGCAAGCCTTATTAAAAAGCTAAAGTAATTAAAACAGTATGGTTTTGAGGTAAGGATAATCAAATTAGCCAGTGGAACAGACTAAGAAGCCCCCAAAAATCTCTGTCTCTCTCTCTCTCTCTCTCTCTCTCTCTCTCTCCATATATATATGTGTGTGTATGTGTATGTATATATATGTTTGTATATATATGTGTGTATATATATATATATTTGCTCGATAAAGGATATTGTGTTGTAGATCATGAGTGGCTTATTCAATAAATGGTGCTGAGAGCATTAGTTATCCATATAGGAAAAAAATTAAAGAGGCTCCTTATTCTCTTACATACAAAAATTAATTTTTGATGGAACAGAATCTTAAATATGGAAGGCAAAGTCTTAAAACTTTTTGAAGAAATTTAGAATATTTTTATAATCTTGAAATTTATTTAAAGAATTTTTTTGAAAGACACAAGTACCCATTAAAAAAGAAAACATTGGTAAATCAACTACACAAATCATCAAAGATACCATAAATGAAAACATAAGGAATTCATATCTAGATTAATCTTGACCGTGGTCTTAAGACTTCCAGCCTCCTGAATAGTAGGAAGTAAATGTCTGTTGTTTAAGCCACTCCATCTATAGTATTTTTGTTATAGTAGCCTGAGCTAAGACAGCTTTATATAAGCCTTTGGGGACCATAGATGAACTACATCACTTGGTTCTAGCATGTTCTGTGGTTTCAATGCAGAAACCTAGAGAATAACTAAGGCTGGGAGAAAGAAGGACCACACTGGTGGGAGAAGCTGGTGACAAGTGGTAAGGAGTGGGCAACCTGGGTACTAATTCTTGTTTTTTCTTCCCCAGCCTTGTGGTCTTGGCCAAATCACCGGGCCTGCTGTCTTTTCTGTAGAGAGAAGGGCTGCTCGGTTCTCATTTGGATTCAACCTTTCCAATGCAGCATTTAAACACGGAGGAGGGATTTTTTTGGTTGTCACAAGGACTGGGGGACCCTGCTGGCTAAATATCCTCCAATGTGTGAGACAGTTGCACCCTAAATGCCAGTGTGCCCCTATTGAGAAACATCCTCTCTATAACAGTCCTTTGAACGAGCCCTTTACATCTCTCTACACATACATGATGTTTGCTGGTGGGTCGGGAAACATTTGGATACTTTATGAAGCATGCAGGTCTCCACCCAAACCCACAGGTCAGATGGCTGCTGTCCAAACTTTAGGATCTTTAGGGCTGCAGATGAGATGCTCTGTTCTGGTGTATGTCCTGCTTGGGGGGCTGCCCCTCCTTGCCAGAAGAAGATTTAGTTGAATTCAATTGAAGTGTACTATTACCAACCATTTGCTCCCTTGTTCTGACAGCCAGCAGGAGCAGAAAACTGGCTTGCTCTGGTACTAACTGCATTCTCAGAACCGTGCATGCAGTGCTTTATCGTTCTGTTCAAAGCTAAGCAGTGCCCTCCTTGGGACACTCTGGGAATGTACAGTATTCATTGCTCTAAGAAAATGCCTTGGCCACAAGGAGAAAACATTCGCTGGCTGTGGCTTGAGCCAACTGGGTCAGCGCCAGCCTGTGCAGATGTCTTTGTGGACAGAGAAGAAGTCCCTCTGGGAGAAGGCAGCCCATGCTAGGGTGCATAGATTGATGAGAGGAGTGACAACTGTATTTCTGTCCTTACTTGCTCTCCTGGCCAGGTGCTCTTATGCAGTGCACTAGCTGTACAACAGTACCTACTGGCTGGACCCTCTCATTCTCTACCAATTCAGCAGTCTCCTCTTGGCTTCATTCAGGAGGCTGTCTCCCCATGGTTGCCTGAACCCAAAAGCAAAATGTGTGGGTCCCACCTACTTCTCACGCTCTAGTTCTAAAGAATGGGCCCAGGTGTCCAGCCTCCACGGCCTGACATTCAATGCTGTGTACACTCCGGTTCCAAGTTGCTTTTCTACTCACTGCACCCCAGACTCTCTGCTAAACAGGCTACTTTAGTCATTGCCACCCAAATAATGCTTGTGAAGTTGCATCTCCACACTCTCATACTCTTCCCTTACCCTCACCTTTTATCCAACTCTTTCAAGGCTCGGCTCATTTTCAGTCTTCTGGGAAGCCCTCTCAATTGCCCCCAATCAGGAGTTACTGAAAAGTGTCCTTGTACCTCCCATTGGTCACCGACTGCACGGTTCATGTATTGGGAACCTTGATTGTTAAGAAGATTTTAAGTTCCTTGAAGGTGGAAACCTAATGAGAAGACTTGCCCTTCAGGCTCCTCTACTTAAGAATCATTCCAAGCAATTACCATGGAAACAAATATCTTCTCTTCCTGGCCTCTTGGACCAAAACAAACAGACAAACTGTTAAAGAGCAAGGAATTTGGCTCCCTGCCTAGGTTGGCAGTGAGAGCGTCAGAACAAGGTTGAGGCCAAATCCATGAACCTCATTTAGTTAGCTGCCCACGAACTTGGCTTGGAACGCCTTGGCCCCATCTTAAAGAAAGCCCTTCATTCTGGGGACGCTGGTCAGCCTGAGGCCCATGCTCCTTAGTCCCACCACAGGAAGCCTTCTCTCTCCATCTGTCACTCTGAGACCATATTGGCTGAAGCTCTGGGCTTACTCATATCCTGAGTCATCCAACCTCGCATGTCCGTAAAAATATCCGTATCCTTATAGGTGGAGGCCTTATAGATAGGTTGTTGAGTCAGATTTATGAGTTTGAGAAAGAGATGCTTTGGATGCAAAGGACCTTTGGTGAGTTTGCAGAAGCCCTGGACTCAAATCTACCACCACTCAGAACAGTGAATGCCAGAAAATTCCTGGAAAAGGGCATCTCTTTGCTGAATGACCCTAGTAATCTACTCATTCCCCAGGTAATTACTGAGCCACTCTGTGTTCCAGGCACAGTTCTAGTTTCTGGAAATATACCTGAGAACAAAACAGACAGAAATTCTGCCCTTATGAGCCTCCACTTCAGCTCCTGGCCAAGTCTGTTTTTCATATGATCCAAGCACTTTGGCAGGTGTTAGGGCTGTAAAAGGGATGGCATGGGACCCCCTTGGGTAGGGGACGTGGCAGACACATCTCTTAGAAATATTGCCGCAAGCCTCACTGTTCAAGTCTGGTGTGTGGAGCAGCTGCATCAGCACCTCCAGGGAGCATGTTAGAAATGCATCGTCTCAGGCCCTTCCCAAGCCCTTCTGAGTAAGAAACTGCACTTTACAATATGCTCCCAGGTGAACTGTCCGCAGGGAAAGGCTTGAAAAGCCTTGCTACAGGACAGCAAATCCCACAAGCTGTCCTACAGTGAAAGGGAGCAGAACGATAATGTGCATTTGAGAAAGAGTACATCCCATGCCTCAGATTTAGAAAGGTGGCGTGTTCAAGACTGAGATCTCCTCAGAAAGAAACATGCTTAAAAATCCAATGCTACTCAACTGTATTTGATGGCTCAACAACAAATCACCGACTGTAATCACTCAACAGAACCAGCATCCTGTGAAACACACCTTGAGAAACCAGTAGTGGACCTTCTGGCATTCCCGGATTCAACTTTCTTGGCTTCAATGACTGCAGATGGAGTGAGCCCATGGGGTGATAACTGGCAGTTTTGCTGAGGAACAAATCTGAATCATGCCTACTGCCAGGCTGAGGCTCTGGGCCAAGGTCTCAGCTTGGGATAGGGTGAGGATCAGAAGGCTGGAAAGATAGAGGGACTCGGAGACTGCCAGCTACTGGTTAACTTGTGGCATAAGGAGGATATATACAGAAAACACTGGATTCTATAGCTGAAATATGTCATTTGGAGAAATTTAGGAGCCAATATAAGCATTCCTTATTTGTCATTTCATGGGCTATATATATTCCACAGGTGTCAAGAATCTATAATGATGATGATGATGGCAAAGACAATGATAGATACCTTTTTAAAACTTACTATATGCCAAGCACTGTCCTAATTCATATGTTCCCAACAGCAATGCTAAGTGGTATAATCCTCATTTCTGCAGATGAAGAAATTGAGGCACAGAGCTGGCTCCTCGTTTTAATCCGTTTCATGCTAAATGTGACTTCTGAGACCTAGGTGACAGGCATCTGACTGGTGCAGACTAAACTGGCCAGATGATGGAGTGACCACTGGTCCCCTTTATCCCTCGAGCCAGCCCCTGAAGGCTGAGAGACTTGCTCAGAGCCCCGTCCCAGAAGTGGGCAAGATTCATATTTGTGCCTTAGCAAAACTGCCAGTTATCATACTATGGGCTTATTCCTTCTGGAATAGGGTAAAGCAAGAACAGAGAACCCCCTCTGGGGGTGCCACTTAGGTGTGAAGCAGCCCTAATTGGGCAGGTATAGGCTGGAGTGACCTCAGTGGTAGGCCTGGGAGGGGACACCTGGTTTGCTCTGGGGCAGTCGTAGAAGGCTCAGCACAGTGCTGGACTGCAGGTAGGACTAAGCTTGGATTATAAGGCCTGGGATCTTCTCATAATGCTGGTCTGCAGCCACTGTGTGGCCTGTGACAGGCCTTTCCCTGGGTCTCAGTCTTTGAAAATAATGATACACCCCCCACCACACCCGGTCATGGGTTGCACCTTGGGTTTCAACTCAATGACTGCTTTTCAGGAGGTCCCTCTGGGGCTCCTTAGGGTTATGGCTGCTCCAGGCTGGCAAATCCAGATCATGCAAGAGGTGGCTTAACCCTCTCCCTCTCAGGGACACGAAGAAGATCTGTTGCTTCCAGATTGCACCAACACACATGCCTAGAACCCCAGTAATGAAGCTGGAACCTCTGCTGTGTGGTCAGACAAACCCAAGGATAAATTGCCCCTGCTTCTTGGGATGACACTAGGAATTCGCCATTCTTCACGAGGCAGTCCCTGGGGCCTAGAGCCAATTCATTCAGTTTAACATTCCCTCCCTTTGAGACAAAGTATAGGGTGGTGATAATGAAGTCAGTCGGGCACAGCCTTGAGTGCTGGCTGTGTGACACAGGGCAAGTCACTCAACCTCTCTGAGCTCCAGCATGCTCATTGGTAATTGGTATAAATGAAAGTACCTATATCATGGGACTACTGTGAGGTGCCAGCACATTATCAGTGCTTTGTAAAGAGCCGCTATTACTCTTGTTGTTGCTTGGACATTTGTTATGAGGGGGGAATACTTTTTAAAATTTGCTTTTTAAAAACATCAACAAATTTCTGAAGGCATTTTCAAATGAGACTTTAAAATATGTTTTTCTCTTCTTATAAAGTTAAAATTTTTGTATGAGGTTAGGCATAATTTTTTTTTGTTTTAAATTAACAAATAGCAATCAAGGGCTTCTAAGCAATTCCAAGGACCCCCTTGCTGCTCTATTCCACTAGTCTTCCACCCTCTCCCTCCTGGCAGCAGTCGTTGGCATTTTTGTATGTCTCACCCTGGAGGCTGGCAAGCTCTGCACCTCCTGGTCGGGAGCTTCCAGCTCTCCCCTGCAGCTGTCCTGAATTCCTCTTGCTGTAGGTTGTCCCTTTGTCCCAGAGCACTCACCCTAACAGGGAAGTCCCTCATTTCTTCATTAACTTCCAGGTTGCTCCCTCCCCATTAATGCTGAGCTGGAGAAGCAGGGTTCACAGGACCTTACAATAGGGACCAGGAGCAGCAGCTCGGAGATTCAGGCCGCCTTTGGCTTCCTTGACCCTCCTGTACCCAGGGCCAGCATCAGGGAGGGAGGAAGAGGACAGGGACAACAATCAGCAGGGCCCGTGTAAGCATACACTTCTTATGGATGACTCCTCTGACAACCACACGGGGTAAGGCCAGGCTCACGGTCACACAGTGGCTGAGCCAGAAGATCAGTGTTTTTGCTTTTCCATCTAATAATGGCTCCGTCTATACAAAATTTTGGGCAGGAAGGGCAATGCATCTATCAGAACTCATTGGTGACAGGCGCAGCAGGAGCTAAATTGGCTGAGTTGAACCAGGCTGTTACTTCCTAGCTGTGTGACCTTAGGGAAATCACCCAAGCTCTCTGTGCCAACAATTGTGCCTACCTCATAGGATTCATTTAAGGATTAAAGAAGTTGATAAATATCAAGTGATTAAAATCCTACCTGGCACATCCATAGCAGGGATTCTACATGCTAGATATTTTAATTGTTGTTAAGCCTCATGAAGGCAGGAGTCTTTGTCTATGTTGGTTATTGGTCTGTGTTAGAACAGTGCCTGGTACTTAATAGGGGCTCTATAAACAGTTGTTGGGTGAATGAATCTATTTCTTTCAAGATAAAAACTCTTTTGCAATGCAGCCATTGTTTATCTTGGCCAGCAGAGGGCAGCAAATAGCTGTGGACTGATTAATTGTGGACAAGGGTGGTTTTAATTTTGAAGGCTAACAGAACTGTCCCTCCTGAGCCAGTTAGGGAAATAAAAGGTTGCCATGAACCTGTACGACTGGCCCCGACCCCTCCCACTCACCTTTGTGCAGGTTAGAATGATTGTCAGGCATTCAACTCACAAAAAATCTTGGTTCCATTTCTTCTCAACTTACTTTCAATTTCCTTCCTCCCTCCCTCCCTCTATCCCTGCTTTTCCTCCTTTCTCCGTTTTCTCTAATCATATTTCCCCCTGCCCCCACACTCACTCCTCTGCATCAAGCTAGTATACTGTACACACTCCCAAACTTTATCTGTACAATTGCAGCTTGTACTGCAAACCATGACATCTAGAGTGGATCCTTATACAGTATTCTTCCCAACCAATGAATGCTGCTAAACCTAGTATAATTTTTTAAACAACATGTAATTTGATAACTAGACCCAGAGAGGTACTATAGCTTGGCCAAGAACACACAGCAATTAGGGGTAACGTTAGAGCCCTAGCCAAGGCCTTCTGCTGTCCATTATACAGCCTCATCACACATGTTCTCTTTTGCCAACAGGAGGCTCGTGTGGTCCCTGTTTGTCATCCAGTCAATACGGCCATCAGCTTCTGGCCCCAGACACCTTTCCTCTGCACTGTGGCACAGAGGAGCAGACTGCTTTGGAGGGCAGCTTCCTGGGAGCTCCAGGGACCCTGGCCAGGCGGCCACTGCCACTGACTTCCTCGGCTCACTGAGCCCGTGCCTGCAGCTCTCGTGTTTCCTCTGTGCTGCAGTGGACGCTTATCTTCCCCCGATGGCACATTTCTTTGTCACAGACAGGACCCTCACTGGCAGTCGGAGGTGAGTTCCCGGGGAGCTTCTGGGTCTTGTTGGTGCCTTCTGGCACCACTTGTGGATGGGATGGCTCTGACACCCAAGCCTCACCACTGCTCCGGGGGTAACCCAATGACATGATCTCCCCAGCTTGCTAGATCCTGTCCTTCCCAATTATGATCCAAAAAATCATGCTAGGATAACTGTCTGGAAAAAATATTTAATTGGTCTTCCAGCTGGGAAACAAATTCTATATGAATTGATGAGAAAAAAAAAACAGAATTTTTAAAACTAGAAAAAATGTGGGTGACCTATTATCTTAGGGGATATTTCTTTAAGCATGAAAGCAAAACTAGAAACTATAAAAGAAAAAATGTACAGGTTGACTACATAGAAAAAAGCTCTATATCCTGGTAAACATCCAAATCAAAATAAAAGCTAGTGACAAATGGAGAAAAGTTGAGCTACCCGTGTAACAGACAAAAGATAAATATACTAAATCAGACTCTCAAGAAAATGGATAAAGAATCTGAACTGACAACCTAAAAATATCAAGTCATAGGAACATGAAACATGCTCAGTGTTACTGGTAATGAAGTAAATGCAAAATTCAATTTCTGCATCTTGAAGTTGCAAATTTCAAAACTACGTAGTGTCAGTGAGGATGCGGGCCACAGCCTCTCTCATTCTGCTGTTGGCACAGTTCTGGAGGGCTCTGTATGCTTACAGGTGTCCATGATAAATGCTTTTCTGTGTAGCCTTCATCGCTATCACCTTACTATCTATTGCCTCCTCCCTCCCGCCTTCCTTTACCACACCAATATACTTCACAATGATAGGGATATTGTTTACTGATCTGCCCCAAATGCTTACAATAGCACCTGGCCCGGCTGGTTGTGGTGGCTCACGCCTGTAATCCCAACACTTTGGGAAGCCAAGACGGGCAAATCACAAGGTCAGGAGTTCGAGACCAGCCTGGCCAACATGGTGAAACCCCATCTCTACTAAAAATACAAAAAATTAGCTGGGCGTGGTGGCAGATGCCTGTAATCCCAGGCTACTCAGGAGGCTAAGGCAGGAGAATCACTTTGAACCCAGGAGGTGGAGATTGTAGTGAGCCGAGATCACGCCACTGCATTCCAGCCTGGGTGACGAGCAAGACTCTGTCTCAAAAAAAAAAAAAAAAAAAAAAAAAAAGCACCTGGCCCAATATTAGATGTTCAACATATGCTTATTGAATGAATAATTGATCTTTAACCCAGTAGTTCTTAGGAATTGATACTAAGGCAACAATCAGTGATGTACAAAAAAGATTTATATCCAAGGATGCTCATTTCAACATATATTGTAATAGTCAAACTTTGCAAACCACTGAAATGTCCAGTAAAAATTATGAACCATCCTTTTTAGAGACTATAATAGTAAAGTCATGAAAATCATGTTATAGAAGACAACACAATAACATAGAAAGATTTCCTAGATATATTTTGAAAAGGGCAGGTTATATAACTGTCCAGAAATTTATTTTCTATGTATAATACAATCTTAATGTATATAAATCTACACATATATGCATGGAAAAACTTGTGTAAGAACATACTGACATTTTAACAGTATTTATCTTTGGATAGAGTAATTGTAAAATGTTTACATGTTTTTCTTTACTCTTTCATGTATTTTTGCAGAGTTTCTGTGATAGGACCATTTTGTTTTTGAGACTGGATTAAAAACAATGTAGCAGAGGCCATGGGTGCCTCACCCATATTCCTCAAGCTGGCCCTAGTTCCAAGTAGCTAAGAGCCTGGCGGTGGCCCTCTACCTACAAAGGATGGGAGTGGAGTGGCTCTCTCTCACAGCTTCCTCAGCCCCAGGGGACAACTCTGCAGCATGTTCCTCACAGCTTGACAGAGGCCCTGGCCGTGCACCTTGGTGGCTGTTCTTTGCATTCCCTTCTTCTCAGCCTTGCTTCTCCATGCCACCTCAGTGCTTCCTGGAATCACCTTTCAAGCCAGCTACTTGCACACAAATCCTTGTCCCAGAGTCTGCTTTTAGGAGGAGCCCAGGCTAAAAGGCACAAACGCTGTTTTAAAAATCCTGCCCACTCCGTGTAAAGAACATCAGCCAAGCATGGTGCTATAGAAATAACTCCTATCTTGGCTGTTCCTGTGTGTAGTTCACTTTCAATCTCTCAGCATCCCTGAGTTGAAGAGAGATCTTGCTTAACTGGGAGGGAAGGCCAAGGGGTTTCTGGATACAGGAGCCACCTTGGGGATCTTAGAGCCTCAGAAGAGGCAAGGATGTACGTTATAAGAAGGGGCTGTCCAGATGATAAATGAAATTAATAAACCACCCCTGTGATGCCAGCACATGGCTCACAGCAGATCTGCATCAGGCGCCTACCATTGCCCTAGGATGCCATTAACACCTACTCTTCCTTATGAGGCTTAGAATCAGGGCTGCTGAGGACTTCAGAAATCATCTCATTCAGGTGGGGTGAAGGGGGTGGGTAGCTTCCCTGAGGGTCCCACAGCAAGAGTTAGAGACACAGCCAGGACCAGAACTTACTGAAAAGCAATAATCCAAGGTCTGACTTGGGTTCTGAGGATTTGCTCAGTTATAGATGTCATTCTCGATTTGGCCTGAAGAGGGCAGACACTTGCCATTCATGGAGGTGAAGAGCTTGTTTTTAAGGCTGGACTAACATCTCCCAATAAGGTCATTTGGTTCTAGTGAGAGTTGCAGCTCACAACATTCTTGACTCTTCTGCTGCAAATATGCTACTGGAAAGACACTGAAGTTCACAGACTGAAGTTCCTTTAGTTCCAACTCTGGCACTGTAATAGGTGACCTTGCACAGGTCACTTCACCTCTCTGAGTCTCACTTCTTGTGAAGTAAGATCTCTACTCCGTGACTGAGAAGGTGGTATTGGGGAGTGATATGTAACTTACAAAGTTGCATATTACAACACACATCACTGCTGTTAAGTTCTGTGTGTGTGTGTGTGTGTGTGTGCGCGCGCGCACATGTGCACACTCGTGATGGAGAGAGCTTGATAAAGGAGAGAGGCCTAGGCCAAAGGAGCTTTTTCTGGCCTCAGGTGAATATATATTTGTAAATTCTCTAGCAATTGGAACCAATTCACTTTGTACTTGGAAAAGACTTAACTGCTTTTACTTTATATTTCGAACTGTACTTTTTTAAAAGCTAAAGATGTCCCTTAACCTAACTGGTGTATGGGAAAAAATATACATAACAGGGATATATGTAAAGTTCTACCATTAAGTCAAAAATATTGCTGAATACAGAGAAGGTATTGGTAATACAAATTTTTAAAACTAAGTATTTAGTGGTTGCTTGGTCATGAGAAGCAAAAAAGTAAGAAGTGAGTATTTTTAAAAATCCTGTACCATTTTCCTAGGACATCAAGCCCTAGTACAGGAAGGGACATTTTCACACTAATCTGTGCCAGCTGGAGCAGTCCTGCCATCTGAACATCATATTTTGGAACCCTGAGAAGCTAGGATGCAGTTAACAGGTAAGTAGTAATGGGAGAACTTTCTAGAAACCATGTCTGGAGGAGGGGTTCAGGAGCTGAGATGCTGAGCCTGGGGTAGGGAAGACTTGAGTGGGGCAGGCCCTACAAAAAGGGGTTCCATCAATCCAAATAAGGAAAAGTCACAAAGGAAAGGTCTGGTCTCAATAGTGAAGGGCATTGTTCCCTGAGAGATCAGTGTGTTGTCACAGGAGACAGGAAGCTCTGAACACTTCAAGACATGCTTAGAAGGCCCCCCGATGTCAGCAGAAAAGGGGCTGCTAATGTCATCTCAGAAACCAAGTTATCCCCATGCAACAAAATCAATCACGTATCAAAACATGATGGAGAGACAGCCTGCAGAAGTCAGATGGTTCCCGGAGCACTACAGGATAAAAAGGACCTTGAAATACAGAAGACAAAGTACAGGCTCATGAATGTCTGGACACACCAGCAAATTGAGCCTGACCAACTGCACTGACATCCTGATGAGTCAGCTTGAATCAAGAAGATGGGTCCCAAATAACTCAGGGTCACGCAGCAGAGAGAGATGGGGATTAGTCAAGTGTGTTCACTCTCTCACCGACTCTTCCTGATTGAATTCCCACACTATGCTAGGCACTTTTTAGGGAGCTGTGTATATTTTCTTTGGAGGCACAGGGTTAGGCCATTATCTCTTCCAAGGACAGCAGTTTCTCTGTGAATTTATTCCTTGTCCACCAAAAACCTTCTATTTCCTCTTTTAGCCTCCATGGTTACCTGAAAATAGGAAGGAAGGAAGTCTACGATGATGGAGCCATAAGATATATGCATTCTTTACTGTAAAAGATCACACAGAAATTCTAGTTTATAGATTCCCCAATGTTACCATTCAGCCTTTGGAAGCCTGATTCAATTTGAAAGAGTAGATAAAATATAGTTTCTAGAACTGACAAGGTGAGGATGAGACCCAAGACCAGGGTGTGGCCACTACCATGTGAACACTGGGAGGTCCTCCAACCTCCCCTGACATTTCTCTTGAACTTCTCAAAGTTACCTGCTTGGACCCCAGGGGTATGAGTTCCAAGGGCCCGATCAGCTATGAGATTATAGGCTGAACTCAGGCATCAGAATTGTTAGAGCTTTATCTCAGTTCTGAGAAATGGTTAAAACCACCCTTGGGCAGTCACACGTGGAATCACTTATTTCATTACTATGGACATTTTCTTGTAGGAACAATACATAGTGAAAATCCACTGGGATAACCAACATAAAACTGATTTTGTTTTCAGTTTGATATAGCAATTGCATTTTATTTGTTTGTTGTAAGTATTGGTAAACTTTCTTATTTTTTAAAAACAGACATCTGTAAAATTATATACTTTTTTCCTATAATATCCTTTAAAGCTGCTTGAAAAATGTTTATTATGACAATGTATAAAACTGGTATACATGGCCAATAATAAATTTTTTCTCTAGGTTGATGGTCCTTACTAAAAGCATTTTCTCACCTCTTGAGTTTCCACTTCTCTTTCCACTGATTGAAATGGGTTGCATCCAACCTGCATTCTTGAAATGGAGACTTCTTTAGTGAAACTCCAACACCCACTACACATCGGTGGAGAAGGCAGAACAGCCAGGGGACATACTGCAACCCCTCTCCTCTGGACCTCAAGTTTCTCCTCCACTGTCTATTTGTTATTTCTCTCCTGTCTCAGGATGAAAGTGTCTTTTCACTCCTTCGATGCTAACTCATCAACTTGTACTCTTGGTCCCAAAACTCTGATTTGGCTTGTGGCTTACATTAGCTCCTCAACATCTTTCCTTCATGGCTGGATCTCACCCTTCAGGTTTACAAACTTAGTTCACTTCCCTGCGGACTAAAAAACACAAGTCTCCATTTTACTCTGGCTCTTCTCGGAGCAACCATTTTACCTCCTTCCTTCCCACCACAATTGCCCACTGACTCTGCTACACTTCTCTGTCTACCTTCTGCCCTTGCCACTTAAGAAGGTTACACACATCCAAACCACCAAATCCAAGAGACTTGGATCCTTAAATGCTGCTGAACCTCTGAGGACATCTAACGTTGTTTCTTTCGTCTTTTTTCCTTATGAATCTGGTTCTTTCTTTGAAACCCCACATTTCTCTGATTTATCCACCTTATCTTCTTCCCCTTTCCTATAGAATATGGCCATGTCTGGCTCACCACTCTTGGTGGTCATCTGCTTGATGTTTTACTGCTCTGCCCAGTTGTCCTTCTTCCTCTCAATGGTGGTGGCTGCCCAATCTGCTGGACCCCTCAGTTCTAATTGTTAGCTCATTTCCTCAAAGAGATGGCTTTTAAAACCTAGCCCAGGCAAACCCAAACTCATCATCTTGCCCACTGTGCTAGATCTTTTCTGATTGTTTGCCCAATTCAAAATGGATTCTCCATTCTTTGGAGATGGACACCGATCTATAAGGTAGGCCCCAAGCAGCCATTTGACCTGACTTCCTGGTCACAGGTGACTGGCACAGGGACAGCCACCTGCCTAAGACTCCTGTTTTTAAGTGAGAGAAACAAGAACTGGATAAAGACTCAGTAGTGAATGGTACTGCTCTGAGAGAAAGGTGCATGGATTCCTGGTGCTAGGGGCCCTTAGAGCTGCCCCACTTCCCATCTTCCTGGTTAATTCAACTCTTCCATGGATCTCTCATATATGCTAGGAAAGTTCTAGTACAGTCTGTCTCTTAGCTAAGCTTGCTAGAGTTGGCTCCTACTTAGAAAACTTTAAGTAGTGAATCCACTGACATTTGTCATCCAAGAATCTCTCTCTCTGTCCGAAACCCCACCCATTCCCTTCCCCAGCGAGGGCTTGAAATTTGACTCTGATCGATCTTTCTGTGCAACCCACATCCAGAACATTCAAACCTTGTGCATTTTATCTCCAAAATAATCCTCTCCTCCAAGTCCTCTGCTACTGTCCTGGTTCCAGTCTCTGTGATCTCTTTTCTGGGCTTGTCCAGCCTCTCCAGGCTCCAGTGATCATTCTGATCGTATCACTTTTCTGCCTAATATCTGAGGCTAAGTCTTGTAACTCTTACCACAGCATTAAAAACCCTTCTCCATCTGGCTCACAGGTGCACAGGGCTCATCATCTGCTATTTCCATTCCTATGTGCCAGCCAGGCCTGATCGCCGACCTTATCCAAACATTGTCCATGCTTTGCATCTTTCTTCTATGATTTTTGTACTGCTGATCCCTTTGCCCGTTGGCTCTGGTAAAATCTTTCTCCTTTAAGGTCTATCTAAAGTCCTTTTCCTAACCCAGGGGATAGAGAAACGTTCCCTCTATCTTCTGGGACAGGAGTTCCCTGCTGGACTGGGAGGCACGGCTCCCTTTGATTCCTGGCACTGCAGTGGTTGATTGGTAAGTGGATATTGAGTGCACAGGATCGTACACCATCCCAATGTCCACCAGGTTAGGAAAAGGCCTAGAGAGAATAGCCAAAGTCAAAGCATTTTCTACTGTCACTGCTTACCACGCTTTAAGCCAAAGTCAGGAAAAGGCAGGCTAGGGGTGCTGAGTGGTGAATTACATGGACTGTGCCCCAGACCTCCAGACCTCAGTGTCTGAAAAACAAGTTACTCATGAAACTGGTTTTAGACTCCAGGAAAAACACATTTATGTGGCTTGCTGTTCATAAAACACTTCCATATATATGAACTGATTGAAATTTTCACTGTGACCCCAGTAAGCAGTTAAAGTTTATCGATATAAGTGAGGAAATAGCCAGGTCAGATGTAAATCACAGACCTTCAACAGGAAACAGTGTTCCTTCTCTCGGCTATCTCCAGTGCAAGTGTTAAAATACAACGAAAAAGGCTATTGGGGAAAGTCTGAATAGGGCAGAGGACGGCTCTGCTTCTAAAGCACGTGATGTTCTCCCCACCTTTGTTGTCACGCATATGAGCATCCCTTGCCAGCCTAGGGAGGCTAACCACACAGGACAGAAAATGTCACTCTTTCTCCAGGAATAGGTATTATCCCCAAACACTTTGATTTGATGATAAAGTATATCAGTTTTTCAGAAACCTATTTCCCCCATCAACTCCCCACCTCTAGGTTCAACCTGGAAAATAATCTGCACGCATGTGTATGAGTTTTAGCAGGAGGGGATATGCATGTACACATATGCATATACATACAGGTTTATTTAAATGATTGGATCTACACTTTTGGAGGCTATTTGAAGTATCTTATCAAAATAAAACGCATTTTAAGCAAGAAGTTAAAAAAGCTTTTCAGACCCGAAGGCCATTTAATACAGTAAATCTTACTTGGGTAGTTTAGCAAACATTTTTTAAAACCCACATCCAACAGATTGGTTAGTATTAGATACACAGATTTGGTTTCAAAGCTGAAATACCCCTGGTGGAATAAATCTTCTCATGAAATTCAGTTATATTATGCCACAAAACAGGGACACTTATCTATTGACAACTTAAATATTAACTCAGTGGGCTACCTGGTGATATAAATAGGAAAAAAACAGTGGTCATGGATTAGGAGTGAGAAGACTATGACACCAGCCTACCTTGGACTGGGACCGCAAAGGATGTTAAAATCTATCCTAGAATTTAAAACAGGAAAAATGTCAAATATTCCACTCCCCATTCGGCCCAAACCATCCCCCAAGGAATACACCCCCACCCCACCCCCACATGAGGTTTACTAACCAGCTGCTACAGATGTTACTATGTCACTAATTAACAATGATCACAGAAAATGTGTCATACCAGAGTTTTTGTTATCATACACAATGCATTAGTGGCTGCAGGAATCTTCCTCCAAAAGCTACCGTCAGAAGGCAAACTGACAAATGTCCATGCCGCTGGTCCAAGAAACCACAGCTAAGAGCCATGAGGCATTCATTTGTACATTGAGCTCTCTCTGGCATGCTCCCCACTCTAGTTAGAGGGGCTGGGGTATGGAGAGACCGTCCCAGCCGGGCGCTGCAGCCTCCTACTCCTGGGCCTCCTTGCGGGTCAACTTGTAGATCTCAGTGGGTCCGTCCACATGGGTGATAGTGGTGGTGAGCTGGAGTTCTTCCCCACTATGGACACCCAGATCGCCTGAAACAGGGTTTTCGGTGTTAGATGCATTCAAGGAGGAAGGAGAAGCAAGCTGGGGTTCATCTCATGGACAACTGCCCTGATGCTAGCCCTCTTTGACATTCTGAGCACACAGAGACACCTAGGGCACACAACATTCAGAACAAGGACTAACTCCAAACCTGTTCACTTGGACTTTGCAGAACTTTTTAAAATACCATTTTTGGCTCCTAGATGACAGTCATTAAGATACGTGAGTCAGCTCACTGCTGATATTATTCATAGTAATCATTAACATTTAATGAGCATTTACTTTGTGCCTGACGCTATTCTAATCACTTTGTAAGTGATCTTCTTTAATCCTCGCAGAAGCCCTCTGAAGTAGGCAGTATGAACGTGCCAGCCTTACAGATGAGGAAGCTGGGAGGTAGGCAAGGTAATTGTCCTGGGTGGAGGAGCAGGCCCACAAGAGAGCTGGCAAAGGAACATCTGATGCCAAGACCAATGTGATGGGCTAAACCAGCATAACACCCCTCCCAACGGATGGGTCAGTCAGGCACCAACACATTTGCTATGAATAATTTACAAAATAGGAGCCAGGTGCAGTGGCTCAGGCCTGCAATCTCAGCTACTCGAGAAGCAGGGGTAGGAGGACTGCTTGTGGCCAGGAGTTTAAGATCAGCCTTGGCAACAGAGCGAGACCCTGACTCTAAAAAAAAAATTTGTTTTAATTACCTGCGTGCAGTAACTCACACTTGTAACCTCAGCTACTCAGGAGGCTGAGGCAGGAGGATCACTGGAGCACAGGAATTCTAGGCTGCAGTGAGCTATGATTGCACCACTCACTCCAGCCTGGGTGACAGAGTAAGACTTTGACTCTAAAAAAATAAAAAAATAAACTACAAAGCATCTATGTCACGTGAAAGCAAATAAGACCTGCTTATATCTATCCATAGATTGGGGAAGGAGCCATGTCTAACACATCTAGGAACAATGAGGGGCTTTATTCTCCAGGAAAAAAGAAGTGCCAGAAACGTGCTGTGCATTTCCTTCTGCCCTCAGGATTGTCCTAAGTGTTCTGAACTCATTATCAGTGGACAGTGTTCTGCTAAAATGGAATAA
This sequence comes from Homo sapiens, assembly GCF_000001405.40. Classification (NCBI taxonomy): domain Eukaryota; kingdom Metazoa; phylum Chordata; class Mammalia; order Primates; family Hominidae; genus Homo; species Homo sapiens. Next base: position 68,127,437 of record NC_000001.11, read on the forward strand.
TTTGAACTTTTCTAAATTAGTAGGAGAAAAAAATTTTCTCTAAGTTAAACCTCGAAAACTCTGCTACCTGCCATAAGACAAGTGAATGTATAAACAACAAAGGGAAAATGGAAAACGCAACCACGCTCAGTCTGACTGTGTGTGGGGGTGCACGTGTGCACACATGTTTGTGGAGAGGGGTGCTGGGGAATAGAAAGTTAAACTTGTGTCAGTGATTTTTATATTGTGCACATATCATATGATAAGTTTTCTGGAACTGAAGTTTTTCTAATTTAAAGCATAGAATTAAGTAACTAAATGCTGTTTTCCATTGAAATGCCATACCATAACTTAGAAGCAGCCTTGGCCCTACCCTTAGGACTAGTAATCTTATCACTAATTTAAGAACTGCTAGGCATCAATGAATCTGGTGGCCTTAGAACCCCAGATGTCACTCCCACCCACTGGCCCAGCAGGCTGCTTGGCTGGTTCCCTTCACGTGTGCCACGCAGTATTAGTTTCTCATCGTAGACCCATTTCTCTGTGGCTGCACAGCAAAATCAGTCCTATTATTAAATGCCACCCTGTAAGCTCTCTACCCAGGAGATTCCCTGGCCTCAGAAGCAGACTCATTGGCTGCTGCAGAGGACTGCTGAAGACATTTGGGGCTGTTTTGGCAAGGGTCTAATCCACAGGACTATGGGTAGAGAAGGCATTAAAGGGGCATCAGTCCAGCCTCCAGCACATCCACATTCATCTGCCCTCAAGCCAGAGCATAGATGCCAAGTAAGGCTGGTGAGAGGCTTTAGCTGGGCTACTTTGGGCCAAGCTGAACCACCACTTGTACAGTGAGCAACTACTCCCAGGCCAATAACTTGTATTCTCACTGCTGCAACATCTAGTCCACACCTCAGTCAAGCACAAGCAGTCTAAGCTTCACATTTCTCAGTCAAAGCTATTTCTGGATTTGCATATCTGGGCTAGCCATCAGAACTTCAAAGCCAGTTTCATGATCTGCATGTCTGTGTGAGTCATCAAAATTTCAAAGAGTCCTGACCACCCCAGTGGACCCATTAGCACTCATAACCGTTTACCTAAGGAATCCCTTTCCCTGAGGACTTCTTAGAAATAGATGCTAGAGAGTAATTCTACTCAGGCTTTGAACCAAAGATGTTAATTCTTTAAACTTAAAATATGACTCCAATTAGCAGATCTTAGAATATGCATATGATCCTACAGATCACTTGAAAAAACAGCCAAAATTGCCTTGGCTTCTTTATTTAAATGGATACCTATGTCATAATGCTTAACACGTGCCTGACACAGTTCTAAATACTGTACAAATATTAATGCACTTAATTCTCATAGCAGTCCTCAGAGGCACTATTATCATCACTCCCATTCTGCCGATGAAGAAACTGAGGCACAGAGAGGCTAAGTAACTTGCCCAAGGCCCAAGCTGCTAAATAGTGTGTGGGATTCAAATAAATAGGTGCCAGGATGCAGGCTCTCAACTTTTGGGTTCTGCTGCCTCTTCTTAAATATTCAAGTTTCCAGCAGCCAGTGAGACTGCCAGTGAGGTATGAAGTCCACACACACAGCATTACAGCTAAAAATATCCGCATACAGCCGGGTGCGGTGGCTCACATCTGTAATCCCGGCACTTTGGGAGGCTGACGGCGGCGGATCACTTGAGGTCAGGAGTTTGAACCAGCCTGGTCAACATGGCAAAACCCTGTCTCTACTAAAATTAAAAAAATTAACCGGGTGTGGTGGCGCATGCCTGTAAGTCCCAGCTACTCAGTAGGCTCAGGCAGAAGAATGGTTTGAACCCGGAAGGCGGAGGTTGCATTAAGTCAAGATCGTGCCCTTGCACTCCAGCCTGGGTGAGAGAGTGTCTCAAAAACTAAACAAAACAAAAAACTACACATAAAATAATTTGAATAAATTGTTTAGCATATTTACTTTGCTTTTGTATCTGATAAATTTATAGCATATAAATCAGTGCACTGACAGGAGAGCTGTTATAAATTTATGAGTATTGGCCATATGCACTGTTAGGGGTTTAGCATGCCCTGTATTTCCTTGTACGATGTGAAGCTACTGTGGCATAATTAATTTCTCTACTGTGCTGGATGAGGACCCAGATAATGGGACTCCATGCACCAAAATCTATGTTTCACATGTGATTTTATTGTACCTTGAAGGCCAACTGTTCCCCCTTGGGGAATGGGTGTGTGAACGTGGCAGTAACATAGCACGAGTGGAGATCCCTCCACTTGCCTCCTAATTCCATCACCTCCTACTTCTGCCAAGGTCTTGCTCCATCTGTTAGTTTCCCCCTCTCTTGGCTCCTGCTGTTCAGTGCACAAACATGCTCAAAAGTCTCTTCCCATCTCAGACAAGAAAAAACCCTTCTGAAAATGTGATATGTGTCTTGGGGTGAAAAAGAGTGAGAAAGAAAAAAGAAAAGAATGCTTTAGTTTGCAGTAAATTTCTCTCCCTGGTTATGATGTCAAATTCATCACAGCTCATTAACAATTAGATGACGGTCTATTTCTTCCTAACCTTGTGAAATGAGACCAATCTCTGGCACAGATTTCATCCCAAAGGACTACGGCAATGCATCCATATGTGTGGAGTCACATCCACAGGTGTGTAAGCGGCTGCTTGGTTGTAACTGCCTGGAATGCCTAATGAGGATGAAGAAAGCCATATGCACTGGAGACAGCTTCTTAGGACCGGCAGCATTTTAATGACAATTGTTTGTGTATCTGTGCCCACTTCAATAAAAATGACAACAGCTACTCTCATTCTGAGGATGTATTACAGATTCCGGGAGAGATCGGAGGTACCACTAGAGGTCTTCTAATATTAATAAGGCCTACGTACTTCCATCCTCACCACTACCAATGCAAATTAACACCCCACTGCCCAAGTGTGAAAGCCAGGGAGCTCCCATACCATGAGTTCATATTTGTTCTCAAGGTCATACACAATGTGTGCCGGAGCCAAGATTCCAAACCATCTGTGTCTACCTCCAAAGCTTATGTTCTTTCCAGAACATTCATGACCTATCCTTTTTTGTAGAATTTTCCCTAGGCCCACACCAACCTCTCTCCTATTCACCTTCAAAGCTAAGTTCAAATGATAACTTTTTGTAACGAAGTCTCTGGTTCACAGCAGAATGAGAAAAACAGAAAAGTGTAGTATTTTAAAGCCAAATTATTTTCATGCAAAGAACTGCTTAAGAATATGTCTGCCTTACATTTTTGGTGTTAATATGATTGTTATGTTAAAGAACAAAATAGTGTCGCTGGTGCAGTGGCTTACATCTGTAATCCCAGCACTTTGGGAGACAGAGGCAGGAGGACCACTTGAGCCCAGGAGCTGGAGACCAGCCTGGGCAACATAGAAAGATCTTAACCAAAAGAAAAAATAATAATAAAATGGTGAATGGTAGGTTTCTTCTTCTTTTTTTTTTTTTTTTTTTTTTTAGATGGAGTCTTGCTCTGTCACCCAGGCTGGAGTGGAGTGGAGCGATCTCAGCACTGCAACCTCCGCCTCCAGGGTTCAAAGAGATTCTCCTGCCTCAGTTTCCTGAGCAGCTGGGACTACAGGCGCATGCCACCATGCCCAGCTAATTTTGTGTGTGTGTGTGTGTGTGTGTGTTTTTAAGTAGAGACAGGGTTTCACCGCATTAGCCAGGATGGTCTCGATCTCCTGACCTTGTGATCCACCTGCCTTGGACTCCCAAAGTGCTGGGATTACAGGCGTGAGCCACCGCACCTGGCCTTTTTTTTTTTTCCAAAGAAAGTAAATACCCAGGACAGTATGTGGTATATAGTAAGTGCTCAAAACACCCATGAAAGATTTGCCTGGTGCAGGCAAGGGCAGTTCCTCTGTACTCTGCATGGCTGGGTCTAGCCTAGCATATCGGCACTGGTGTTCTTCCCCACTGGCATTTAGGAAAACACCCTCAGTTAGAAAACAAGTGTGCCTTGGGATAGCTCAGCTTTGAGGATCCCTTCTGGGAGATGGGGCAGAGTGGCTTTGGTGGACAGGGTTAAGAGCCCTGGGTCCAGTTGTCTCTCGGTGCCTGTCAACCCCAGAGGTCATTTATTCCAGGCTTGGAGCGAGCCATTGCCCATGGACCTCCAAAGCACCTCCTGACACTTACTGCCAGGCAGTAACTGCAAGTGGGAGAAGAACACAATAGAACTTATTAGTTTGGGGGTAAAATCTTGGTGTTACAGGCTGAATTGTATCTCCCCCAAACTCTCAAATTCATATATTGAAGTTCTAACCCCTAGAACCTCAGAATGTGACTGTGTTTAGAGATAGGGCCTTCTTAAAGAAGTAATTAAGTTAACAATGAGGTCAATTGGGGATGGGCCCTACTCCAACAGACTGGTGTCCTTTGAAAGAAAAGGAGATTAGAATATAGATATACACAAAGGGAAGACCACGTGAAGACACAGGGAGAAAGTATCCATCTACAAGCCAGACAGAGAGGTCTCGGAAGAAACCCACGTTGGTGATACCTTAATATCAGACTGTGAGAAAACAAGCTTCTGTTGTTTAGGACACCCTGTCTGTAGTATTCGTATAGCAACTCTAGCAAACATTTAGGAAGCCGAAGGTTCTTCCCAAGAAGGTAACTGAGATGTCCCTATCATGGTGGGGTGACAAGAATTCTAAGACTCAGAAAAAATGATTTTAATTGACTGGGCCAGGAAAGGTCAGGTCACTGGCACAGCAATAGCCCTGGGAGAGGCAGGGGGCAGAAGACACCTGATTACAAACAGCTGAGCAAGGGGTGCCAGGCTGGTGACGGTCCATCAGTTGGTTCCCACCTTCACTGGGGAATGGGAAAACGCTTTTAAGACCTGCTTTAGGGTCTGGGTCCAGCCCGTGTGACAAGACCAATCCCATCAGTGCTCACAGACATCAAGAAGCTCAGCTGGCCATGGGCAGATCATCTAATGTACAATCAGGGAGATGGCGTCAATAAAAGGGGGCAACCAATGTCAGGGCCTCAGGACTTAATCCAACGCTTTACCGAGGCAACAAAGCCAAAGCCATCTTTCCTATGAAACAAGGGGCAGGAGACCTCAGAAACCTCCAGGAGTAAAACTGACATCACACTGTAGCTAGCTGCCAAGACGCGGAACCAGTGTTGCCGCTTTTGCTCCCCGCAGAGTGGGTGCATTAGACAGAAAATGCTTAGCGTGAACAGAAATAGGAGGGAATGGTGGCAGTGAGGGCATCTTGTGTTCCCTCTGCCACAGTCATCTAGTTGGGAATTCTGTGTCTCACTTCTTTTTTTAAAACATTCTGACAAGAATTTTATAATCAAAAGAACACAAAAATCAAAGCTATTATCAAGAATTGTCTGACTTCATAAGCAGCTCCAACTTCTTATTCCCACCTGAATTGTGGTTGAGTGGGTTTGCACAGTTTTTCATGTGTGCAGGGCTTTGCTGCTGGAGCCCCGGGAGGTGGTATTTTTGCTCTGAGAAGAGGATTCACTTTAGCCTGCTGCAATTCATATCTGCCTGGGAAGACATCCAGAATGATTCACAAATTGGTTATGGCAACAGGTAAAAAGAACAACTGTCATGAAAAGGCAGCAGCAGCAACAGCAACAGCAGCAGCAGCAGCAGCAGGGCAGAAAATATAAGTGTTCCTTGAAGGAAAGGTAACTAAAATATCTTTGCTAAATTTAAAAATCTATATGTGCACGTGTGTGTGTGTACACTCAGACACATATGCATAAAATGATTACACATATAATTCTATGTACATAAAAATAAAATGATTAATGTGAATGAGTTTGCACATTCACTGCCGCTATGGTCCACCAGCCAATAGGAAGGAACCCAGGGGAAGTCCACGAAAGCCTGTGGCTATAAAGAATGTGGCGCCACACTCCCGCAGCACCTATCTGCTGGTGAGAACACTCCAGTGTGGAGTTGTCCTGCCACCTTTCAAGAGGTAGATGAGGAAATCTTGTCCCCCAGACCAGGCTAAAGACCCCTTGAGAGCAAGGACTATGTCTCTGTCACTCCTTCGAGCTTCACTTCACTCCATCTCATTCAAGATGGCACAAGGCTAAGTACTAAGGAACTAAGGTATGAGGTATGAGCTAAGTACTGAGGTGCTCCGTGGTTCATTTGTAAAGGGTCACTTTCTGATCCATACTATGAAAGAGAAACAGAAATATATGAGAAAATGCTCTTTGGAAAGTGACCTTGTCTTGAACCTGTGGCCCACTTTGTTCTTCTCTGTCCATTCTATGACCAAAAGAGAGAAGAAAAAGTCTATCGTGAAATGCTCAATGATTCCATTTCCTTCCTACCCACTTCTACTTCCTCCTGACACTTGGCATGTCCCTCCAACTCACATACCAAACAACCTCCATCAAAGATTCTTTCCCTTTTCTTATTGCCTTTGGCATCAGAAACTGCTTGTCTGTGCTCCGTCCAGGATCCATCTAACAAAGGCTGAAGCCCCACACACCTGGGATTCACTCTCTGTAGCAAGATATCTGAATTCCTAGCTCTGAAGCTTCAAAGCAAAGGAGAGAAAGAAATAGGGAGGGAAAGGCCAAAGCCAACTTAAAGACTTCCCATGAGAATGGAAAAGGAGCATGGGAATGCTGGAGGTGGAGAGAGAATGCCATCCAGAGACTCAGAGAATGTAAAGACACATGTATCCTTCCTTGCAAGAGTTCTTCTTTGAGGTTTCCACATAATATTCCAAACTAGGTCTTTCCAAGGAACTTCGAAATCTTGGCAAATGCTCCGTAATTCCTAGGATACATCGTGTGATCTGGTGGCAGATGAAGAGATGAAAAGTGAAACAAAATAGAGAAGAAAAATAAGCAGAATGCCCAACATGGAAGAGACCCCTTCCAAATGCACAAGGTCACAGCACCATGCAGGAAAGGGAAGGGCCCACAAGCTGCCAGGGGTTCCCGGGGGTGCTGGGAAATCACAGATCATGTTACCAAAGGAGAACTGCTAAATCTTATGACTTTTGTGTTTAGGATCAGCATATGGTCCCCAAATAGTTTGCCCACTAAATTGCCTGAAGAATGTTTTTTCACAGAGGGTCTACTTGGCATTTCACAGGCAGGACATTTCTTTATGACATGAGCCTTGTTTTGCCTATTGAACAACATTTAGTAGCACCCCTAGAATCTGGACACTAAATGCCAAAGGCATGTCCCAGTTATAGTCACAAACCAAAACAACTGTGAACATTTAAAAACACCCACTTAGCAGAGGATTCAGGGGATATGACCTCTTGTTGAGAATTATTTGCAAGTTTTCCATGAAATTACAGATCAAGCTGTCTTTGATGAAAAACTCTGTTGAGGAAGAGTGAAGTGCTTTTCTCAATTGCAACATTTCAAGCCTAGGAGACTGGCTACTGTGTAGGGTGGGAAGTCCTGATGGGAGCTGCCTAATATATGGCTCAAATCTCAAGAATCTGTCCAACATGGTGGTCTGTAGTCATCCTGCCTCTGCAGGGTTGGCCACAGCTCTGGGCTCCCACTTGCTGAACAGTGTTAAAGTTGGACACGTTCTCACCAGTGTTTGGAAATCCCTTACCTATGACAGATATCACTCTCTGGGCTGCCACTTAGTGGCAAGAAGTGTTCTTCTGCCCCTTCCCTGCTAATAGGAAGAAAGACAACCATGGACTTTCTTTTCTTTTCTTTTCTTTTCTTTTGAGACAGGGCCTCCTCTATCTATCACCCAGGTTAGAGTACAGTGGTACAATCATGGCTTACTGCAGCCTCAAACTCCTTGGGCTCAAGGGATCCTTCTGCCTCAGCCTCCTGAATATCTGGGACTACAGGTGCACACCACCATGCCTGGCTTTTTTTTTTTTTTTTTTTTTTTTTGTAGAGATGGGGTTTCACTATGTTGCCTAGGCTGGTCTCAAACTTCTGGGCTCAAGCAATCCTCCAGCCTTGGCCTCCCAAAGTGCTAGGACTATAGGTGTGAGCCATTGCACCCAGGCTAACCACAGAAATTCGTAGTTCAAAAGGACTTTTAGGAGATCACTTACATTTGGGAGCAGTGGTGCACAGAGGGTTAAGTGTTTTGCCAACAGTCACACAGTAAAAACAACCAAAAGAATTTATGTACATAAAGTGCTGTAGCACACAGTCAGTACTTGATAATTATTTCCCACCGGTATTATCATTCCATCATCCAGGAAGTCCAGCCATTGCTTTAAGTGGTATTTCTCTGGAAGGTAGAAACTCTACCTACTCACATCAAGGACAAGGCCACATGGTTTCCTTCAGTGTCCCCCACAGGATGACCATGGAATGAAATCAAGATTCTTGTCCACAAGCCCAGCAGTGCTTGCTGCTCGTGTTGTGGAAGCCCACTGCTTGACAGGCTGAATGCTCCCATTTTCCACATGTACAGTAAAAACACCGAGTGGTGTTTTTACTAGAAATGGAAAGGAAGAAGGCTGCCTAGCTCACAAGCCTTCTAGCAAAACAGTCAGTCAAACCAAAGTTGGGCAGGGGGTAGGTAAGTAAATATTCTGTATTCTCACCTCAGACCAGAGATGGGCTTGAAACTGATTGTAACATGTCTACTCCAAAGAGGTCAAGGGGTGAGGGAAACTCATGTCCAGCATGCTCTCGCATGGACATGGCAAATACAGGATGAAGACAGACAGTGGCTGAGACCACTCCACGTCCCTTGACCCCCAGCACAGATGCCTTCCTCTCCTGCTCCACTTCATCTCATCTCTCAAGTAACTACCCCCCTCCCTTCTCCCCACAAGATCACTGAAGGCTAATCTAGAACTCTTACTTCTAAGCATTAATTCACTCAATATTTTAAAAGTATCCTAAAGAACTGGTCCTTGCCCTGAAGGAGTCGATGATCCAGCAGGAGCATAAAGGCACAGATGACTCATCTTCCACCTCTACACAATAAATGTCATGTGGAAAGTAGACTCATGATCCCCTAGGCATATTCCTTAGGACAACAGTTTCAAGAGATACACTGCCTAAAGAAAGGGTGCCAGGGCCAAATGATCTAATAATTCTGGAAAATGCTGTTACCACCCCCCGCTTTGTAAAGACTGACAGTACAAATTAATGTACTAAAGGCATTAACATGTATTGCAGTGAAAAGCCTTATTAGTGCTGATCAACTCAATCATTCTCAAGCATGTTTGACTACCTAAATTTATCAACATTTCATGGAGACAATATTCCATTGAATGTCATTTGCTGGATTCTAATTGGGGTGATTGGGAATAGGTGTTAAAGAAGATGCTGCATTTTGACTGGGCCCAAAAGATGAGTAGAGTTTCATTAGTCCCAGATGGAGGCAGAATGTGCAATCCACTCATGCAACACACACTCACTGAGTACTTCCTAAAGGTGAGGCCAACCCTTGGCTCTGGGGGGCTGCTACCCTGGTTTCCACTGCAAGGCAGAGTGAAAGGCACTAGAGCACTGATTTGAGAAAGGGCTTCCTATGTTTGGGGAATAGCAAATGCATGGCTAGAGTAAAGCAGGTGTAAAAAGAGACAGAATGAGGAATAAGGCTGAACCAAACAGAAAAAGCATCTATTAGATCAGTTGTTTATCAGGCCACCTGTTACCTGTTAACAGCACTGGCCTAGACAGTGTTAATCATTTCTGTCTGCTGTGGCTAGTGAAGAAACCCTGAGCAAGATCTTCCCTTCTCTAGGCCTCAGTTTCTTTATCTATAAAATGACTGGATTCTCTAAGGCTACTTGCAGCATCCATGTCTCAGTGTTCTGTGATTATAAGATATAAAAAGGCAGCAGCACATACCAGCACTAAAGGACAGGAAGAACTGGGGACAGGAGAATAGCTATTGGTTTAGACATACATCGAAAAATCACCTTGAAGAAAAATGAGCAGAAGAAAAATGAAGCCTATTCCATCTTCAGCTCTCAGGGCCCAGACTCCCTCCACCTGATATCTTAGGATTCTGCTTCTCAAATGGGAAGAATAAACATGGCATAGTTTCCAACAGTCAATTGTGCTCAAAAATGTAAAGAAGAAAATTTGACTCTTGTTCTAAAATCAAGACATATTTTAGACTTAGCATGCAATATTCTCAATGTATTTTAGAGATTTAAAAATGAGGACTTAAAGAAAGATCTGGCTTGTGTGGGCTTTTTGTCTTATGGGTGAGTCCCCTGGGTGCTCATTCACCGTCTCCCAGTGTGAGGAGTATACTTGGAGGGAAAGTTTCACTGGGCATCTCAGAGCTTTAGCCATTTAAATCTTGTAAAGACAGAAGCCTATTTATCCTGACTTAAGCTGTTCTAAAGAGACAGAAACTCACCATTGGACTGGTCTTCTCCATAGTTTTTATGGGATGGTGCATACAAGAACATCAGAGCAAAGACATACAGATTCCACATCCCATAGATGCCTGTGAAAAAGGCACTGTTCACTTGGACTGTGACGCCGCCCCATTTCCAATGGCCTTCCGTTACCTGCGGAGAAAGGATGGTGATATTCAATTGAAACAGAGAAGAAACAGAAGAAACATAACACCAATAAAGGAACCAACCAACATGAAAACCAAGTCTCTTCTACATGTGGGAAACATGAAGGGCCATGTAAGACTCCATCTTTTAATCTGAATCATTTCGGTGTAAATTAAGGTCAACTGAAGGTTCTCTAGCTTTCTGTCAGGCACAGTCAGTGGTCCTTACCTTGCCCACAGATTAGTATCACCTGGGGAGTGTCTCTTCCTAAAAACAGCAATTCATTGCTATCCCTAAGTTAAACAAACTGTGTTTGAGCCCATCACTTATTCACAATTATAATTCCTCCTCTGCTGTCTGTCTTCCCAGCTAGATGTCAATTCCCTGCAGGCAGAGACCAGTTCTCTGCTGCCATGTCTTTAAGGCCTGATGCACCATAGATTAATTCAAATCCAGTGTCTACCACTCACTCGGCTTAATGTAAGACAAGATGAAGACTCCAGACTTCAGAACTTCAGTGTCCGTAAGTGTAACATAAAAGCTTGCAGGTTATCGAAGAGAATTAAGTAAAAATATTTCTAGAACCTGCCTGGCAGGTACTCAGTAAATATTAGTTATTTCTATAACATCCCTTGAAGTAAGCCACTCATGAAAATAATTATGAAGCTTTCATATGCTTCAAAATTCTGCAAGAGATGTTTTGAAGCTGCTTTTGTCTGTGTTAATGATTTGGTAATTGTCTTAAGGGCTGCCTAAAGATATATGGATTACACTAAGAACTGTCAACAGAGCTGCTGAGCTAAGTGACTAATTTGTGCCAGCTCTGAGACAAATGAAATGATTTTGACCACTTCTGCTTACTACGGGACACTTAAAATGGAAATAGAAGAAAGTATTGGGTAAATATTCCTTTGACAGCTGAATGAGGCTGCGTTGTATAAACTTTCTCTAGGAATCACTTTTAAATTGTAAGATGGCAGGCTAGATTGAAATGTTAAGAACTTTAACAAGCAGGTGGATTTCATTGCCTGTTTATGATACAGTGGGTCTGTGTTCATTATCTTCTGTATAATCCATAACCCACTTGGGGCCCTAGGCCAAATTAAGGTCTAAGTATAGGTATTTTTTTCTGAAAGACCAGGAGTGTCAGTTAACCACATTAGCCAATTATAGACTTAGCAGTTTTAGTTTGGCCTTGGTGATACATAATTCTTCACTTTTTGTGACTCATAAACAAACCACTATTATGAACTCTTATTTATTTTGGAAAATAATGCATTTTATATAAAATGCCCAGAAGTGTTTTCTGGCAAAGATGGATTTCATAACCATTACTAATTTTAGGACAATGTACCAGCATTCAAGCTACTTAGGACTTCTTAGAAATGTCTCCAAATGTCGCTCTTCTTTAAGTGCAGAATATACTAACTTTATAAAAACTATATTACTTAGAGCATCTTATGATGATTTTTATTGCATATAATGGAAAGGAAAAGAAAGCATTAAGATAGTTTCCAGAAATACAGGTACCTGCTGTCATAACACAGAGAACTCTTCTGTATGTGATTAAGGAGGGGAGGCTAGGCTGTCACGCATCCTAGCTGCAAGAGAGAATATGGCAATATGGCAGCTCTTCTACTCTGTTAAGGCAGTGGACCCTTCAGCTCAGGGAAGGGCCAGTAAGAGACCCTATTCCTGCGACAGAAGCTGGAAATACTCAATATTGACAATTTTAGTGACATTGATTCTTGCTAGGATTGACATGACTGACCCATCTAAGGAAACACCAACCTATGTGCCTTGCACACAGTGGTGCTCGATAGACATATGTTGAATGAACAGAGGTAAAGTACAGGTATGTGTAGGGACTCCAGGACAAATACATGGAGGTAGAAAGTGGAGATGGAAAGAACCACTCTTAAAAGTACTTGATTGAAAAGTAAAGACAAAGTATTGCAGTCCACAAGTCATAATAATTGAATTTAAAAGTGAGAGGAGATGCCAATGTGTGACAAGTGTTATTCATTTAAAACATTGCTTTCCGTTATACTTATTTAAAATAAGTGGTTAACACAAATATTAGCAAAGCTAAGATTCTTTTGTATTCATAACAAGGATAAGCATATTTATTCAATGCTAATGATGTGCCAGATACAATACTAAATCCTTTTACATGAAACACATTATTTAGTCTTATTAATGACGCTGTGAGGTAGGTAGGTAATATTTCCATTCAACACATGGGTAAACTGTGGCACAGAAAGATGGAGTATCTTGCCCAAGATTGCTCAGCCAGAAAGCCATGGCTCTGACTCCAAAAGAAGGTATTCTTAACCATTATACAACACAAGGGTAGGAATGCTATCTTAAACAGGGGTTGATCTCTGAAGGTAGCACATGCTCTGAAGGTAGCACATGAGGCAACGACTATGTAAGGTCAAATTTCCTTTTGAAATTCACTTCATTGCCCATAATGTACATTACAAATACAACATACATGCACACATTTGTCTATTCAAATCTGTATAGTATGCACTATATATCCTGGACATAGTAACATATGGTATAAACTGGATATATAAACAAAATAAAAACTTACAGTAGAACCACTGGAATGAGATGCCCATAGTATGAGAGGCACACACCAAGCCTGACAGGAAATATCAGACTCATGCTCCCGTCTCGTACTTGCTCTGGGACACATGCACATTGTTTAGAGTGGAGTTGCAGAATTACACACCCTACTGAATGTGCAATCTGTAAATGTGGTGTTTCCTGCTGTGGGCAAAGAGTTGAACTGCAGAAATAAACGGTATAGATAGTGTAACTCTGCTCTTTGGTGGCTGGCTTGTTTTTCCCTCTCCTCTCCCAATTATTCATGCCTAAGACATCCTCAGCTCTGAGCACATTCCCACCAATATGTACCACAATGAGCAGCCTCAACAGAGCAGGCCTTGTAAATCCAAAATCTTACTAATGCCAAGGCGGAGGTAACAGTCTCCCCCCTTTTAACTTTGAGAGAAAAATCAGGTAGCCCCAGCCCCCCTCCGCCAAACCCTCCCCCCTCCTCAAAATCCCCAAATCTCACCCTCTGCATAAGTCTTATTTCTAAAAGTCCCTGTTTTTCCTGATTTTACATTTGAACAATTTACTTTTGTGTGAAACCACCCAATTATACCCCTGGAGCCAAGTGAAGGTCAAATCTCTTTACACCCAGTAGTCTTGACAACCAACATTCCACTTAACAACAAGATTTCCAAATCCCAGACACAGGCTCTCTTACCGGAAACATTTCCTCTGTAAGTAACAGAATGAAGTGATCACACACACACAAAAGAGCTGGGGACAGGCTCTCTGGGAGTTTGCTGCATGTGGCTTGACCTGAATGTCAGGCACCTGGGGGTCCCCTTAATGAAGGTCGGTGACCTTCTCCCCTGCACTGCACTTCTGTTCCCTACTGCCGCCACCTCTAAATGGAACGCCTCTTTCTTTTCCAGAGGGAAGGGGCTGAAATACCAGACTGCGATGTACCATCTCTTGGTTGCTATGACTGAGGCCATTAAAATGGCAGGCATTAAAAGACTGCACCTCAGTACCCAGCTACAAAGCCTCAAGGTCACTGCATTCCACAGCTTCCCGTCGCCTTTCATTCCTGGCCTCAGAGCTTCAATATCCTGGCGAGATCCCCTCGCATTATATTTCATGAGGCTTAAATGCAAGCTCTCCCACAGCAAGCCCGAGAGTATAATGGGGGTTTTAATACATTCCTTTTACCTAAGGCTGGGATCCATTTCAAAAAGTTACCCAATAGGTTTCCTTTCAGGTGAGCTCATTGCTCTGACATTCCAAAATGACATTAAAAAATAAATCCTCTGATGACTATATTAATACAGTACCTGGGACACTGAGAGTTATGCCGGAAAACGTCTTAGATGTCTATAAATAAATCTTAGAAAAAAAACCCAGCAGGAGGAATGTGAGGAGCTAATGGAATTCAAAAGGCCTCATTGCTACCCCCTTAGAGTTGAAATCCACTCCGGGCCGACTGTCGCAGCAGATATAAAAAGCCAGCCACAGGCTGAAGCTGTATTAGAAAATACTGAGGCAATAGAATATTAATCTTTTTCTCCAAAGAAAAGCCACGGACTATGCTCCTTGGAAGATGGCTTCCTTTGCTATAAGAAGTACACTAATTAAACATGTACAAGGTTAAATCCTGGCAACATGCAGCTGCTTCAGGGATCAGTCCTTCTTGACTTCAGGTGGGAGGCATTCCCCGCAGAGGCAAGATATACATGAGGCAGTGTGGGGAGAATGACGTCAGCCTCCCAAACTGGCACAAGGACCTGTGTGTGGCCTTAGGATCAAAAGCGTCCTTCTTTCTGCTTTCCTAAAAACATATCTTGAAATTGCCTTTTATGCCTCAACCCATCTTCCTTGAGATGCCGTTTCTCCAAGGAAGTGCTCTGTGCCCTCTCAGCCTTGCAGGTCTGGCTGTGTCAAGTGCCACTGTGCACTACTGAGGGACTGGAGGAACTGAAAAGCATTTTGGTCATAGGAGGGAATAGCCACGGGAGAAGTCAGGCCTCAGACACTCTTGTTTGAATATGGATGTTTGAGCCTTAGCTGGTAGAATAAAACACTCTTTCAGAGTTTGAAATAGTTTTACTGCAAATGGAGTGGAAAGCGAAGTTTCCAAGGTTTTATAAACAACCTGATATAAACACAGCAGTGTTGTAGGTCAAAGCAGATGTGGTGAACAGAACTTACAAAGACATATATGTGTATCAGTTTATTTTTTCCACGTTCATTTCAACCTCAGCAGAGCTAGCAACACTAACACTCCCCAGTGGCAGAGCCAACAACAGGGCTCTAGAGGCTCCAAACTTGGGGTCCTCTTGGGTGTCCTTGGATAGAATTCAAGGGGTCCATAAACTAGAATAGAAAAAATTATATATTTTCACTAGTCTCTAGCTGAAAGATAATGTTTACTTCAATTATGGATGTAGAAAAATCCCTATAGTGTTAGTACTACTGTGATTTTCTCAATAGAAATCATGATATTTTCACATCAATTACAGTTGTAGATATAAATCTGTAATATACCTGTAGCATCTGTTTCACTGTAAATATATATTACATATAATATATAGAGATGATTCCCCTTGAAATTCGAAGTATTTTATTTTACTTATTTGAAACCATTCTAAGAGGAGACTCGTAGCCTTCTTCAGGTTGCTAAAGGGGTCCATATACAAAAATGGTTAGGAGTCCCTGTACTAGGGAAACTTCCCAGCAGAATGGAGCAAGTCGTGTCCTAAGACACTATCTACACTACTGAAATCCTCCATTTTGGCTAAATGACAAAGCACTGGCAAAAGAGTCAGAAGGACTGCGTTCTGATCTCTAACTTATTGCATGTCCTTTGGCAAGAAAGACATTCAAGCTTCTTGCTATTCATAAGAACACAGCTACTCATGCTTACAATGTGCCAGGTGCTCTGCTAACTACATTTGGTTGCCACAATGATGGTTCAGTCAACAACAGACCACATGTATGACAGTGGTCCTGTAAGATTATAATATCATATTTTTACTGTATTTTTCTATGTTTAGATATGTTTGAAATACACAAATACTTACCATTGTGTTACAATTGCCTACAGTAGTCAGTAGAGGAACATGCTGTACAGGTTTGTAGCCTAGGAGCAATAGGTTACACCATATGGCCTAGGTATGTAGTAAGCTATACCATCTAGGTTTGTGTAAGTACACTCTATGATGTTCCCTTAATGAGGAACTCACATAATGATGCGTTTCTCAGAATGCATCCCTCTTTGTAAATATTACTTCCTGTAGTCATTACAGCAACCTTCTGTGGTTCTATTGTAATATTTATTTTGCAGATAAGAAAATTAAACCTTAGAACTGTTAAGTAATCCATCCACAGTCCTATCCAGCTAGGAAGCAACATAAATGAAAACTTTCTCCAAAGCTATTAGATATCATAGTCTAGCAAGCTAGGATAACAATTCCTGCCCTACTTACCTCGTAGGATTTTTGTGATGCTCAAATGAATAATAGATACATTAGATTTAAACAGTACTTCCCACCCTTCAAAACAAGTTATGAATATTTTAAAATGATTGTTATTGAGATTTTCAAGTATAGCAAAATGTTGAGTTTTGGAAATAACCAGTGAAAAGACAAGATGCTATCAAAGAGACTTTTGAATTACATTTCATATTTAAGTGGCAATATAATTATTACAAGGAATAGCTGATGGACTGTATAAGGATCTATGTTAATGCTAGATAAAAATGGAATCAAATTTATGCTTGTTAGTGTTGTGCTACACGGCTTGATAAGTTTTTCTCATAAGTAAATAAAATATGTGCCCTTCAATCTGGCTGTAGGCTTTTAATTTATTTGGAAACTTTTATCTCCTACAAGGTTTTACGGAAAGAGAAAATTTAGTCCATTTGGCCAGGTGATATCAAGACCCAGAAAAATATGGCTTGACCAGCTGTCCAGAATTATGGCCTCTCTCCTCCTTTCCTCAGTGGCTCTATTGAATTTCTGTGCAGGGTAGAGGGATCTCTGCAGAGACATTCTCACCTTGACATCTCAGGGTCCACTTACCTGACTAACGATGAAGAAGATGACAGTCATGGCAGCGCAGGC
This sequence comes from Homo sapiens, assembly GCF_000001405.40. NCBI lineage: Eukaryota > Metazoa > Chordata > Mammalia > Primates > Hominidae > Homo > Homo sapiens. The sequence goes on from NC_000001.11 coordinate 68,144,611, forward strand.
CAAGGTGATAAGCATGAGGAACTTGAACCTAAAAATTAGCCCCTATTAGAAAAGAAAGAGTAGTTTAATACTCCATCAGCTACCAATCCTTTTCTCACTATGTAAATCTATAAAAAGCTTAATTTTAAAGAAATCTGTAAAACCAAATCCCTAAGAATGACAGTAAAATAGTTTCCCATAGTAATATTTCTTCTGCAGAGGTGAGTGTGGCTGAAAATTTCTTGGGCCAAGTATTTCCTATGTTCTTATCACTCATAAAGCAGCGATACGAGAGCCTGGGAAATTATATTCACAACACGTCGTGAGGCTGCTAATTTCCCTGCTAAGCTGGTTATGCTTCTCTGCAAGGGTTCAAAGTTACCAAATCCAAGTTTTCTGTGGTTGTAATAAAATTCTGCTCCAGTGAACAAAAAGAAATGTGCATATTAATCAACATGAAGTGGATTTGGTTGAATTTTCTCATGTCACTCCAGCTCTGGAGACAGGCAAGCCTTAGAAAGTGCCTGTGGTTTCCTAAGAGCAGGATTTAAGAGAACCTGTGTTTCAGAGAGGGAGGCCTATTATTCAGGGGCTCTTCTGTGCAGATCTACTGCATATAAAAACTCTGAGGTTCTGTAGTTTCTGCTTCTCTTTTCATACAGGAATTAGGCTTGTTTCTCCAAGGACAGCCACTTAGGCATGAACCCAGGGGATCCCTGATAAATCAAGGATGTGTTGCTTGCATTGGGGATTTGAGGATGTTAAGTGTTTCTCTTGAATGAGGAACATAATCTATAAACAGAGATTACTGAACTCTGTCTGAGCATCTGCTGGATATTTTAGGGGAATGTGGCCTGTTAAGAGTCTGGAAATCAGATCACGTGGGCTAAACCCTGTTTAATTACAGGACAGGGTTGATTCTGGGACAGAACTTTGACTAAAGCCTCATCCCAACAAAATCCCAATTATGCCATAGTCCAATCTCCCAGCTAGTATGTAACCTACATTCCATCACCAAGCTGAAGAACCGGCTGAACAAGTTTATTCATTACTGAAAATGGAAACACATTTGTACCACAGAAAACACCAAGATTTAGGCCAGCTAGATGCTTCTCAGAGTAAGATTTGGCCTCTAATTTTGCCCAGAGATCCTACATGAGAATCTCTCAATTTGTATTTCAAAGTAAAGGCTTTCTATCTCCAGGGTGTGTGTGTTTACACATCAAGTGGAAAGATCAAGCAAGCACCAGTTCCAGAACGAGCCAAGAAATCTGCCCACCTCATAGTGTAGCCGCCGGACTTTGCTCATAGCTGGCAGGCTGGACTGCTTCCCACTGATGTTCCGAAACACCTGAAATACCATGAAGCATAGAAACAGGAAGTAGAGGCAGAGGCAGATTCCAGCCACGATGATGAAGGCCATCTGGTCGTGTCCAGTAAAGGAAACAACGGGCTAGCCAAGGCCAAGTTGAGCCGGGTCCAGGCCCTTCTCCCCAGGTCTGTTGGCAATACTTGTTTTGTCTCCAAATATGTAGAAAATTTTCAAGGGGATAAAATATTAAAACCTGATATTCTAATGCCAATGATAGGTTTCTTGACACATTAGTACCACAGAGGGAGGTGTTCAATATTGCTTTCTAAACCAAGTAAGAAAAGAAATGGTGTCTTGCTTGTTAGAAATGAAGAATCTAGGCCCTACCCTAGACCTAATGAATCAGAATCTACCTTTTAACCAGGTCCCCAGGAGATCCGTATACACAATAAATTTGAGAAGCACTAATAAACCATATATTCGTCACTATGGATCAGATGAAAAACCACAGTAAAATCACCAGAAGGGTTCAAATGTAGATCCCCAGGTCCCTCCCTAGATATATGGAATCAGATATTCCAGGGCTAGGACATCAAGTATGACTATGTTTGGGAACCACTGGGCTAGTCCTTGGAGTTTTATAAGAATGCGATTGAGATACTCTGGCATAATTGAAGAGGAGATACGTGGGGGCTCAGTGCAGGGGACCTGGGCATGGGCTTGAAAGTCTTAAAGTGAAACCAGGGATGAAGGACTATTTGCAATCTTCTGTCACCACAGAAAATCTTGTCCAACAGAATGGGGATTCAAGGACACATGGCACAGGTGGGAGTCTGGGTTGCTGCCAGTATACTTGAGACCCACTAGGGAGACTGACCTGCCAATTAGAGCCAGTCTGAGAACCACCAAGTCTTAGGATAGCGTGAGCTGCCTTGGAAGGCAGATGACCTGATTCCAACCCCTTTCTGCTACAACTTTGCCCAAATTGCCTTTTTTTTTTTGAGACAGAGTTTTGCTTTTGTTGCCCGGGCTGAAGTGCGATGGCACAATCTTGGCTCACCACAACCTCCTCCTCCCAGGTTCAAGCGATTCTCCTGCCTCAGCCTCCCGAGTAGCTGGGATTACAGGGATAAGCCACCACACCTGGCCCAAATTGTCTATTTTTAAAAGCATTTAATAAGTATGAACTTGGCGTGCATATTTCATTAAATAATATAATATCTAATGCAGTTTCTCCTTCTTTCCTATAATGAACATCATCCTGGAATGAAGGGAATATAGTTATTTTCTGCAGGACTTGAAATTTTACTCACTCCATCCTATCTACAAAATTAAAAAAGTTGAACTAGATTTAACATTAGAAACATTCTTCTTGTTGTGCAGCTAACATTTGGTGGGGGCATAACAGAGGAAGGGTAGAGCTTCTCTCTCATCTTTGAGGAAATGATACTACTGATTTAGTTTGCTCACAATGTTCTTGTGACACTGAGAAACCAATATAAACATCATGGCAAGACAAAGGATATTCCCTAGCACGTGGCAAGATATGAGCCATCAAGGAAGAATACAACCCAAGCCTTTCTCTCCACTCCAGAGCAGAGTCTTTTTCTCCCAAGATCATTTCACATACTATTCCGGAAGATAAAATATTTAAATCCAGCATCCTAAAAGGGATAAGCTAAGACTGTCACTTCTGCTTCATGAAGATGACTTAGAGTTTATGCCAACCAACCAGAAGCCTTGGCGACTTCTCTGGAACTAATCACCTTAGCCTTATCTCCACTTGGTCTCAGGAATAAATAGCAGCAGTGTGATTTGCCAGCACACCAAGGTCACTTAAGAAGTCTCACACATAGGTGGTTTCAGAAACAGGCTCTTCCACAGGGGCCCAGAGATGAACCTCCATGGCTCCAGGGAAAAGCTAGTCATGCTTCAGTCTGCAGGAAACAGTGTATAACAGATAATTCAGACAGGCTGCAGTAAGCCTAGCAACTCGGATCCCTCTGCTGTGAGGATAGGCTGTGACCTTCTCATTTTGCCTGCTCTCACCCAGGCTTGAAAGCAAGCAGTAATTCTTCTTATTATTAGCCTTAATTGTGCTGTTATGATTGGCCTGAGAATCAAAGCCCTGGCTGAGTACATATGGGGAGCATCAGCAGAGCCTTAGAAAATGATCTTGGGGACTGGGTGGCCAGGGGAAGAAATAAAACCCTGAGCCCATCAAGGAAGGATACGGCCAGCTCTGTTCCAATGTCTGTAGTCCAGATACTGTAGAAGGGATTCGTGAGTTGTACCCCTCTACAAAGAAAATGAGATGGAAAGGCAAGACACAATTAATACAAAGGCAACGGGAACTTTCCTTTTCACATATTCTTAGCTTTTCAGCTGCAGGGGTGAGGGCTGTATTTAGGCTAAAAAACATTACAGAAATCCTAAAGAGAAATGAAGCTTGTAGAATACATCGGCCCAAATATTTTTCAACTGTAAAGAGCTGTGCCTTTGATTTGATCCCAGACCTTGTCTGAGGATGTGACCACGTCCAGTGCTTCCAAACCAAAGGTTCCCGACCACCATTCTCCTTTTCAAACACTCCTCCTAAAATGACAGGAGTGGGCGTGGTGATGCACAGTTTGGCTCAGTGTCCCACAAACACTTGCTCACCTCTCACACATGTCAAATATGAAGAGGCAGAAGGAGCCAACGGCAATGGGTCCGACTTGCTTCCAATACCCTGCGATGTGGTTCCGCTCGTGCTGATCCTGAGGAAAACCAAATTGAGAAGGGAGATAGAGGGGAGAGGAAGACCAAGCAATTCTATGGGGGAGTCAGCATTCGAAGGACACTTGCCGACCACCTATTGTGTATCAAGCACTATGCTAGATTCTAGGTATGAGAACAAAGAAGATGAAAATCTCTTCTTCAGGAGCTCATCTCTGTGGGGGAGTCTGGCACATACGTAGAACATGACAAAGCCCAGCCATAAGGGCTCTGAGAGTAATAAGAACAGGATGCCATGGGAACACAAAGAAAGGCCTCGGCTCCCAGGCAGGGGACATTTTGTGGTCCACAAAATAACTCATTCTGAATTAAATTTCTACGTGACTTGTAACTTGTGTTTATAAAAGTGACTGATCCTCAGAAGACAAAGTAAAGACATTAAAGCATTTAAATATGTAAAGTGTGTCTATTATGGTGAGGAAAATAGGCATATTTTCTCCCCATCCTTATTAAAACCAGGAATGAGTCCCCTTGATAAACAAAGACACCAAGAGAAAGAAAAGGAAGGAATGTAGAATGAGAAAAAAGGGAAAGCAAAGATGATCTTAGCCTCCAGGTGGGGCCCCAGGTGGGTCAGTCCACACCAGCTCCCTGCGGACAATCCTTGGCTGGCTTCCTGGTGCTGGACCAAGTTCCATCCACTCCCCCGCCCTGCTGCTGAGGCCTCATTCTCAGCGCATCTCTGCTGGAGGACACCTCATGGAGAAAGACCCCTTAATGTAGACAGTTTAGCAGTAGGAAGAAGTCTCTCTCTCTGCTCTCACACTGCTCTCCTGGAAGGGCAGCAGGACTTGAGAGGTCTGGTTTTCATGATTGAGCCATAATGGAATTTAAAAACAGTCCACTCTGCTGTGAAGCCCATGTGCCTGACGTGAAGACCAAGTTCCAGCTGGCATATCATCTTAGCCACAATGTGATGATGACACCATTCTTATTTTTAACCATGGTACCTTCAATCCCTCTTGAAATATGATTTGGTGTCTGTGCAAACTGAGGAGACCGGGAAGGTCTGTATTTCAGAGTAATAGGGGTTACTAGGCCACCTGGACACATTGCCAGCTGGAAAGAGCCAGGCCCACATTCTCTGATGGTTAACCTGTATTCCTGGGGACAGGACAAGCAGGGCAGAAGCCAGCAGACAAGAAACTCAAGCTCAAGGGCAAGAAATAATACTAATCATTAGAATGTGTGTGTTTATCTTAAGTTACTCACATTCTGTCATTTAATTCTCATGAAAACCCCATGCAGTAGGTCTTTACATCCCATTTTATAGATGAGGGACCCGAGATTCAGAGTGATAATGTCATTTGCCTAAAGCCACTCAGCTGGTCAGCAGGTGGTGAAGCAGGAATGTGAACCAGAGGGTCTGCCTCCAGAGTTCCCACTTGTAACTACTAGTTTATTCTGTCTCACCCACTGCTGACTAGAGGCAAAGGGGGGCAGGTGTCAGCTTGGCAGCCTGCACAGAGCAGCTGGTACAGACGTCTGTCCCTCCCGGCGGCTCTTACCATCATGTGCTCGCCACAGAAGATGATCCAGAAGGACAGAAGCATCGCATAGAAGATGCCCTGTCGGATGTCACCAAACAGCAGCATCCAGGTCCAGTCAAACCCGATGGAAAACCATTCCACTGGGATATTGATAAAGGTCATGGAAATCCCAAGGGCAAAGATGACTCTGATGGTGAGAAAATATCAGGACAGCCACTTTATTCATCTGGAAGGCAGATTTTCAAACAATTCCCCGAATTCAGTTTTGAGACATGAGATGTTACTTATTGGGTCTGAAGCCATATGATCAATTTCTTCTGCACAGAGATGCAAAACGTCCTATGTAGTTGGCACTGCTGCAGAATGAGGGAGTGCTATACCAACCTTTCTATGGAAGTGAACCTGACCTCCTTAATGCCTCACACTTTACTTTGGTACCACTGCAGATGGCAGTCTTCCTATAATGTTTGTGTCCCCTTGCCTTCTCACCCAGGCCTCAGTGAGTACAATTGTCCTCTTTCACCTATTCAGGTTATCATTCATCTGATCATTAAGAACACTCATTATTATTGTGATATCCTCAGCAACTATGAATTATATAAGCATATTTGTTTCAATAATACATGACTCCAAACACATTTGAAATGTAAATTCTCTTGACTGCTTGTTTAGCTTTTATTTTACTCTTCCCCTGTCACACTAAGAACTGCCAATTCTCTACTAAAATATAATTCTTAAGTCACTGATTTATTCATACTTTTTTCCATCCCCTTGAAACACATATGTTAATTAAGCACAGATCATGTACCAGGTATTGTGTTAGCACTATGGAATCCTAAATGAACAGGACCTGTTTTTTCACTCACGGGAGATACAGTTAGTAGAGGAGCCAGATAAAGAGACAACTGAATAGATTAGGATCAGGAACATCATAGAGTTTTAAAGCATAGAGGGCTGCTACCAGGACTTCTGACTTTGACACAGACAGGAATGGAGCTGACTTGTGAGTCAAAGTGAGGGAAGTGGAAAGGGTGTTTGGAGGAGAGGGCAGAGCCTGGATGGAGGCATAGAGGCCTGGAAGAACCTGCTGCATTTGGGGATCTGCATGTGGCACATCAGGAAATGACAGGACATGAGACCAGAGAAACAAAGAGGGCTGTGCTCATGAAGAAACTTGCATACCCCACTGGAGAACTGAAATTTATCTTGAAGAGACTTTTTATTGGAATCCAATAAAAAGTTTAAACAATGGAGTGACATGATTCATTCAAAAAATATTTATTAAACTCCTACTATGTGTCAGTCACTATTCTAAGATGCTGGGAATATAACTGTGAACAAGAAAAGCAAGGATTGTGCTCTTGTGATGCTTGCATAGAGATGGAATGAGAGAGGGAGTACAAGAAAAAGATAATAAATGAAGAATGAGCATCATGAAAAAAAAAGCTAGGCAAGAGAGTGGAGAGCAATGGGGATGTGATTTTACGTAAGGTGGACAGACGAAGAGATCAGCAGGTGTGAAGGCCCTGGGGTGTGGGTTTGAGCACAATAAAGGGGGCTGGTGGGTGGTGGAGAGGACAAGTGACAAGATCAGAGGTGGAAGGCACCCAATCATCAAGGGGCTTATAGGTCAGGGCAAAGGAGATGAAAAGCCAGTGGAGAGCTTTGAGCAGAGGGGTGACAGGATCTGATTAACACTTGAAAGGGGGCACTCCTGGCTATCCTGTGAATAGGCTGCAGGGAGGCACGTGATGGAAGCAAGGAAAGGGGTTGCGAGGCTGTTCCCACTGATCCAGGTGAGAAGCGATGGTTGGTTAGTTAGATTAGGGTGGCAGCAGTGGAATTGGTGAGATTTCCTGGTGAGGTTGATGAGAAGTGTGAAAAACAGAGACATACAGGATGACTCACTGCTACATTTCCAGTCTGAACAACTGAAAGGATGGAGTTGCCTTTTACTGAAATGGGGATCCTGGGAGGGAATAGGTTGGAAATGGGACACAATCAAGTGTTGTTCTTGGTACATGTGACATTTTCAATGCAAATGAAGACATTAAGTAAAGAGCTGGAATATTTGGGTCCAGAGTTGGGAGAGGCTGAGGCTAAAGATACAGATTAAGAGTCATCAGAGAATAGATGATTTTTCAGACCACAAAGGTAGGTGAAATCAACCCCCCTAGGGAAAGCACAGCTAATAAAGAGAAGAGGTCCAAAGCAGGTGCCCCAGTCCCAAAGTCTAAGAGTCTGGAAAGATGGAAGGAGACAGGAATGGAATCTAAATGCTGGTCAGCAAAGAAGAATGACCAACAGAAGGGTAGAGGAGACTCTGGGAAGAAAAACTGATCAATTATGTCAGATGCTGGGATGAATAAAAAAAAAGTGAGGAACAAAAAATGACCTTTGGATTTGGACTATGAAGGTTGTTGGTGATCCCGTGAAAAGCAGTTTTAGTAGAGTGGTGGAGATGAATCCAGACTGGAAAGGACTCAAGAGAGAACAGAGGAGAAGACATATGCACAAGGTTTTTGAGAAGCATTGCTGTAAAGAGGAGCAGAAAAAGGGTATGTGGCTTCAGGGGGAAGTGGGAAATGGGAGAATTTTGTCTAAGAATGGGAGATGGCAGGACATGTTTGTATATTAATAGAATCCAGCAGAAAGGGAGAAGTCAATGATGTGGAGAGAAAGTAGGTACATCTACAGGAGCACTGTCTTTCTGTAAGTGAGAGGAGCTGGGCTTAGGGGAGTTTCTTCACTACAACACAGACAAGTATCTGATTCTGACCACGGAATATCCCGAAGAGCAAAGACAGGTTAAAGAACCAGAAAGGTCAGCTGGGTGTGGTGGCTCACACCTGTAATCCCAGCACTTTGGGAAGCTGAAGCGGGCAAATCACTTGAGCTCAGGATTTCGAGATCAGCCTGGGCAACATAGGGAAACCCTGTCTCTACAAAAAATACAAAAAACTAGCTGGGAAGCATACACCTGTGGTTCTAGCTACCGGGAGGCTGAGGTGGGATGACCACTGGAGCCTGGAAAGTCAAGGCTGCAGCAAGCTGAGATCCCAGCACTGCACTCCAGCCTGGACAACAGAGTGAGACCTTGTCTCCAAAAAATAAATTAATTAATTAAAAAGAGCCAGAAAGGTGAGAGAGGTAGAACCCCGAGGATTTACTTAATAACAACTTGCATAGGAAAACTGCAGGAGAAAAAGGAGTCCAGGATGACTCCTGGTCAAATCACTGGCCTAAGTCACACACTGGCTGCTTGAACTGGACACCAGCAAAAGCAAGAGCTTGGCAGATCATGAGAAGCCAGTATTCCTGAAGAGCGCTCCAAAACCAGCTCTTACTTTTCCAGAAGCACTGGGGGTCGGGACATCATGGTGATCCTCCTCCAATACCACACCATAATGATGAAGATGCTGGGCGTAAGGAAGGTCTTCATGGCAAACCACACCTTGGTGAAGCCTCCATTTTGGTGGATCCCCTAGGCAGAGACCAGTGATAATTTTGAAGGTGAATATTATCTTAGCATTTCCTTCTACTAGCAAATGCTTTTGTGGGAGAGGTAAGTGGAGACCTCGTCTGCGAATGTTCACGATCAAGAGCTTTCACATTCATAGCAGGTACTGCCCTCATACACCCTTGGACTCTCCTCAGAGATAATAGAAATACATATTAAAAGAGCCCTGTGCTATGGACCTGAGACCAGAGAAATAAAGAGGGCATCCCATTCACAATAACGGCTTTCATGTTCTGGGGTCTGAAAGAAGAACATGGGGCTTTGGGGCAGGGTCACTATTTCCAAGAGACTTCGAATTATCTTACCTTGGACTCATCCCACTGATATTAAAATGCTAATACCTAAAGATACACTTTAGAGGTACGGATTAATAGGGCAGGTATGGATTAATAGGGCATACAGGGTGTATGATATCTACCCAGCTACCACCCCCACAGTGTACCCCCCAAAAAAGCCACATTTGAGGTAGAACCAGAAATTTCAGGTAAAAAGCAGAGATATCCTCTATCTCTTAACACCTCTCTTGGCCGTTTAATCCTCATTCTACCCTCACATCTTACTAATCTGGTCTACTAAGGCTACAAGAGCTTTTTCCCTATGCTAAGATTACGATTAAGTACATGATCAATTTTTTTTGTAAGCTTTTCATTAGAAAGTTGCAGATATCCTAGATGGTCAATATGTTGAGATTGGTAAGTGTTAAGGTAAATCTATTCTATAAAATGCTAATCAATATTGGAAAGTATATTTATATTACATTCACCAATTTATATTACATATACCATTAAATAAAGAAAGCAAGGAAAACAGTCAGTTCAATATGATCCTACTTTTTGTAAGGGAATTACTACGTATAAAAAAAAGCCTGGAAGGAGATATATCAAAACCTGAACAGTGATTATTTCTCTAAATAGTAGGACATTACAGGTAATTATTATGCTTTTCTGTGTCTCTACACAATTCTTGTGGGACTTTGTTGAGATTGAAAAGAAATGGCCTCCTTGCAGCAAGTTCTAACTTTTCCCCAATTAAACAAATATGATGGAAAGAACCTAAACCACCCCTATTCCTTTTAACATTTGTGCTTGCAAGGTGAAACACATAAAAAAGAAAATTTACTTTTATCTCAGTGTTATTCATTATGCAATCATGACTATTTCATGATCTTATCATCATTGTAATGATCTTAAGTGATCTTAAGCCCATTTAAAATCTTAAGTGGGCACAATAATTGCATTGTTTCCCATTTCTGTAATCTCTCACACAAATTAGTTCACTTTATGATCTCAGCCATCATGAGTATGTTATTATTCCCATTTCTCAGATGAGACAGGTGAGGCATAGAGGTGCCAAGAGTGAGATGGAGTTCCCCTCCAATACACATGTCAAGATCAATTACATTCACTTACCACCAACCGGATATCCTTTATCTCCCCAATTCCCACATTGATTTTCTTCTTCTCATTCACAGGCAGCCGGATGTTTAAAAGGTAAAACTTATGGGCCACAGACCCAATTTCCATGAAAGGAAGGACATCACATTCATAGTAACGGCCCTCATGCTCTGGAGTCTGGAAAAAGAGCAGAGGGTTTGAGGCAGGGTCACTATTTCCAATAGACTGGCTCTGAATTCTGTTACCCTGGATCCATAACATCAATTGTAAGCAGCTAATGCTTAAAGGTACACTTTAGACGTACAGAGTAACAATGCATACTGGAGGCATGGCGTCTACCCAGCTATCCCAACCTAAAACAAACATCAACAACAACAACAACAAAAAACAGCTGTATTCAAGGTAGAACCAGAAATTTTAGGTAGAAAGCAGAGATACCTTCCTTCTATCTCCTAACACCTTTCTAGGCTGTTTAATCTTCATTAGAACCTCGCATCTTACGAATCTTGTCTGCCAGGGCTACAAGAGTTTTTATCTGCAGTGTGTTGTCAGGGTCCTCTAAGGCTCTGTGGAACAGTCAGCTTCTTAAACGTTCAGGTGGAAGCTCTTGCTGAATCATTACACTCTTTAATGACGGCTAATTATTCTCCTGATTTTGGCCTGAGGGAGAAGCTAGAAGAAGCTGAAAATATCTTCTTTTTATTCACTTGCCAGGAAAAAAAAAGACACAAGGAGCCGTTGGTATTTAGGGAAGGTCGAAACAGAAGAAAGAAAGATAATAAGATTAGTGGCCAGAGATACCCACTAAGAATTTTCTGCCTCCGGTGCTTCCTAACAGTCCAAGATGGCAGAAGGGAATAGAAGTTTTAATGAAATAAGAATTTAGCCCAGTGTCTAGGAAAGCCTCTTGGACTTCGTGCCAAACAATTTAAGAGATACTGCCCAGAGCACGGTGGTGGGAAATTGGACAGTAGGGAGACACCTTTTTTTTGAAAACTAAATTCTGCTCCACCTCACCAGGACTCCCGGCTGTGTACCTGCTGAGGGGTGGGGGCCAGGGGTAAAGATGAGCATAAAGAGGCATGAGCTTCAGCAGGCCGGGACTTTTCCCTGATATAGAAGATGAGAGTCTACCATCAATGTTGGGTTTCTATGTCAGCTTCAATGTTTCCTTGGCACCTCCTGATCAAGTGATAGGGGAGATCTAATTTGTCGTTCCTAAGCCTGAATTTGCAAGACCTCCATAATTTGTCATAAATCTTCAGAGCAAAGATCCACTGAAGAAGTGAGAAGAAAGAAGATAACAAAGAGTCCATAGTCTAAGAGTATGTAGGAAGGGGCTAGGAAGGGGCTCTGCCCCTTCTGAGATCTTGGCTGGTGGGGAGGGTTCCTTACTGAACAGTCAGAGCTTAGAATGCAGTAAACAGACCTTTGTACAGAGACAGAGACACACACGGCAAGGTAGAGGTGGGGAGGTGCTTCTACCTCCTCTTGCCCACCACGGCACACATAACCAATCAGTCGTCAACAGTTTTTATCCCTAAGGTGTGAGCAGCTCTTGTCAGACACACCAGTTGATTAGAGTTGGCATGTGAGATTTTTAAAAATTCTTCTGTAGAAAGAATGCTGCTTTTTCAAACCTCAGCTGCAGGTCAGATGATTCTTCCTATATAGATCATCTTTCTCTCCCCTCCACTCCTTTCTCTCTTATACTTTCAAATCAGGGAGGATGGGGGCTCTGCAGGTACTACTAAAAGTTCACTGCAGGCTCTAATTCTCCCTCAGATTAAGCTGCAGTGAGGAGGCTGATTATCCTCTGTGGTAACAGCAAGAGGGTATTTTCTGATTTGTTTCCAGTTAGGGCCTTATTTTATTGATGGAAATTGAGAACTTGAGGGCGGAAGGGAACAAAACCTACTTAGTCTAATTCCATCTGGTGTGTGTCTCGCCCAGGGTCCCAAAAGTAGTAGCAGAATTGGGAGAAGGACATGGGCCCTGCCCAAAGGCAGGCATTGTGCTGTGATAAAGACTCCTGAACTCCAGGCCAGGAGGCTGATTCTAGTCCTGACCATGTTCCTTGCTGGGTACCTTGGGTCACCCTGCCTCATTTGGCCTCAGTTTCCTCCTAAGTGAGAAAGTTAAGTAAGATGATCTCCAGGGTCACTTCTAATCCCCCACGATGGGTCTCTGGGTGCCCCACACTTCCCTGTCACTACTGAGTGAGTAACATGGACACCCTTGACACAAATTTACCTAAGTTCAAATTAAAAGAGACACATTGGCATCTGGGACACTGGCTCAACCTTCCTGTCTCAGAGACAAGTTCGTTGTATCCTGTTAGAGACTTTTCTTCATGCACTAAAGTCCTGCCTCTGCCAGTATTTAGGGCATTTAAGAAGATTCCTCTCTCTCCTTCCTTTGCCCCACCCCCAGTTCTCCCCCAACTCCAGCATGAGACTAGCTCATTAGGACAAATTACAGCAGGTGGCAACTTGACTTTTTTTTTTTTAACTTCACAATCCACCAGGGACTCAAAAGCTTTAAAGCAATTTCTCATTTAATCTTGAGACTCAAGACTAAATTTCACTGCAATCAAAAAGCAGAGACTTGATGATTCATTTCCTTCGCACTTTTCAAGATTTAATATCTTTCTTGCAAGGGATCAACACATCCTAAAGATAATTAAGCATTAAGAAGCAGTTGCAGGCAAACACCCTTCCCCCTCGCTACTCAGTGCCCTCCATGTGTATAAATGAGAAATGACTTTTCCCTTTTCTATGGATAAAATTCTGTATCCGAAAGCCATCTAGCTTAGATGTTCAACCAGTATTTCAAAGATGCAGTCAACTTGCAGAGATAGCTAGAAAGGTTTTTAATTTTCTTGGTTGCATGCAAAGATCTGAAAATGTTAGCTGTTCCTCTCTCCTGCTTCCTCTAGTTTGTCTATCATTCATTTCTACCTACAAATGGCTTTCTCTGGAGGACAGCCCTATATTTAGCACTCAGCAGAGGGTCTAGGGCAGTGGCTCTCAAACTTCATAGAGTTTAATAAACTGAAGGCCTGTTAAAACACAGATTCCTTGCTCCTACACCCTGAGACATTGACTTAATAGGTTCTGGGTGTGCCCTGGGAATCTGCCTTTCCTAAAACCTCTCAGGTGATGCTGCCACTGTTGGTTCTCAGAACACATTTTCTGTAGCTTTGTTCTAGGAAACCTGCGGGAGGGAGACTCCCCTAGTGTTTCAAAAAACACTGCAATGGGTACTTAGGTTTACCCATGGAGGGCCTTAGTTTATATGTTTTCTCCTAGTGGCCCATCTGGTTAATATCCGCTTTGACTCTCAAATATGTCCCAGACAAGATGTTAAATTAGAAGGTCATCCTGCCTACGTCATTGTATCATCTAGTCCAGGGGTGTCCAATCTTTTGGCTTCTCTGGGCCAAACCGGAAGGAGGAGAATTGTCTTGAGCCACACATAAAATACACTAATAATAGCTGATGAGCTAAAAAAAAAAAAAATCACAAAAAGAAATTATAATGTTTTAAGAAAGTAATGAATTTACATTGGGCCACATTCAAAGCCGTCCTGGGCTGCATGCGGCCCGCAGGCAGAGTTGGACAAGCTTGATCTAGCCCTTAAACAGACTCCCAAGGTAGGTACTCTTATCTCATCTTGCAGAAGAAAAACTGAAGCTCAGACAGATTATGTAAGCTTACCTGAGGTCACACCGTCAGTGATAAAACCACCTAATCTTTCTCCTCTTTAGGAAAAAAATGGCTAAAGCTGGGGCAAGGTACTCAGAGGCTTCAACCTCATGTTTTTACTATTTTGCAGGAAATCTTAACAGTAATAGGCAAAAGCAAAGTTAGGAAAGGCCCGTGGCAGGAGAGAAGAGGAAATAAAATGCTCCGCAGAGCAGGTATTACCAAAGCTGTCCTCATGCGAAGAAGGGACACACCTATGAAAAGTAAGCAAATCTTTCCACATACCTGAGAACCAAATAAAAACTGTCAGCTTAGACAGCAAGGGGTCATACCTTGGGAGATGTGAAGGTGCATTTGAGTTTCCGTGGTACTCTTTCATGGGCCATTTCAGTCCACTCAGCAAACGCGTCATCACGGTAAGCCAGGGAAACGTCCATGGAGACTTCTGCATTTTCTCCTGCAAGAGAAAGGATGCACGTTTCAGAAATGACTTTTGGAAAGATATTTTAGAAACAGCTCAAAAAATTCTTATAGGCTTTGACTTGGAAACCAACGAGACAAAAGGGAAATATTAATTTCTATCAAACTCCAAACCTGAAGACTTAGAAGTCATAGGATGAAAGTCTAAGCCAAATGCTGGGTCCCCTCTCATGTCCACTCTGCCAGAGTCAAGAGCCTCCATTTAAACTCTTCCAGAGACAGGGGCCTCACTCTCTCTGAGGGAGCACAAATGGTCAGACCTCATCCTCCCATAACTTGTACCATGGGTCCTAGGTCTGCCTGTAGAAGCCACGTGGAAGGTGATGTCCTTCCTTCTTCCATAAAAAGTGCCTTATGTTCTTGAAAACCATACCACATCTGCCTGCATTCTCTTTCCTCTCTGATAAACATGACCAAGTTTTTCAACCACCTCTCAGACACGTCCCTCTGGGGCTCTTCTCTGGTCACACTCTGTCTGAAAACATCCTTCTCAAACTTATTCCCGAAAGTTCTCAAATATAGGATTTGCTACTTTTCCAAAAGTCAAAATCCCTTCATATTGTGGATGAAGTTAATGTAAAAGGCAAAGTGTTTTTCCAAAATTAAAGACTTATACACAGATAGGAATAATACATAATTGCACAAATGAATGTTCACACATACTTCCATATGTGTGGACTGGACCACGAATGAGTTAAACTCACCACAGAACTCATTAAGGAGATGAGATTAATAAAACATTGCACCTATTAATTTTGTCTGTTTTATACTATGATGAGCAAGTTCAAGAGCAGAGAAGTCTTTTTTTTTTTTTTTTTTTTTTGAGTATAAAGGTTTAATTCTATTTAAAAAGAAAGTCCATTAAATCAACTTCAAGTTCTTAACTCATGGGACTATTTTGGAACACTTCTTTGTAAATATCATTTTGTTAGGTTATTGGCAAAACAGTTTCAAGGTTCACTTCCCTCCCTTGAACCAGGTCCAGGTCATTTTGCTTTGGGGTAAATTAAAATCAGAATTCTAAAAGTTGAGCAACTTTGTTTTTTTTTAATTGACTTAGCTCTAACCCACCATTACAACTTAAGGACGGCATGACTTGATAATGATGGACTTGTGTGAGGTTTTGAGTTTTCAATTAAACTTTGTATCACATGAGGTAATTGTCAGCATTCTTGAGTCTGGTTATGGAATAGGCAGATAGAACCCTGTAGTAACAAGAGTTGGAAATTGGCTAATTGACAACGCACTTGCCTTAAACATCTCAAGTAGAGAACTTTTACATTAGTGAGATGTACTTGAATTTCAGAACTCAACAAATTTTAATTACTTTTTACTGAAAACTGCAGTGAATGCTAAATGTCTACGTTTACAATAAACAAATACAGTAACAGTAACTCACACTGAAACAAAACATACTTCTGATAGCCATTATTTTTCTGCTTGGGACAATTTTAAAGTTTTTCTTTTGTCACAAAAACAGGAATGTATCCAAACAAAGGCTCAAAAGAGGCCATCTTTTCAAACAAAAAGGCAATGATTCACAAAAGACTGTGAATAGAACATGTAACTAGTTGATACAAATCTAATAGGATTTGTTAAAATCAGTCACATCTAATACATCTGAAGTGCTCTTGTATAAAATATCACGTGAAGAAAAGAAGACTTTATCAATGTCTAAAAAAGTGGGTTTGTTCATAGACAATCTGACAAGTTACCATAAAAAGTGTTTCCTGAGACATAAGGAAATGCAACATTATTCTTCTTGAACCGTTTTAGCTCAACTTTCCACTCAATAAAACAGCAGAGGATCTGAAACTGAGAAAATGTATTTGAGTACAAACAGCTTGTGAAAGTTAATACTTTTTTTTTGCATCAGAGGGTTTTTACTGAACTTACAACCAACTTGCCCACTCAGTATGCAGTTCAGATGTGAGAGATGCTTCTCTGTACAGGAGCCTGTACTGTCTTCAATCCTATGCGAGCAAGTGTCTACCACAGGCAAACAGTTTTCTCCCCATTTTGTAGTAATGTAATTTTCCTATTAGCAAAAGGAGGTCACCAGCCCCTGTAGACTTAAGGGACTCAAGTCACAGGATGGGGATATCCTCTTAATATTTTTTATTTTGTTGTTTGAACTCTTGATGCAACATTGTAGAGCAGGGTGTTCAGGACCTGCTGTGCCCAAGGGACTGATAAAGGAAAAAGCTCTATTTATTCTTTGTGATTTGATGCACAGATGAAAAACTTAACACACAATAACAGAAGTTGGTCGTTAATAAATCACATCCTAGTCTTTCAGCGCTTCCGTAAGCAGACGACATCTTCAGTTTTCTAGCTCTTGTAGTTTTAACACTGCAGCATCAATGATGCATAAGTCCAGAATCAGTTACAAAGACCATCATATTCTTTTTCTCTTAGTTCATCATTTTTCACTATCTCTTGGTCCCAAATGTATCTGAATGATTACCTTCCGGCATTCTCTGCTATTGCTCGTTGGAGTGCTCTCGATTGTCCCCGTGTTTTGTGGGCTGGTTGGGAGAGGGCGCCTGGGAAGGATGTGCCACTGTTGGGAGGTTGTGAGTCACTGGGATGCCTCCAGGGATGATCCCTTCCACGGCTGCAGGAAGTCCTCCTGGAGCCACGCCCACGATGCCTGGCGGATATCTGTATGTGGCACCATTGAGCTCAGGATGAATTGCTTGCTGGTCTATTACTGACCAAGGCGCTGATGTGACAGAGAATTCCTTGTTCACACAGTTTCTTAAGCTTTCTGGGATGTGACCTGTGATGGCTCGGCGGATCTCAGTGGCAGCTGCCTCCCTCATCTCCAGTGACGCCTGCTTGCTGTACCAGGCAGTGTGAGGAGTGCAGATAAGATTCGGTGCATCTTTCAACGGACCCTGAGCAAAGCTAAAGGGCTCCGACTCACGCACATAGAGGGCTGCCCCTCGTATCCTGCCCTCCTTGAGAGCTTGTGCTAAGGCTTTCTCGTCCACCAGGCCACCACGGGGTGCGTTCACAAGGAATGCTCCCTGCCTCATCTGCTTTATGGTAAAGTCATTGATGAGGTGGTGGTTATGTTCGTTGAGATTGCAGTGCAAGGAGACGCAGTCGCTCTGATACAGCAAATCCTACAGAGTGTAGACCCTCTGCACGCCCAGGGATCGCTCGATCCCATCCTGCAAGTAGGGGTCATAAAATATGACGCTGAATCCAAAGGCCTTGGCTCGAACTGCAACCGCCTACCCCCTGCGATCAAAGCCGATGAGGCCCAGCATTTCCCCACGGATGCTGGCCGATCCCGAGGCCAACTCGCGGTTCTGCTCCATGCTCTGAACCCGTGTGCCTTACCGCAGTGCTTGGTACAGCCATGTGTTCCTCTGGTACAGATTGAGGATGTGGCAGATGGTAGAGTCCGGTGTCTCTTCCACGGCTGCAGACGGGATATTGCACACAGCAATTCCGAGCTCGCTGGCAGCCTTGATGTCCACGTTATCGTAGCCACTGCCTATCTGCACGATCACTCTCGGGGCCTTAAACTTTTCTAGGTCCTCCCTGGTGAGGATGATGGTGTGGTACATCATGGTACCCATGGCTTCGTTAGAACCTTCTCGTGGATTTCCTGCGTGGACTGCGCGTCACAGAAGGCCACAGTGGCCAGGTCTTTCAGGATGGGCATCTCCACAGTGCAGTCGCGGCCGTCCAGCAGCGCCACCAGGGGGCAGGAGTGCAGGGGGCCGTTCATGATCTGGGGGCGGATACCTTCACAAATTCTGTCCAATTGCTGTCTCTTGACTTTGTGCTTATCCACAAGGGCCATACTTTATGGAACTTTGCAACTCTCAGATCAAAAGGCAAAGCAGTCCTCTAAGAACTTAGGGGAACTCGCAGGAGTCTCCGTGCATGACGCCACTATGAACCCACTATAAATCTGTACACACTATAAATCTGTACACTATAAATCTATAGTTCACACGATGGGCTGTCCGTCTTTTTAAGGGAATACAGCTTCATTGGTTCAAAACCATTTAAGGTGATGAAACCCTCGTCCCGGACGGTCAGCGTCCACGGCAAAAGGCGCCCACTCTGGAGGCCGCGGTGGCGGTGGCTCCCGCCCCTCCCACCCCACCCTGCGGCGGTGGCGGTGGCGGTGGCTGCAGCTGTGCAGCCTCCCCTCAGCGCAGCATGGCTCCCTTTTCGGTCCCTCGCTCCTCCGGGCCGCTCCCGAGCCACCTTAAAATGACGCTCGCACACAGGGACACACAACACAAAAACTTAATCTCTCCAGCTCCCCACCACTCCCCCTCCCTCCCTCCGCTACCCCGCTCTCCCCACCCTACCCCTCCAGAGAAGTCTTAATGAGGAAAAAAAAAAAAAAAGCACAAATCACATTTCCAAAATGACTGGAGATCCTGCCACCACTAGGGTTATGAAAATGGGCACAATTTTAGGCTCTGGCTATTCAGCCTTGAAGAAGTCTCAGTATCCAGGCACCTGAGTTTGCTCCATACCCACCTCCTCCAGGGCTGCGACAAGGATTAAAAGTCAAGTTAGTGAAAGCACTGCATGCTGCCTCATATGCAGTAGGTGCTTAATAAATGTTTACTAAACCTGAACACATACAAATCACAAGGGAAACAGATAGGAATAACTGCCCTCTGAAAAGCAGGGCTTTTCTACGGTGGCTTAAAGCTGACATGGCAGCATGGCAGATCCCTGGTTCTCAGAAGAAATCTCGGAAAAGGAAGAGATGATCCATGGAAGAAGGAATTTGAGGCCATTCTGATATAGAGGAAACCCTCGATGAACATCAGTACCCACTATTCTATTATTCCTATTTTTATCCTCAGTTAAACATAGTGAATTAGCCACTGTGTTTTCCTCCTGAAATTCCACAAAATAAAGACAAAGACAGTAAAAAGAAAAGCAAAAGATATTAAATCACAAGGGGAAAAAACTAACTGTAGACACATGAGCAGACAAGAGATTTCATTTTTTTTTTTTTAAGACAGAGTTTTGCTCTTGTTACCCAGGCTGGAGTGCAATGGCATGATCTCGGCTCACTGCAACCTCTGCCTCCCGGGTTCAAGCAATTCTCCTGCCTCAGCCTCCTGAGTAGCTGGGATTACAGGCGTGCACCACCATGCCTGGCTAATTTTGTATTTTTAGCAGAGTCAGGGTTTATCCATGGTGGTCAGGCTGGTCTTGAACTCCTGACCTCAGGTGATCCGCCTGCCTCAGCTTCCCAAAGTGTTGGGATCACAGGCGTGAACCACTGTGCCTGGCCTCAAAATTTTTTTAAAACATAAAAAATACATGAAGTAGGGTTTCCTGGCAGCCACAGCCTACACTCCTATAGAGGGGATATTCTAGAAAAGTGAGCCAACATATCTGCAGGAACCTGAAGCCACTCAGAATTTGAAAGTACCAGGGGTTGCAGAAGGCAGAACAAAGCATGGCACTGACAATGGGGTGACTGGGTCAAAGTCTGCACACAAAACTGCTGGACCTCAGTTCTCCCACATCTTCCCATCTGTGCAAGATCCAAGGAGAGACTCTGGACTTGAGGACACCAGGGGAATATGTAGACCCAGGGCTGGAGGTGGAGAAGAGCAAGAGTCTGTAGAAGAAACTGTGCCACTCCCAGCTTGGCAGAAACAATGTTCAGAGTTGGTATCTCCCCTTGGTCAGGGACCAAGCTGGCTACAACTTCTCCCCACTTAGTAGCCTCAGTGGTCAACAGAAAGAATCAGTCAGAGCTCCCATGGAGTCAAATCTTAGGCAATAAAGTACATCCTACTTATAACGCTGGGAGTAGGAATTGGGACTTTAAACTGTGTTGAAAAGGGTGCTTGGAGAAACACAAGAGTATAAATATGAAAAGCTGTAAAAAATGTCATCAGCTCACACACAGGTTACAAATTACTCACAGGTTGTTCTCCTTGGAGCCATAGGGTTCAGAGCAACACTAGCCTTAGACACAGGCAAGAGGGGCCTTTGAAGTTTGGGCCCCACACTTTTAAAGGGTCCCACACTTTTAAAGGGTCCCACTCTGTCAACTGTTCCCTTCTTTATAGGACAAGAAGACTCCCAAGTGAAGGGGATATATATACCCAGAGCCTACAGACCCCCTCACTTCTAGACCACGCTCCGAGATGTCAGACTCCAGAACATTCTGCCTAGACAGCTCTGAACTCTTATCTTACTTCCAAGGTCTGTGTGGCCTCTTTCCAGGTCTGGCTTCCCAAGAAGAACTAGACAACCACCTGTATACTCTTGGATGTTCGGTGGGGGTGGGAGTGAAAAGGCTGCTATTTGTTGGAAGATATGAACAGAGCTTGAGCTCGGAGGTTAGGGTGTCCATGTAGAAGCACGCAAGGCCCCTCTCTTTATGGGATGGAGCCAGCGGTGGGGAGAAAAGGGGTGTAGGGGCCCACACTTCCTGACCAGTCACATTTTGGCACAGAATTCCAAGTCGTCCATGAGTCCTCAATTCGAACCTGGCCATCCTGTTCATTATGCAAGTAACTCATCATCAGAGGATGCAACGTACTTGGCTTAACAGTTTGCTGGCCTGATTTATCACTTCTAAATATTTAGACACATGATAGGCATGCCTTCATTCATACTGTTTCCCCAAGCCAGACAAATGTTTGTAGTGGGCCTGGTTCAGAGCAGGTGCCTCACAGAGACAAGGCTAGATAGGATTGCTTCCTTGCCTGGTCCCAGCTTCAAAAGTTATTCTAATCTGTTGAGGATCCTCAAAGGAAAAACTATTTTAAAATATGCGGTTTAAAATGAAAATTGTGCACAGTATTTTAATGTACAATTACTCCATGTTAAGCTCCTGTGGTTTCTGTGCTTTAAATTACCTCATTTAATGTTCCCAACAATTCCATGAAGTGGACAGAATATTTTATTTTAATTAATGAGTAAAGTGATGCCCTCAGATCTTAAGGAACTTGTATAAAGTCATTGAAATTGCCTTAAAATAAAATCACTTTTTTGGTATTGCTTAAAGAAAACTGGCTAACTTGTGATAGAAGAAGCCCCTCAAAGCAGTCACACAATATGAATATGCTAAGTCTTTAATAATAGCAACAGCTCTCCTTCATCAGAGGCTAACATGCACCAGCCTTCTTCAGGCCTCACATCCATCCTGGGAGGAAGACGTTATATAAATTGCCCAAGAACATATGGCTAGTAAACAGCAGAGCTCAAGTCTGGATCACGTAAGGGCCCCACTGCACTCTACTACCTTTGCTGGTGAAAACAAACAAACACAGTAGAATTCAAAAGAAGCTAACAGCTGAATCAAGCATACTTGGTCAAAGAGCCACTCAACACAAACTAAATACCTTTCCAGCTTTCTACAGGAGAGAAACAGGCAATGTTCCTGGGAGGCTGCAAGTATGGCTCATAAGAATGTCTGGAATTATCTAATCTAAGCTTTCTAAAGCCATCTATTGTTGGCTGTTAAAATTATAGCATGTTCTGCCGTCTCTTCACGTTACCATCTCCTTACTTCCCGTGCAATCTGAAGCAGAGGTGTTATTCCTGTTTATGAGGTGAAGACGCCATAACTCAGAAAGCCCTACCCTAGAAATACCAGACTCAGGACCCTAGAGCTTCATAGCCAATAGTCTCATAGCATCCTGCCATCTTTTATGATGTACATAAAAAAATAGAAATCACAGGGAGAATGGCCTGTTCAAGTGACCTTTACTAGACTGTGATATCACTCCTCACCCCCAGACAGATAGCACACATGAGGTAGCACAGGTCAATCTTAGCAGACCTGGTTCCTTACCTGTTAGGATAAGACTTAACGCCTAGAATTTCATGATTATTACACTAGTTACTGCATGAAAAATGCTCAAGACAGAGCAGAAAGCATGAAGGGTAAGGTATTGTTGTTGACATTTTATTAGGGAAGTGAAACTCTTATCCTTAATTCAAAATAATTACCAGGTTTCAGGAACATGGAGCTTCCCACTATGAATCCCTAATCCAAACCTAGATCACAAAACCCAGAAACGGGAAAGCACTGGACAGAGGAATACAGTAAAACTGCGAAGCTGGTTACCTGAATTGTTTTCTCTTCTGCCTCCAGTGGACTTGGAAATAAAGTTCAGCATTAATGATGATGTTGCATTTAATAAAACACTGGTTTCATGACTCCTGGGATACTGTGTGGGCAATACTTCCCCTCCACCCTCCAGAGATAATGAAGGCGAGGAATCCAATTTGAACTCCCTGGGAGAATGGCAGGAAGGCTAAGCTACATTTGGCACTATATTAGAACTTTCCCTATAAAACAAGGACACTGGTTATATCAGTTTCATGGGGGTACAGTTGTAAGGTATCAGCATAGGGCATTTATAGATTTGAAATCCATGGTTTTCCATACCTATACTATACCAGCAGCTTTGGTATAGAAGCCCATAGGTCCTATGGGCTAGCCAAGCTTCACATTTCTCAAATAGCTTTGGAGACATATTTTAGTTGGGTGGAGAATTCATTCAGAGGAGGAAGGGAAGTGTGGAAAGGCACTGTCGTTCGTTACACTTACTATTTCCATCCTGTTATGGGGGCAGTTTCCCCTATGCTCCAGGGTTCCATAGGAGCAGACCTAGACTGCAAAGTGTGGTTACAGACAGAAAGATCCATGCCTTTCCATGTTGGGAAGCATCAACTAATTGTATCCTTAGGAAGTCTGTCTCTATACCAGTTATACTGCCCTGCCCTGCTTGAGAAAAGCAAAGCCAATCAGTTTTTCTGCAGGCAAGTGGAAAGTCAGAGAGGAGGGCAAGTACCTTCTATAAGCCAGAAATGGTGGGAGGGGGGTGCTAGAAATCGCTAGGAAAGAGGTCTAGTGTCCCCAAGAAATCTAGGGCAGCTGCTTAATGTAAGAATGGTCCCTGGGGTGGGAATGTGGGGAGAAGGAAAAGCAATGAAAAGGCCACTAGAGCCTTAATTGAGGAAGACATCAGAATGCTTGTCACCTAAGCTCTACACCTTCTATATTTGAAACAGGTATTTCCCAGCCAGGATAGTACAAAGTGTATAAATTGGGCACCAAATGGATGTGATTTTGAATTCTCCTTTTATGACTTCCCACCTGAACAACCTTGAATAAGTCTCAGTTTCCACCTTTGCAGTATGGAAACAGTGGGAACTACTCCCTAAGTCTGTTAACCAATACCAGTTCCTTCTCCATCTAGTCCCAGGGTGGCTGGGTTATATTGTTGACCTATTAACTGGAATAAAAGGGGAAAAAGGAGAGGACAAGATATATTAGAGGAAATCAGGAATGATTTTATGGTTGTCAAAAGCTTTTAGGTTCCTAGAGACACTTTGACTTTCCTGGGCCTTTGCCCTGGGAAAAAAATTAAAGAGGTTTCAATGCTCGTGTGCATTCCCACATTACATAGGGGAGCTGCCAGTCACCAGAGTTTGTTTGGGTAACCTCAGAAAGAGGCCACAGAGACAAATCTCCTCCCAGCCTCTGGCAGACATATAATCTGGAGTTATTTATGCCAGCATTCCTTCCCCAATAAAAAACTCTCTGACCTGGCTTGAATTTTTCTTGACGCTTTCAATTAAGGAAATAACAAAACCAACCCTGTCTTATACATGGTTAGGTCTGGCAAAAATGGACTCAGCTAATTACAAATTTGGCCCTGGCGGTTTTCTTAAGATGCCCTACAGGCCTGGGTGTGAGTGGTTATAAAAATGAATGAGTACAATTATTTTGCAAACCAGCCTAACAGTTTAGTTCACATTGCTTCTCGTCTTTCCTCATCAAATCAAGCATTTGAATTGCAGAGAATTATCTTCCACATGTAAGAAAACATATTTCTAAGCATTGCAAAACTGGTTCCTTGCTGTATTCTGATGCATTATCATCTGGTTGAAGTCACATATCTGTCTATGGAACATGACAAGGACAAGGGAGAACGGTGCTCACATTAGGTTCTCTTCAAAGTGACATGCAGTTAGAAAACATCCACTTACCCCTATTGTAGCCAAGGCTACTAGTACTTAAATGCTATACCACTGAAAAAGTAAGTGGAGACATCAATTTTTTTAAATAAATGAATCTGAAGTACCACCGAATATAGAAAAAAACCATATCTATTGTTCACCAGGTTGGAGAGTAGCTCTTTCCTCATCTAACTCAACACGTTCACCCTGAAGGATTTCATCTGCTCCTGGGATGCAAGTCACCCTCTCCAGTCCAGATTTCCCTCTTGATATTTGAATTTGCATGCTCACTTTTCACCAGTCTCTCCTCTTTCATGGTTTAGAAATGCAAACCACCAAATTTGGTCAACTCTACTAGGTGTCTTTCAGATTTAGCCTCCTCTCCTCACTGATATGCCGCTTGTTCAGGCCACCATTATCTCCAGCCTCCATGACTAAAACACCTGCCCTGTTCCTGTCTAATTTTCACACTTCCTGCTACAGAAATGATTTCTAAAACACTTTCAATGCCTTTATATTGTCTTCAGTGTGATATTAAGACTCCTTAAATGGCATAATTGGCTAAGGTGTTATGTAGCAGCCTAGGTTCTAGTTCTATGAACGTTCACTACCCCTTCTACCTAGGTTGGCCACTTCAAATACAGCCCCTCTCCTCTCCAGCCTTGGAAGATGAGTAAGAGCTCAGCTTTGGAGACAGACAGGCTGGGACCACAGCCCACCTTAGCTACTTGGTGCCTATGCAATGTTGGGAGTCACTAAATGTCTCTATCTGTAAGATGAGGATAATGGTAATGGTAATGCCCTTCTCCTATCACTGTGAGGAGTAAATGAGATAATGGGTGCCAAGCACTCAGCACAGGCCTGGCATATAGTAAGCACTCAGTCAATGCTGGCTACTATTTCTTTTTTTTTTTTTTTTTTTTTTGAGATGGAGTTTCGCTCTTCTTGCCCAGGCTGGAGTGCAATGGCACGATCTCCGCTCACTGCAACCTTCGCCTCCTGGGTTCAAGCGATTCTCCTGCCTCAGCCTCCTGAGTAACTGGGATTACATGCATGGGCCACCATGCCTGGCTAATTTTTTTGTATTTTTAGTAGAGACGGGGTTTCTCCATGTTGGTCAGGCTGGTCTTGAACTCCCAACCTCAGGTGATCCACCCGCCTCGGACTCCCAAAGTGTTGGGATTACAGGTGTGAGCCACCGCGCTCGGCCGCTGGCTGCTATTTCAAGGCTAGTACTCAAGGTTATCTACACCTGCTGTACTCAGGGTCCCCATAATCACACCAAATTTTATGAAGAGATGCCTCCTTTGAGAGGGTAAATTACAAAAGGCTTCTTTATCTGGGCTGCAGACAGTGCTTGGCATCCCCGCTCGTGCCAGACTCCTACTCATCTTCTGGAATTCCCCCCAGATTTACTCTTGCCTTCTTTTACTCACCCAAACTCAATATGGCACCCCCCCCTTGCTCCCACAGTACCTTGTTCACCCAGCAATATGACACTTATGACACTTATTCTCCATGTTGCTTCTCCTGACTACTTATCCCCATCTCTCTCCCTACCCATCTCCTATTTAGGCTGGGTTCCTAAAAGCCAGGGACTGACTCAGTCTTGTTCACAGTTATATCACTCATGTCTTTGCACAATAGATATTCATTGAATATTTACCAAATTAATGATTATCATCCTTCTTTCTCCAAATAACTCTTACAAACCTAAATTTCCTGTCACTCTACCATCAAACAAGTGGTTTGCTCTATATTTTGGTGACATTCATACTTTCTTTCTCCATCACCTGCCTTTTTACTTCTACTCCCCCCAAACCCCTGCACACACACCCCTGAAATCCCTGTGCTAGATGGACCATCCAACTCTATTTTTGTTTCCACCAAATATTTTTGAGCACCTACTGGTGTCCTCGCACAAGATTGGATGTAAAGCCTAAAACCATAAAAACCCTAGAAGACAACCTAGGCAATACCATTCAGGACATAGGCATGGGCAAAGACTTCATGACTAAAACACCAAAAGCAATGGCAACAAAAGCCAAAATTGACAAATGGGATCTAATTAAACTAAACAGCTTCTGCACAGCAAAAGAAACTATCATCAGAGTAAATAGGCAACTACAGAATGGGAGAAAATTTTTGCAGTCTATCCATCTGGCAAAGGGCTAATATCCAGAATCTACAAGGAATTTAAATTTACAAGAAAAAAAAACAAAAAACCCCATCAAAAAGTGGGTGAAGGATATGAACAGCCACTTCGCAAAAGAAGATTCTAATGCAGCCAACAAACGTGAAAAAAAGCTCATCATCACTGGTCATCAGAGAAATGCAAATCAAAACCACAATGAGATACCATCTCATGCCAGTTAGAATGGCGATCATTGAAAAGTCAGGAGACAACAGATGCTGGAGAGGATGTGGAGAAATAGGAACACTTTTACACTGTTGGTAAGAGTGTAAATTAGTTCAACCATTGTGGAAGACAGTGTGGCGATTCCTCAAGGATCTAGAACCAGAAATACCATTTGAACTAGTAATCCCATTACTGGGTATATACCCAAAGGATTATAAATCATTCTACTATAAAGACACATGCACACGTATGTTTATTGTGGCACTATTCACAATAGCAAAGACTTGGAACCAACTCAAATGCCCAGCAATGATAGACTGGATAAAGAAAATGTGCCACATATACACCATGGAATACTATGCAGCCATAACAAAGGATGAGTTCATGTCCTTTGTAGGGACATGGATGAAGCTGGAAACCATCATTCTCAGCAAACTAACACAGGAACAGAAAACCAAACACCACATGTTCTCACTCATAAGTGGGAGTTGAACAATGAGAACACATGGACACAGGGAGGGGAACATCACACCTGGGCCTGTTGAGGGGTGGGGGGATGGGGGAGGGATAGTATTAGGAGAAATACCTAATGTAGATGACGGGTTGATGGGTACAGCAAACCACCATGGCACATGTATACCTATGTAACAAACCTGCACATTCTGCACATGTATCCCAGAACTTAAAGTATAATTAAAAAAAAAAAATACTCAGAGAAGTTCCAAATGCTGTATATAAATAAATACAAATCTTATATAGAAATAGGATTTGGAACTATATACATGTATATAAACATAAAAATGTATGTTTATATATGTCTATAAAGAGTGAAACAATTAAACTTCTTCTATAAAAAAAAGAGTAGGGATAAAAAGGCATATAAGGCAAAGTCATTGCCCTCAAATTGTTTACAGTAAAGTGGTGAAGGCAGGTATATAAATAAGTATAATTCCATGTAGTTTGTACTGCATTAGAAGTATATATGAAGTATACAGTCAGCACAAAAAGATCAAGAGTTCTGAGTAGAAGGTCAAGAATTGTAGCACAGAAGACACAATCTTCTGGCTCACCCTACTGAGAAGAGGTGATATTTACCAATGAATTGCAGAATAGGAGTTCACTAGGCAGCGAGATAGGAAAAGGCATTACAGGCAGAGGAAGCCCCATGTATAAAAAGTCACATAAGCACAAAATAGCAGGGAAAGCAACTAATTCAATATGGCAGGGAATGTGAGAGGGACTGGAGGGAACAGGGAAGGCTAGAGAACAGGAAGGGTCTAATGACAAAGGGAAGAAGCTTGCCCTGAGTGCTGCAGCATTTTGCTTAGAGGATGTTAAAGCAAAGGAGGAGATTCTGGCAGCTGTGCGGAAGACGGACTGGGATGGGGGGCCAGGTAGACAAAGAGACATCCTAAGGAAACTGAGGCCCACTGCTAACACAGTTCTCAGTGTGCTTAAGACGATTTAACCTTGTGGAAAATACTGCCAGGAGGATATTTTCTAAGGAATTTGTTTACCAAAGAATCTGAACCCAATGATGAACCAATCTTTCGCTAACAAAGCTAGAGAACTCAGAACCATCTAAGTTAGCAAGTGTTAAAACACTGGAAAGCAAATGTGGCAACAGCACTTTCCTATTTGACCATAATCAACATCAATGTGGAAAGAAAACAAACCTGAAAGCAAGTGAGGAAAACACACAGTGGGTTTCTTTGCTTTCTCTCCAGGACACTGTCAGTACACAGAGCATTTAGAATAGCTGATTTGATCGTTGTGAAAATCTACCTGCGTGCCCCTCTCTCTCTCTCTCTCTCTCTGAATGCAATTAGAGAAGACAGCTTCATTCACACTGTGTCTAAAAATAGATGATGGCAGAGTTCACAGACTGACAGCTGCATTGTCATACAGTAACCAGGAAAGGAAAGGGATGGCTAATTTAACTTAACAACTTCCAAAACAAACAGTGCAGAGGGAGTCCAGGATAAAGAAAAAACACACAGGTCAGTTCTTCAAAGAGCTGGCAGAGGGATGGGGTCGCTCCATGGCAGTTTATTAGTCCTCCCAAAATCCTGACGAAACCAGCTAAGTATTTTGCCCAGATCTACCCAGAGTCCTTCAGACAAGAGCTCTGGCAGATGAACCGCTACAGAGATTCAGGCAATATTAGGCAGCAGGGCCAGGACTTTCCCTGCTGACTTCTTCATACATCCCCTGGACACAAGTAAGCTAAGAAGAGTCATGACGTTTTTCTAGGCAAGATAAATAAATGAGTTTTTTCCCCCTTTGCCATATCTAAATTATACTCTGCCTAGCCTGGGGCATTTAAAAAAAAGTTATCCAGGAAATAAACATGCATCATTAAGGGGCAGAAACCAGGTGTCTAAAAGAAGCAAACCATTTCTTTCCCTCCCTTCAGTCCTAAAATGTTTTCTGTTTTCCTCCTCAGTCTGCCTTGCCCAGGGAAGGGATTACGGTTGGGCTTCAAAAGAAACAAGGGAATAATGCCTGTGGACGGGTAGCAGATTCTCTCTGCAGCTCTCCCGCAGCTCCATGTTGGCTCTCAGCGCTGCTGCCAGCCAGCTAAATGTCAGATCACGGCACCCCAACATTCCCTCACTGCATACCTCCATCGCCCTGGTGACTAAGCTGTTTCAACAGCTGTGTTATTGCTGGAGTCAGGCCAGTGTTATTCACACGAAGTATTTGTTTCATACGGCTTATGTGGGGAATTATTGCACTCAGCTTTGGGGTTCTATTTAAAGATAAGGTCCTTCCCTTGATCAATCAGCCAGGACATTCCTCGAGTTGGGCTCCAGGAGACAGTGGGACAATATTCTACTGCCACCCGGGGTTCCAGATAATGGACAGATTCATAATACTATAAAGAAGGTGGATGAAGCATATGTGTGTGTGAGAGAATGGGAAGCATAATGGAAAACCATGACCCTTGGTGGAGCTGCGGAAGAACTCTGCTGCTCCTCCCTCAATAAAAGCCACCCACAACACAAGAGTGTTAAGCTGGACTCCCTTTCTGCTCTTCTTCTCCAGCCATCACCCTCAGCCTTTCCCTTAAAATCATTGCTCTTTCCTTTCGGGTCACGCTAGCACTGTTGCGTTGGTCTCTACATGCATCACTCCACACACCTGCCCCGAATGCCATCTCCTCCCTCAGCCCTTGGCTTCTCCTATCTCATCAAATGGTTTATGACCATTGATGTTCCTATCATGTAGGAAGCAAGTTGGGCCTGTTGGCCTGGTGACCTCCTCCACTACTCCACATCCTCTTCTGAGTGTGAGTAAGATAAGGGCTGTGTTACTAACTGCTGAGTTAATCAACCCAAACTCCCTTATATGGAGGGACAACTGGGAAAAGGAAAAGGCATTACATCCATGAGCTTTATGTCCTGTAGGTGGGACTAATTTCTATTTCTAGCTCATTCTAGGCTGAATCTCCATCAAAGAGGCCTACTGGCCTGTTCTCCCTCCAAAGTTGTTCTCACCAAGAGCAATCGGGCACCATTTTCTGATGCTGAAAAGATCTCAGAAATATGTTTTCTTATAAATGAAGTATTTTTAAAAGAAATAAAACAATGATTCCTAAGAGCTCACATTTTTTACTGCCTACTATGTGTAGACATTTTCACCCATGCAGATGCCAGCCAGATGGAAACCATCACAGGCAATTTCAAAGTGAGGAAACTGAGGCCCATGGCCATGCTACCAATGTGAGAGGGAGGCAAAATGAGAACCCAGGTTTGCCTGACTCAGCAGCTCAAGTACTTTCCCCTTATGTCTCTCAGTCATGGGGTAGGAAAGTTAGGACACCCGCTTCTTGCTCTAAAAAGGCCACTATTTAGCCAAACAATTTGAGTAAGTCACTTTACATAATGTATTATTTCATGAAATACTACAGTTGGATCATAGGCTTACTAAGATCCTTTCTAGTTCTAATATTTCATGAATGTAGAAATCTAAAACACCTCCAGCTGTTGACTGCCTTCTATACTTAAGGCACTGAGGCCAAAACAAAGAGCTATAAAACCATGCCTGTCCTCAGGGCACTTATAATGGAGTTTGAGTGACAAAGGATAACAAGTTGAGTTTGACTAATGGAAGAGTTAAACAATTAACAAATACAAAAATACCAGAGAACCAGACTACAGGGCAGTGCTTGAGAAATAACACCGCATACCAGCATGACTATACAAGGAGAAAAGTAGATTTCAACAATGGTAACACCCCTAACCCGGAAAATACATTTGTGCTGCCAGCAGAAAGAAAAGAAGAGACAGAAAACGCTTGCAGGAAAAGCCAGCTACTAGAAGGGATCCCGTCTGTTTCACAGGAAAGCTTTGTTTCTGACAAGTTTCGTAAAGGAAAAAGTAGGCTA
This sequence comes from Homo sapiens, assembly GCF_000001405.40. Lineage (NCBI taxonomy): Eukaryota > Metazoa > Chordata > Mammalia > Primates > Hominidae > Homo > Homo sapiens. The sequence continues at coordinate 68,176,007 of NC_000001.11, forward strand.
GAACAAGCTTTTTTATTTCCAACCCACCTTTTCTTCGTTCCCATGAATGAGGAGGGGATACAAATGAGAGCAGGCAGCCAGGGACAAAAATAATATGGCTGGTGGTTCCTGACCTCTTGGATTCCTGCCAACAGAGAAGCCTGAGAGGCAACATTTAATTGTGGAAAAACCAGCCTGGCTCTCCTCTTATCTTTTTCCTCTGTGACTTAAACCCACAATTACTGGCAACCCCTAGATTCCGAGTCACCCAGCTGGTGGTGGCAGCAATGGCTGTGTCTGTAGCTGAAAAGCAAAAGGGAGTCAGATTTTACCTGCCTCCGAAGCCAGCCCTGGGAGCACAGCCCTAACCCAGCTTGATGACTTCTCCCATTAAAAGGTTCACAGATGCCCTCCCGTTGGGAAAACCACCAAGTGAGAAGTCCAGATGGGAAAAAAAGAAACACGATTTTCAGCTGCTGTATAATTCAAAGGACAAGCTACGAGTCTCAAATCCTGAATTCCACATTTTATTTCAGCACTAGAGATGTGATGTTCAATTCCTTTTCTTAAGAAACAAACTCCAAATTTCTTAGCTGGTCATCAAGGCAACTCACCTACCAGGCCCTCTGTCTTTCAGCAGCTCATCTTTTTTCTCTAATATGGACACTTTTCTACAGCCCAACAAATGGGCTTACCGTCCTTTGCACATATGTTATTTCAGAGCATTTCATGATAGAAAAATATGGTCTTAGTCCTCACTTTCTCACCTAGAAATCACTTTGAAGAAGTCACTTAACTTCCATAATTTCATACTTGTTTAAATTTAAAACTTTTTCTCCAGTAACAGCCTCACAGAGGACAGTAGAGATTTAACCTTGAACATCTAGCATTGAGCCTGCAGAGGAGATGCATAATCAACGTTTCCTTCTCTATACCTAATGCCTTTGCTGAGTTACCTTCATCCAAAAGAATGTTCCCATTGCTAACTCTTGTCCTGATCTTTTCTTACCACTCTTCCACTCCAAGAGGTTGTCTCCCATACACCTCTGCTCCCATCTTAATATTCTTCCATTTCAAAATATTTTAATTTACATGCTGCTATGTTTATAGTCAAATATAATTAAATCATGCCTGTGGGCACATTCTCCTAAGGATGCTAAGAATTTTCCACATCTTCTATTTTAGGACTTTATCCAATTGCTTCAGTGCTGATCAGCATGCATTTTGGTACTCATGGGGCATACCCTCATCGGGATTCATAAACCTCTGAATTCCATGGGTGAGCTTCAGGGCTTCCATTGAAATATGAATACTAAATGTGCAAATGGGGTCTATGCATATTTGTCTCCCAAGGTTAAAGTCCTTGACCTGAAGTTAATAACCACTGTCCGGAAGTAATGAAAGGCCTGTGGCTAACATCCATGGACGGGGTCCTTTTTCTGAACACTCAGCCCTGCCACCTATGTTTCTGGGCTTCTATGCTCTCTCTGGAACACAATTCCTCCTTTCTATTCAAGTCCGAGAATAATAACTACTCACTCTTATTTATTTATTTAGAGACAGAATCTCAACCAGGCAGGAGGGCAGTGGCGCAACCTTCTGGGCCCAAGCAGTCCTCCTACCTCAGCCTCCCAAGCAGCTGGGACTACAGGGGCACACCACCACATCCTGATAATTTTTGTATTTTTTGTAGAGACAGGGTTTCACCATGTTGCTCAGGCTGGTCTCGAACTCCTGGGATCAAGAGATCTGCCCTCCTGGGCCTCCCAAAGTGCTGGGATTACAGGTGTGAGCCACTGCGCCCAGCCAACTATTCACTTATATTGAGCATTTACTATATGTATCCAGCACTTACTATGTAAAAGCCTCACATACACTATTCTAGTTTAATCCTTACAACAACCCTATAAAGGTAGTACTACTATTCTATTTTATAAGTGAGGAAAATGAAGTACAAGGAAGTTTCAAAAACTTCCTTGCCAAGGGTCTCATAATTTATAAGCAGCAGGCCAAACATTCATAATTTATGATTCAGCCCAAACACTCTGGCTTGAAAGTACTTAACCCAGTGCTGGAGTTGTCTCTCCAAGCTCTTTCACTTTCCAGAAAAAAATAAGACTGCCCTTGGACTGTTTCTTTGCCTTCACATTGTAAGTGATCACAGATTCCAACGCCTTTAAAACTCCACCTTTGACTCAATCAAAACATTTCCTTTTCCGTGAGTTAATCATTTCCCCTTCTATGTTTATGGACTCCTTTGGGTACTTAATGCACTGAACACACTGGTGTAATTTTTTAATTCTCTCTCCATGAATTAGACTGTGAGCTCCTAATTATTTTGAGTACACATGGAATATTTACTGTGCCTGGAATTGTGCTAAGGATATAACAATGAACAACACAGTGTCCCTGCCTTTAAATAATTCACTCTTAGGCCAGGAGTGGTGGCTTACGCCTGTAATCCCAGCACTTTGGGACTTTGGGAAGCCGAGGTGGGCAGATCACAAGGTCAGGAGTTTGAGACCAGCCTGACTAACATTGTGAAACCCCGTCTATACTAAAAATACAAAATTAGCTGGGCATGGTGGCACACGCCTGTAATCCCAGCTACTCAGGAGGCTGAGACGGGAGAATCACTTGAACCCAGGAGGGGGAGGTTGCGGTGAGCCAAGATCACGCCACTGCACTCCAGCCTAAGCAACAGATCGAGACTACATTTCAAAAAAAAAAAAAAGAAAAGAAAAGAGAAAACTAAACAAAAGAGGGTTATGATGGTTTCTGAAATTGTATTATGAAGAATAAGGACTTATCTTTATTTCTTAAATCCTGAGCAAAATGCTAGCATGTAGTACAAGTCCCAATAATGCCTATCGAATGAATGAATGAAATTGGGAAAGGGTTTTCAGATACTGAACTGCTAAACTGAAAGATCTACCATCCCATCATGAAACTCTTTGAGGTTATTTATACACTGACTCACCTAAAAACTGCTTCCTGTGTTGGTGTCTATGATACATTTTTTAATGTCAGACTAAAAATACACTTCCAGTACACCAACCCTGTCTGCCTACCTAAGGAGTAGAAATGAACACAAGGTCGCATGTAACAAAAGAAAAGAAAATTCACTCATTTCAACACTAAGCTCACCCTCTAACAAGAGCATCTGTCTTGACTGAGCACTATCTTCTAGAATGGTTTTCACTTGAGGGTCTCTGAAGTCATCTATTTACAAAACCAAAGGATACCAATGAGATTTTTTATAAAGTCAGAGAATCTTAAGTGAGTCATGGACTCTCAACTTCAGAGAGTTAGAGTAGATGGGACCTTAGGGGTCGTCTAGTATAATTTCCCACTCAGAACAGGAAGCACTCCATAGCCCTGTCAATAGACTCATGGTGGGATCAAGGCACTGGAGTCCTAACATCATGTACACTCATAGCCTCTCGACTTCCCAGCTGGGAGACTGGCAAATCATGTAAACTCTGTCATCCTCAGTGTCCTCACTCTGCCAGATATAATTGTTCCGATGATCAGATGAAATAAACGTTGTCTTAATTAGCGAACATTTGTTTGCAAGTAACAGGACTTCACCCCCACTAACTTAACCAGAAATCAGCTGGAGGGATACAGGAGTGCTTTAGGAAAATCAAGGGCAGAAAATGCTGAGAAGCTGGAGGGTCTGAAACCAGGAATAGAAAGCTGTCAGGAGGAAAGTCAACTCTTATAGTCTATTGTAATTACACTAATAGTCTTCATCTCCATTTCCTCTTTGCATCTGGTCTTCCCACTCTGCCAGTCAACAATCACGGCTTCTCTGTGCACGTGTAGAATGATGACTGCCCAGGTGGCTCTCATGGCTTTTCAGTTTAAGTGCTAATAAAGGTAGATCTCGAATTACTGAAACACAATTTCTTATAAGAGAGAATTTGATTGCTTCCCCTTTGGCCAAGGGACCACTGCTAGTCTGATCAGTTATGGCTTGGGGACTGATCATATGGCCAGTTGCCCATTCAGTAGAGGTGGTGGAACATGCTGAGGGAGGGGGAAGTTAAGGCCAAGTTCAGGCCAAGCAAATGACTGACAACAAAGACAAGCAACAGCATCTCTAGTGCGATGGTACTTTGCAAAGAAAGCACTGCCCCATGCCAGCTATCACTGTGGCCATCCTTATGATCCTCACCAACCATCTTCTGCTTGACCACTACCAGTAACAGGCTGCTCACTACTGGTAGAGGCAACCTTTTCATCAGCAAACAACTTCAGCTATTAGAACTCTTTTCCATGTGACAGCAACTTAAGATACTAAACTGAAATATTTGTAATCTTCTCCCAAGCCTTAACTTTAATGAAGGCATAATCTTGCTTGTTAGGTCAAGCCTGGGCTTTTCTTTCTAGTCAAAATATGAATAATGGGCAAAGCAAGATGTTGAGGAAAAGCTGAGTGTTGGGAGGGAAACTGAGGCAGGGCTTGCATAATGTCTTTGGGAATGTGTCTAGACTTGCTGGTTCCTTACTTCTAGCCCTCATAGGCTCCTAGGCTCCTATTCCCATTATCTCAAGTAGCAGAACATGTTCCATATAAATGCTAAACCATCACAGCTGTAGATCATGTGCCTGCTCTTTTGACCTCCACATTTTCACCACCTGTTTCTTTGTTGGATTACCAATAAATAGCATGGGCTCCCAGAGCTCAGGGCCTTCACAGCCTCTGTACACTAGTGATGGCCCCCTGGTGTCCCAACTTTCTCTCTCAAACTGTCTTTTTCTCAATCCTTTGACTCTGCTGGACTTTGTCACCCCCACAACCTGGTGTTGGGTCTGATCACCCCAACACAAGAGAGATAGATTCACTATGCAATTATTTTAGCAAACAACCTGGACCAGAACAAAGCCAGAACCTCTTCTTCCTATAAAGAATTACTACTATCTCTCTACTAACACCATTACTAATGACTCACTAAAGCAAAAGAGGATCTGGAACTGTTTCTAGCATCAGTGTGTAGACAATAGGTAGGGTTGGGGAAAATGGTTTTTTCCAATGTAGAGTCCCTAGCACTTTTGCAAGCAGAATTCTGCCTTGCTCTCATTTAACTTCCTTTTGCTTAGAAAAATATAATCCAGAAAATAATCTTAACTTCATTTTTTTAAGTTAACCAAGATAAAGTTGTGAATTCCCCATAAAAGAACCTCATAATAGCTATGTTATGACCAGCTGGCATTTAAATACTGAAAGACCCAAAGTTAGAAGAGGAGGTGAAAACAAAAAAATACCTTCTATACATTGGGGGCACCATTAAGGGATGTGCTGCTTCTGGCTTCTCTGCTCTTCACATTAGTCAATGATGTCACCAGGTTTTTATTTTAGTAATCAGGATATACTTGTATGGATGCAAAGAGAATATCCTCATTTATATTCTAAACTCAGAGCAGGAAATGAGACACGTGGGTGATCTGCAGCTGTGGCACTATAAACAGGGCCAGCCTACCACCTAGTCTAGATTCTAGACTGCACTTCATTCCCTGAAATACTGATTGGGAGATTTTAAAAAATTGAAAATATATCATTTTAGAAAGACCAGTGCATCTTCTGTGCAAGGATCTTAGAGTCCGCTGTTTGGTAGAAGGCTGACTCACCTGTATGGGGTGGTGCACGTGTTGTTAGGTACCATCTACCTATCTACACCACTGATGTACAACGAGGAGATCCTGCCCTGGCTCCAGCCAGCTGTGCCACCGTGGGCGAGTACCACAGAGTTCAAGCTTTCTCCAGCTGCTAAATTAAAGGATTAGTGCTTTAACTTGGGTCAACCACCCATTTGCAAACCTGACAAGAACCACAAACACTCTTACTTCAAAAATGCATATAAGCAAATACCACTGAAATTTTATGTAGAGTATCAAGGGGTTCTCTTAGCCCTTACACTCCAGTCTAAACTGCTTGGTTGATGATTGTTAGACCAGCAGCCCTCTAGTATTCCTTTCAGCACTCCAAGCTAAAATAAAACAGCTGATGTTTAGTAACAATTTCTGCAAATTATTCAACACCATAGAAGAGTGTTTTGTTAAGACTAGAGACTAATCTAACACAATCTACTCAACAATGTTAAATTGACCAGTAACCAATAGATGACTAGAAGAAAGTGTATGTAACTAGATATACCAAACTATAGATACTAATTTTAAAATCTTGGAAAGGTTTTGGAGGAGCCCTACTGTTTCTGAATTGGAATTTTTCATTTGCAAATACTTAACAAAACCCACCAAGCCAGATAGAGCTCTATAGCGATGCCTATGGAGGAGCCTTATAATGATGTTGTCCAAGTAATGTGCTTAACAATAATCACACTCAAAGCCAAAGGTTCCCATGCTCCTGCCAATATAACATGCTCACAACGGTCAATTCCAAAGGAAGAGCTGTCAAGAAGTGCCTGAAGATTTCCTCAAAGGGAGAGATAATTCATGAGCAAACAAACATCATGTCCCTAATCTTCTCTATCCTGGGGTAAACAAAATATAGTTTTCTCCCATGATTTCAGTTGCTTTCTATACCAAGTCAGTAAGTAAAACTGATTCATACTGGTAACTTCCAGGTTCCAGCCTTGGTTTGAAGGGGCACACAATTCAATAAGAGTAAAGAAGACTGGCCATGTAAGCCCATCTTGAATACTGACAACTTCCGTACCATTTACCTAACACTACAAACCCTACTCCATTTAAGTCTCTGAGATCTTTTTGATGTATTTTGAGCTTTTCAACTTGCCTTTTTTGGTGGGAGAGGAGGGAGGAGGAGAACAAAGGGAGAATTTGAAGTTTTTATTTCTGCTTGCATTGACTCAAATTGTGGTAAAGAAACTTAAAAGGTAACTTTAAAATTCTAGTGACACTAGCCAACAATGAAAACTATCTAATTAGAATGTTAGAGGTTTTTTTTGTTTGAGACAGAGTTGCTCTGTTGCCCAGGCTGGAGTGCAGTGGTGCGATCTCGGCTTGCTGCAACCTCCACCTCCCAGGTTCAAGTGATTCTCCTGCCTCAGCCTCCCAAGTAGCTGGGATTACAGGCACACGCCACCATGCTGGGCTAATTTTTGTATAGACAGGGTTTCACCATATTGGTCAGGCTGGTCTTGAACTCCTGACCTCAGGTGATCCACCCACCTCAGCCTCCCAATGTGCTGGGATTACAGGTGTGAACCACTGTGCCCAGCCAAAATGTTAGATAGTTTTAACACAGGCTATAACATAGTCATAAATTAAAGAAGACATGGTCGTAAATGAAAGAAGACCTCTTTTTGGTGGGAGTAGTAGTAGGGGTGGGAGAGTAGAGTTATACATTTCTTCTTAGCAGTTGCTTCAACATATTTTATTAATAAGGACTATCTGCTGAAGCACAGAAATACAATTATGTGAATATCATACTACCAATGGCCTGTTCCATCATAGCAGGGATAGTTCTTATAGTGTATAAAATCCTCTGCCCCATTCAGCTCTCTTTATGGAGCTTTCCTCAGAAGCATCAGAAAACACAGAATTAAATATCACAATTCTTGTTGAAGGCCAAAAATTAGTTCCCAGAAGGATTCTTTGACTTTCATCCTTCTACAAATTCACCCATCACCATTGTAGATAATGTGAGGGGTGAATTTGTAGAAGGATGAAATTCAGAGAATTGTTTATGATCAATAGATTGTTCCCTTTATTCCAGTTGTCTTCCCTTGATGTCCACTTAACATTCCATAATAAATGGACAAATGGAAAAGCACAATTACTCTGCCAAAAGTCAGTCAACATTCTCCCAGGACACTCAGCCATCTAACTTGAAAACTGACTGGTAATAATATCATTCTAATTACTTTAACTAGAAATTTGTTATACAGAAATGCTTTCAGTGTGGGGAAAGAAAAATCACTTGCCACTTATAGAAAGAATTCTGCTTCATGTGACCATTTGCAATAATGAAACAAGTAAGACAACACTGGGTTCCAGTGTACAGCACAAGGATCAAGGCGAAACATAATGCTTTCATTACGTAAGAATAGGACTGACATTATTCTGGCTTTCCCCTACCCTTCATCATTTACCAATATTTTTTCAGTCTCAGGAATTTTTCAACCCCTGAAACTCCTAGATTTACTACTCAAGACACAGCTATCCATCTTGAGGCTTTCTGCCAATGGCTCTAGTGCTTCTATTTCAACAGCTTATAGATTTGAAAGCTGGAAAGAGAGATATGTAAACAAATTCTCTAACTTTGATCTATGCACCCAGGTTTCTCAAAAGAAGCCCTTGGAGAGTCTGGGGTATACTAAGTGTATGACTTGCAGTTGTAATCATTAGAGTGACAACCCATTTCCAGTGGGTACCGTTTTAGCCAACCCAAACCTTTCTTTTCCTAATGCATAGAGTGACTTTTTAAAAAATGGTATATTTGGGAAAGTATTTTAGAATGGCATGTTAACAAAACAAAAACACTCTAGAATATATTTTCAAATAACAGAACTTGGCCTTACCAAGAGGTCTAATACCATCAGGTAAATAATCATTTTTATCAGTGATTCATAATACATCCAGACTCTAAATGTTAAGGCTGACTTTTTTCTGACACTCTTCTCTGCCTATTCATACTCCATTTCCTAACTCCTTTAGAGTAAAAATTGAAATCCCATATCCCTAACAACTAGACAGAAGCATCATGTTTACATCCTGACAAATTCATTAATTCTGTACCTCTGAAATATTTAGCAAAAAGCCAGCACTGACTCAATCATAGATTTCCACAGACAGGTCTGTTCATATTTGTAATTGGTATTCACTGAAAGGTCAATGACTCCTGTTCCCAAGTATCTATGAGTCTCTAGATTTTCTTAATTGGCCTCTTTTCCTCAGCTCTTACAGACTATTGTTTTAAAACTACCACCATTTAGAAGTTGAACTCCGAGTGAGGGGAAAAACAAACAAACAAGCAAACAAAAAAAACACTTTTTGATTCCCACTCCACTCATAATCAACATAACACAGACTACTTCTGACCCAGGTGTGATGGAAGGAGCGGGGCACAGAGTCGGGGGAGGTTTCTCCACACACCAAGCAAGCAATCAATCACTTCCACAGCAGACATCAGCTGGGTGTCCAAAAATTCAATTTTGACACCACTTACCTGGAAATAGCATCAAGTCTCATAGGTTGAAAGCTCAGTCCCATAAGACTGCTCCCCACTTCAGATGCCCATCGAAAAAACAGGTTGTGGCCTGTTATAAATACGCGTTCCCATGACCCTCCTCCTTAGGATTGATTGATTTGCTACAGAGGCTCACAGAACTCAGGGAAACACTTAACTTATGCACGTTATAAAGGATATGACAAAGGATACACATGAACAACCAGATAAAAGATTGATAGGGTAAGGCATGTGGTATGGCAGGGATCCCTGACCCTCTGGCAGCAGACAGGTACCAGTCAGTGGCCTGTTAGGAACTGAGCCATATAGTAGGGGGTAAGAGGTGGGTGAGCAAGTATTATAGCCTGAGTTCTGCCTCCTGTCAGATCAGCTGGCATTATATTCTCATAGGAGTGGGAACCCTATTGTGAAGTATTCATGCAAGGGATCTAGGCTGCATGCTCCTTATGAGAATCTAATGCCTGATGATCTGAAGCGGAACCATTTCATACCCAAACCATCCCCCATCCCCTCATCTGTGGAAAAAGTGTCTTCCATGAAACCGGTCCCTGGTGCCCAAAAAGTTGAGGATGGCTATGATAAGGCACAGAGCATCCCTGTCCTCTCTAGGGTGCCATGCTCCGGGAACCTCTGCAAGTTCAGCTGTCTGGAAGCTCCCAGAACCCAGTCCTTTTGAGTTTTTATGGAGGCTTCATTACCTAGGCATGACTGATTACATTATTGGCCATAAGCGAGTGACTCAATCTTTAGGCCTCTTCCCTCCTGGCTGTTGGTGGGTGGGGCTGAAATTAGTTCCCCACCCTTCTAATCATGCCTTGGTCTTTCAGGTGACCATTCTGAAGCTATCTGGGAGTCCCCAGCCATCAGTTGACTCATTAGCATGCAAAGAGGCATTCCTATCACTCAGGAGATTCCAAGAATTTTAGAAGCTGTGTATCAGGAAATTTATTACTATAAAGTACCTTATAATGCCATCATTTTTCTCCCAAAGGCACTGGCTTGATTAAATTCAGAAATTAAAACAATGGCCAGCTTCTATAGTGTAAGTCAATGCTTTTCTAGTTTTCTGAGGGTTTGGAAACTCAAATCCTAGCTAAAACCTGTATCACTTTTAAATTGAAAAATTTAAAGGGAATAAACATTTAACCCCAAGTGACTAGAAGTCATTTAAAATATGTAGTACTTAGATTATTTTATCTACTCAAAGACTCTTCAAAAGTAGATGAAAACACTAACCAGATATATATTATAAACCCAAGCTTTAATTTCAGAGCCCAAACATGAAATCTCTTCTCATTGTTTGAAATCTGAAACTCATTTCAAAGACTGCCACGAAAAGTTAAAAAAAAAAAAATGGATTGGTCTTGACTTTTCCTTACATATGAAGTAATATTGTTACAGGTGAATCTCTGATAAGCAGGAAGCCATCATGTGTAATAGGATCTTGTTTGCCACACTCCCAAACTCTTCTCTGAAGTCCTGTTCATTGCTGTCAGAAAGGAATCCAAAGTAATGATAAACAATATAAAAAGTAGAGAGTCTCATGCATTCTTAATACCAAAATCAGAGAGAAATCTAGACCTGATGTGCCTGTTATACTAAAACATGTGTGTATATGTATATTGCTGAATATATATAACATAATATATATAATCTGTATAATCAATGCCTTGCTCAGTGTCCATAAGCAAAGGTAGAGAGGATAAATTTAAGGAAATGAATATTCCCACAAACACAACATGTAACTTCTCATATAATAGTTAGCAGCTGGCCAGGCATGGTAGCTCACGCCTGTAATCCCCGCATTTTGGGAGGCCGAGGCGGGCGGATCACAAGGTCAGGAGATCGAGACCATCCTGGCTAACACGGTGAAACCTCATCTCTACTAAAAATACAAAAAAATTAGCCGGGCGTGGTGGCAGGCGCCTGTAGTCCCAGCTGCTAGGGGAGGCTGAGGCAGGAGAATGGCATGAACCCGGGATCGTGCCACTGCACTCCAGCCTGGGGGACAGAGCAAGACTCCATCTCCAAAAAAAAAAAAAAAAAAAAAATTAGCAGCCAAAATGTGTTGCTGCTACTCATGAAAAGTATTTTTTGGTGTGGTTTTCTTGATAGCTCTATTAAGAAAGTTATTTTATACATTTATCAAATGAATAATTAGTGGTCCATCTTGTTAACTTTTTAGTATGCCCCCTATTAAGTGCTAGTTCTCATGTTATAAGAAAATTAAGGATTATTTTTAAGTCAGAAAGCTTGAGTACAGTATTTTTGTAGATGAAGATAAAATATTTTAAAGCATGAAGATGTACATGAGAAAAAAATAAGACATTAATATTTATATATAGAAATGTTTTAAAGCTTTGCCAACATGGGCATTTTTGTTGTTTAGGATTAGTATTTGCTGGGAAGTAATTCATCTGTGAAATTATTTAACATGTAGAATTATTTCTTAGTTTCTGGTTTGGGAGAAATGCTCAAGAGTTGAGCTTAAAATCATTTTATTCACACTGCTAAAGCTGAAAAATGTAAACAGGGAGCTTTCAATACATTTCAAATGAGTTTGGAGAATTCTAAAATATTCAATCCATTTATAATGAATACAAAACATCATTAGAAACTGGCAAAAAAAAAAGTAGCTAAAAGTATTCGAGTTATTTCACATTACTGGGAAAGTTTCTTTTAAAAAGTTCAGTTATAAATAACATTCACTAAACATATTTATCCTTTTTTCAATTTTGGTGGTATAATTTTAGAAATTTATCGTTGACTTTTAAAATTTCACCTAAACTTACCTGAGGCTCTGCATTATGTTACTCAATGATTCTGATGCCAAGTTTTGAAATCAAATTATAGGCCAGTCACCTTCAGTGATGTAAAAGGTAGAACCACAAGATAATCCAGCACTTTCCTCACAACCTGAAAACGGAACCTGTGGCAAGTACCTGCCCAAGTGTCAGACTATGCTCTAAACAACTGCCTGTCATGTAACAGGCTGCTCGAAAGCAGCAACATACTACTCCTATAGTCAATTCTTAACTTCTTAACCACAATTTCATCAGTGTAAAAAATATAGGAGCAGTGGGGACCAGACTTACATATACTGAAATGTTAAACAACAGAACTCTTATTTTGAAGTGTGGGAGGGGAGGAAGCACCTCAATCAGTTGCTTTATGTTCCTTTTAGTGGCAGAAGAATGATACAATCCAGTATTTTCATCCACAGCTCCCTAAACACAAAGCTGTGGATTTCATAAATGTAAATATACTGCGTAATCTGCCCACTGGGAGTTCATAGTTTAGTAAGGACTCAGAGAAGACAATTTCACTGTGCAGAACACAAGGCTGATAAAGTAAACATCACAAGGCCAGTAATGAAGAATGCGTAAGGAAAGACAGATTATATCCAGGAAGGAATGAGGACGGGAGATAATATAGAAAATACCTAGGAAGGCTCCAGGGGAATGTAAAATTTGGGATGTTGTGAAGAATGAGTAGGTTTATCTGGGAGGAGCCCTTCATTTGTGAGAAGAGGAATCACAAGAGAGGAAGAGGCAGGCAGGATCAATATCAGCGAAGACGCAAAGGGAGAAACTCTCTGGATGTGTTTACAGGGCAGGAAACTACTCCTTTTGAGGATGCAGAGAATGGTTACTGGCCAGCAGTGAGGAAGGAGGCTAGAAAGAAGCCTTGAGCCAGGAAGCGAGAGGACTCTGAACACCGAGTCTTATTTGTTAGTCACTGAAGATGTTTTGAGCAAGGAAATGATAAATTAAAGCTAAAAGAGTCTCCTCCTTATCAGAGGTTTCACCTTCAGTGGTTTCAGTTAGCAGAGGTCAATCACAGTGTAAAAATATTAGATGAAAAATTCCAGAAATAATTCTTAAGTTATAAATTGTGCACTGTTCTGAGTAGCATCATGAAATCTTGTGCTGTCCCCTGATAAGAATCACCCCTCTGTCCAGCATCTCCCTGCTCCTGCCTGTTAGTCACTTAGCAGCCATCTAGGTTACTAGATCAACTGCTATGTATTACAGTACTTGTGTGCAAGTCATCCTTATTTTCTCTCATTGCCCCAAGGTGCAAGAGTAGGGATGCTGGCATTTCAGATGTGCTAAAGAGATAAGTCAAGTGCTTCCTTTAAGAAGATGAAAGTTCTCAACTTAAAAGAAAAAAAAATCTTATGCTGAGGTTGCTAAGATCTACAATAAGAATGAATCTTCTGTCCTTAAAATTGTGAACAGTATATTTTTTCTTTCATTATTAATTATTGTTGTTATCTTTTACTGCACCTAATTTATAATTTAAACTTTATTCTAAGTATGTATATATGTATAGGAAGACACATCATGTATGTATATAGGGTTCAGTACCGTGATTTTAGGCACTGGGTGGTCTTAGAACATATCCCCTGTGGATAAGGAAGACTTACCTCTACCACGTGCTTCTTTTATAAAGACTAATCTCACTAACCAAGGTGTAGAAGTAAGAATTGGAAAAATGGCTGAATTTCAGCAATAAGGATAAATATAATTGGATAATTGTAATAGCTACTTTTAATTTTTAACTGTTTTAATAGTACTTACTATGTCCAGGCTGGGTGCAGTGGCTCACACCTGTAATCCCAGCACTTTGGGAGGCCGAGGTGGGTGGATCACCTAAGGTCAGGAGTTCGAGACCAGTCTGGCCAACATGGCGAAACCCCGTCTCTACTAAAAATACAAAAATTTAGTCCCAGCTACTCAGGAGGCTGAGGCAGGAGAATCTCTTGAACCCAGGAGGCAGAGATTGCCGTGAACCAAGATCATGCCACCGTACTCCAGCCTGGGTGACAGAGCGAGACTCCGTCTCAAAAAAAATAAATAAAAAATAAGTACTTACTATGTCCTAAAAGTTTTACATAAACTAATTTATTCCTTAGAGTGAGTTGGTTAATTAGGCATTATTATCCATATTTTACAAGGGAGGAAACTGGCTAAGAGCGGTTCTGTAACTTCCCCAATACTGCAGAGCTTTTAAAAAGTGGCACAAGGATTTAAACCCATTGCTGTAGGACTCCTAAGTCCATGCTCTTAAAAAACTTTCTATCTTACCCCCTAATCTAGATATAAATCAGGGATCACATTTCAAATGAAACTGTGACTCCATTGAAAAGTATGCCAGCAGGTAGTCAGCCTCTAAGATGGTCCTTAATGATCCCCATCTCCTGGCATTCATGCTCTTCTGTAATCACCTCCCTTGAGTGTGGGTTGAACTTACTAGTTCACTTCTAACCAACAGAATACAGCAGAAGTGATGGAATGTCGTTTGCAAGATTCAGCGGTTTCCCTCTCCAGCACTGCTCAGGCTCTCTCTTGGCTCACTATCCCTGGGGGAAGCCCGCTGCCATGTTGCGAGGCAGTCTTATGGAGAGACCCATGTGGGAGGGATGGAAGCCTGCCAACAACCATGTGAGAGAGCTTGGAAGCAGATCCCCCTTCCCCGGTGGAGCCCTCATGCCTGATGAGACTGCAGACCAGGCCAACAGCTTAATTGCAACCTTGAGAGAGTTTGAGCCAGAGACTCCCAAACTAGATTCTTGACCCACAGAAATGAGGAGCTAAGAAATGTTTATAGGTGGCCAGGCACGGTGGCTCACGCCTGTAATCCCAGCACTTTGGGAGGCCGAAGTGAGTGGATCACCTGAGGTCGGGAGTTCTAGACCATCCTGGCCAACATGGAGAAACCCCGTCTCTACTAAAAATACAAAAATTAGCCAGGCGTGGTGGCACATGCCTATAATCCCAGCTACTCGGGAGGCTGAGGCAGGAGAATCTCTTGATCACGGGAGGTGGAGGTTGTGGTGAGCCAAGATCGTACCATTGCACTCCAGCCTGGGCAACAAGGGTGAAACTCAGACTCAAAAAAAAAAAAAAAAAATGTTTATAGTTGAAAGCTCCTAACTTTTAGGGTAATTTGTTACCCAGCATTATTAATACAGTCAGTAGACAGTAATTATTTATTATTACAGGGTAAATCTTTTTCTTTATACTTGGAGCTAGAAGTAGGGATCTGTCTAGGAGAGATTATACCTGAAATAACCACAACCAGCCCAAATAACAGAATACCACGTCCTTTACCTTTCCACCCAAACATACATAAATCAGGTAATCTACCTATCTCATCCTCCCATGGCTCTTCTTGTTGTCCTTATTCTCCTTTGCTTGAATGCATTCTTAGGAATAGAAATGCTAAAACCCAAACCTGCAGGTTTCAAAAAAAAATTTTTAGACATACAGTTTTGAATCTCATAGCAAACTCTTTCCTTCCCAAGGCTCCTCACATTACATTGTGTATTCTTATTATAGCACATAACATGTTTTTTCTTATTTGTAGGTTTAAGTGTCTGTTTTCCAGGCACCCTCTTCCCTAACCCGTTACAAGAATCATGTCTCGTGTGATCTTATATCCCCAGTACTGAGTGTTCGTATGGCTGGGACTTAATAAAGTTTAAATGAACTCATGAATAAATGTGTTGCACAACCAATGAGTGAGTGAGTGAACAAGTGAGTCAATAAGCAAGAGTTTAGGGACATGGGAACCACCACTTAAAAGCTTGAGGCTGTTGTGCAAATTTGGACCTTCATATAAGCCATTTCCTTCTATATAGAATGCTCTTTCTTTTGCTCATCCTCACCTCCTCACCAGGCTTTTCTCTCTTTAACATTCACCTCAAAGAGCTGTCTGATTGCCTCTCTACAACTCTCCCCGCCAACACACACCCACACACCCTACCAGGGAAGTCTTCCTTTTCTCTGCTGTGAAGCCTTTTCTTTAAGTTTCCATATCCTCCTGGGCATAACTTGGTCACAGCACCCAGCATACCACACTGTAATGATTAGTTATTTGCCTGTCATTTCCACTTAGCCGTAAGTTCCTTAAAGGACAGCATATTCAGCTAACAGCAGAATGCCTAGCAGTGGTAGGCACTCAAAAACAGTTTAAAATAATGGGCAAGAGAATGAATGAATGAGAAAAAGAAAACTGTATCTAGAAAATTATCTCAGCACAATCTATTTATTTCAGGTAAGCTATCAGTCAGGTATACATAGTGCTCCAACTCCTAAACAGAGTAAAAATAATTGTACATCAAGATTATTACAGATACATGAAAATCATATTTAGAAATAGTACTTCAGATCAGGCATGGTGGCTCACAGCTGTAAACCAAAAATTTGGGGAGGCTAAAGTGGGAAGATTGCTTGAGCTCAGGAGAGACCCCCATAAAATTTTAAAATTTAAGGCCAGGTGCAGTGGCTCATGCCAGCTACTCAAGAGGCTGAGGTGGGAAGATCGCTTGAGCCTGGGAGGTTGAGGCTGCAGTGAGCTGTGATGACACCACTGCACTCCAGCCCAGGCAAAAGAGAAAGAACCTGTCACACACACAAAAAAAAAAGAATAAAAAATTACAAAATTAGCGTGCCTGTAGTCCTAGCTATTCATGAGGCTGAGGTGGGAGGATAGCTTGAACCCAGGAGTTCGAGGATGCAGTGAGCTATGATTATGCTACTGAACTCCAGCCTGGGCCAGCATTCGAGATCAGCCTGGGGAACATAGGAGACTCTGTCTCTTAAAAAAAAAAAAAAAAAAACAGAAGAAGAAAGAAATAGTTTTCAGGCCAGGCACAGTGGCTCACACCTGTAATCCCAGCACTTTGGGAGGCCAAGGTGGGTGGATCACCTGAGATCAGGAGTTCAAGAGCAGCCTGGCCAACATGGTAAAACCCCATCTCCACTAAAAATACAAAAAAAAAAAAAAAAAATTTTGCTGGGCGTGGTGGTGGGTGCCTGTAATCCCAGCTACGTGGGAGGCTGAGGCAGGAGAATCACTTGAACGCGGGAGGCGGAGATTGCAGTAAGCCGAGATTGAGCCACTGCACTCCAGCCTGGGCAACAAGAGCGAAACTCTGTTTCAAAAAAAAAAGAAAAGAAAAGAAAAGAAAAAGAAATAATGTTTCAATCTATGGACAGGCCCTAGACAGAGCTGCCTTTAACACATCTTTTTCCCTTTCCCTCACATCCTTGATCCCATCTCAGTCAAAAAGGAAAAAACAAAAAGTTTTCTTACTTCTCAGCCTAAGATTCCTGATACTGTCCCCAGATGCCATACATGTATTGGCCTCCCAGAAATCACCCAGTGATTTTCTCCCCATGAAAAGTTTATATGTCTCATGCCCTCAGAGTTTTTAACTGCAAATAAGCTAAAAAAAAAAAAAAAAAAAAAAAAAAAAAAAAAAAAAAAAAAAACGAAAAAAAAACCTGGTTTGGTGGGGAAATGGGTGCTCATGGGTTGGCATTTCCATTTTGGTAGGCATCTTTTTCTAAGGCCATAGCTTTACTCAAAGCCCAGTGGAAAAAGACATTTAAAAAAAAATAAAAACCTTTCAGGAACCCTCAAGTCACTCCATTGGGGTGAACTCCCCTGTGACACTAGAGAGGTGGTGAAGCTTGGTGGTTAGGGCAGTTTTCTGAGTCAGAAATCTCAGCTTTTCCACTCTCTAGTCTTCAGATCATGAGTAACCTCACTGGTGCCCAAGTGTTCCATCTGTAAAATGAAATAATAAGACTACCTCAAGGAACCTGGTGGGAAGATTAAATGGGTTAATACAGGTAAAGTACACAGAAAGTGCCTGGGAAGTAGTCAATAATTGTTTGCTATTACTATTACCATTTTTACTTTTATTAGAATTGGCTCAAAAAGAACCCAAAGAGGGCAATGCTCAAAGGGAAGAAAGGGATGAGAGGAGAGTACACTTAACTGATTTGGTTGTTTAGCTTGAAGGCAATGTCCAGCTGCAGGATAAACAGCATGAATTGGAACCAAGGACTCATCTCCATGTGGGGGAGGGGAATGTGAACAGAAAACACGATGTCATTGGCTTCAATTTCCCTTGGAATTGCCTCTTCAATGTCTCGGATCTTGTCACAATGATTGGGTCCCCAAGGCACGAACCATTTTGTCTTGTGATGGTTCTTACGGGCATCCACACATTTCACCGACATGTAGGACACTGCCGTTGTGGGCCCTGGAGCTGAAAAGAGAAAGTTTGTCTGTTTTAGAAAAGCCATCTATTGAAACTACTGTTTCTGGTTAATATTCTTTCCACTGCTGTGTTCCCTCCAGCTTTTGTATCGCCTTCTACAAGTGGGGCTCAGCAATACTTAGGGATCTTCCAAATCTGGGTGAGGATCTTTCACTGACCTCCAGAGGTGTCATAACAGTATCTCTGAGAACCTTCCCATTATGTTTTCAATTGCTGTGAAAGAATACATTTGTAACCAGTCTAGTTATACTTCCCCACTTCAAAACAATGTCACAAAAAATCAACTGTGCTACAGTTCCCACCTGATTGAGGTCTTGGAGAGCTCTGGTGCTTCATAGAGAACAGTATCTAAAGTCAGAAGACCTTAGTCTTCAAACCTGGATTCGAAGCCTGGTTAAAAACCTACTGTCAGTGAATCTTGGGTAAGTCAGTTAAATCTGTAATAGCTTCAGGACCCTCATCTGAGAAACGGAAGAGTTTCTAAGATTCCTTTTGGCTCTAAAATTGTACAACATTGCTTTTGCTTAAGATAAAGAACTAGGGGACACCAGTTAGCTTGGTACCTAGCAGAGAATGGGAACTCAAACACTGACTGATACTTCAAAAGTGTACTAAAATATAAACGATGCACTTCAAGACAGCAAAGCAACTTTGAAATGTGTAACTTTAAAAACACTATTTTGTGATTATATAATGGTTATATGATTATAATATTAATAACTTGGAAAATACAGAAATTTTAAGTTCAAAACAACATTTACCCAAAATCCCACTAGAGGGAAGTAACCACTGTTGGAAAATGTCAAAATGCCATCTGTCTTTTCTATGACTGTGTAATTAGATAAAAAGTTTACACATGAATTAAATTGTGTAACTTTAAAATATACGCAAATATTAACACATATTTATAAAATAGTTATATCATGCATAGTTTTGTAGTCTTTTCTTTTTATTCACTTAGAAAAGCAGAGTATTGTGTGATAACACCAGCTCTGGAGGCGACCTGTCTGGTGTCAAATCCTGGCTCTCTCATTTTTAGTTGTGTCACCACAAATCCACACTAGGAAAGTTTTGGGCAAATTACTAAGCCTATCTCTGTATCGGTTTTATCATCTCTTAGATGGCAATAATAATAGTACTGATCTTTCCAAGTCACTGCATATTTTAAACAAGTTAACATATGAAAGCACTCAGAGTAGTGCTTGGGCACACACAAAGTATAAAATATTAGCCATTATATCATATTTTCTTTATAATTAAAATCTTTCAGTTAGTAGTTGCAAAATAGTCAATCACACAATACACCAAAATCAACTTCTCCTTCATCAGTTTGTAAAGGCTATCTATAAGAATAATCCTTTGCCTAATATGTTTTGTTGGAAATTTCTCCTAAACTTTCCATCTGCTATCTAAATTTGTTTATGCACATTTAAATAGAGAAGTTCCAGATCTTATATGGAATCCCTCTTTTATGTTTTTCCCCCCATGCTTTTGTGTTTAGAGAAACTGACCTTCTTCATCTCAAAATTCAATAGTCATCTATATTGACTTCTATTTATTTTTTGCAATTTCATTTTTTCTAATATTTAAACAGTTGATCCATCTGAAAATTGCTATAAGAGATGCAGTGAGGTTCTAGTTTTATTTCTTAAATATTTAAATTATAGTTGATTGAACAGACCCTCCCTTTTGTTGATTTATCATATCACTGTTAATCTTTATGTATGTAAGCATGTTTCTGAACATCTGTTCTTTTCCATGCATTAAACTGTCAATTCACGGGTCAGCACAACATTGCTTTGAATTTTATAAATTTATTATTTTTATCAATATCTGCTAGAGTAACTCTCTTCCCCAATCCATTTCAAATTTACATCTTTTTGCTAGGATATTGAAGATTAAATTAAATTTATAAATAATAAATATATAATAATAAATTAATGTGGACAGAATTAGCATCCTTCCCCAGCGTTTAGTTTTCCCATCCAAGAACAGTACTTGTTTCTCCATTGTCTACAATCTGTTTTTAAATTTCTTGGAAAACTTTCATTGTTTTCTTTATGTGGGTCCTACTAGTATATTTTAAAATAGATACATCTATAAACCTTTGAAAGTTAGTAGTTAAAAGAAAGTGTCATCAATTATGGTTTATGTGTGTGGTTTAAATATGTGTATTTCTGTGCATCTGATACTTGGTATATTATGTTTGCAGAAATTCTCTCTTATTTAATAGAGATCAGATAGCAATGGAGAAACATGAAAAGCAAAAAGAAAGTTATATAACGGGAAAAATGTGTATTATTAATATTCTGCCCTACTTCTAATGTTCGAATCCACATTATTTTTCTATTCTATTAAACATCTATTTTAATGATACATTTTTAGTAAAATGTTATGTTTGTAAGAAGTTAGGACAATGCCTATTAATACTTACCAGAAAACTCAACACTACTAAGCTCTAGCTGAACATCCTTCATGTAGAAGGCTGAACACTGCAATACAAGTTGCCACTAACCCCTGCTACAGACGTTTTTCTTTAAAACTCAAAACTGTATCACGAAGACCTCACATCTAATCCATCTAAAATCAGACATCTGACTTATTCTTAGAAATATGAGTCAATCAAACTTTGGTTATCCTGACTCAGCTAAATAGCCCACTGACATTAGAAAAGCCAAATGGCACATTTAACTGAACCCTTTTTAATGTGGTTGGAGAAATAAACAGTGAGACAAAAGTCATGAATTCTATTTTCGGCTAACATACTCAAACTGACTATTTGCTGCAGAAAATAGTTACTACATTTTAAAACTTCTATTCTTCCAAAATGAACCTAACCTTTTTTTCTTTATTTTTTACCTTCTTGAAAAACAAGTCTCTCACTTCTCAGGCCAAAACGAAAAATAACTAGCTGAGTTCCTCAGCTAAGCTCCAAAACCACATTCCAAACTTAATAACAGAGAAGCTGAACACTTTATGGTCACAAAGTCCGCATTTTTAATGAATGCAGTGAACGCCTGCCTTTTTAGGGGCCTGCATTATTTTCATCCTCTCATTAGTCTAGTGTTTCTTCTATAAAGAAAAAAAATCCCAGAAATACTAATATTTTCATAAATATCATGGCAGTGAACTTGGAGAAGCCTCAAGTGCATCTCAAGCTATACTGTGAGAATCACAATTTTTTTCACTTGAATAAATTAGTCCTTGAGTCTCAAAAATGCTTTCCATAACTTCAAAACCTGAAGATAATTCAACATTTTCCGTTTTTCTAATAGTGTTCAAAAGAGAAAACACAAGTATTGCTTGAGAAAGTAAACAGACATCCTGATATTCAAACATGGACAGTTAATGTTCCCCCAATAATATATTTACAGCTCAGTGCAATGTCCTACTCCAGCTAAAAGTGAATTCCCAAGTGTTTCTTTATATAGACAGCATTATCACGTAAACCAAAAGCAAAGCTTACAGCTGGTAGCTGGTCACCTACCATAGAATGTGTTTTCATTAGCTATAGTCAAAATTTTAGCTACATGGGTCACAAATTGTGTCTAGAATCAAAAAAAGTTTGATCTGTCTGTAAATTTTTTTAAAGTGTGTGGGATTAAGAGAAAAGAGCTAAATGGAGGAAGTTTAAATCATCTTCAACCTTTGAACAAGCCACAATAACAGGTATTTGTAATGAAGGCCTTACTTAGTCACTTGCGTGGTTCTAGGGATTAATAGAGTTTGTGTATTCAAGAGGGGGCTGGATAGATTCAGGTCAACAAACTGAGTCATGTTTGCTCAGGTGAAAGCTAAAAATAACCACTCCCCAGTATTCCTAGGAGAGTAATGCAATATTACCCAGCTGCCTCAGCACACATTATAAATGTCTCCTCCACCCACCCATAGTATAAGGTTTAACTGAAAACAAGTAGGCCAAAAACTACTTCTACACCAGACCAATTCAATGACAGAATAATTTGGCCAAAACTAAATATGCCTAGTCACTGTAAACTGGTTAACTCATGGTTGGTTAAGATAGCCTTGGGAATATGCACAGAAGTTATAAAACCATGAGCTATTCATTGAAAATGCAGTCCATTATGAATTCAGTTCTTTTTACTTTATCAAACATGACCATTTTATTTTGTCTGTATTTCAATACAGTATTTTTGGCCTCCACTTTTCCACTACAGCACATGAATTGTGAAATGTGATTCTATATAACATTTAATGTTAAAGTGATATGAAATCAATAAGACTTCTAACAAATTCAAGGTGTGAAGAAATGTACAAACACAACCTGAAGTCTCTATGAAAATTCAGTGGTCCCTCAGTTACACACATTACTATGGCTCACAGTATATTGTCCAAATTTGTCTTGAGTATCTACCATGCACTAGACACTGCCGGTTCTGGAGTAAACCTGATAGGCACCAACCATATGGAACGTACAAATAACGGAGGAAGCAGACAATAAATAAACAATTTCAGGAAAAAATAATTTTGATGAATGTTATATGTAACCTGACATTCCCTGAGAAAGGGCAACAGTCAGATATTTGGGAGGTGGGAGAAATGAATACACCAGAATGACAGAAAAATCCAGTCATCGTTACAACATAACCTTGAATAAAAATGTAAGTGAACAATGACTAAACCTGTAGTACTTCTTTTGGAAGAATATTCATTGACTCCAGTCAGCTTCCTGTTATTTCACTTCAAATGGCTATCCAGTTTACAAATTACTATCTAGCCAACCGCTAGCATTTATCATGCTTAAAATTGAGTCAACATTAAATCATTAGCCCCTATTCCTTCCAGAACCTGTAATTTAAGAGTTAGAGAGAGACAAGACTTGGTTGCCTCTTAGAAAAGTTAAAATAAAACTAAAACAACAGGCTGACATGACACATTGTCTCCATTTAAGCCAACATAGACTATTTATTTCTTTGCTTTATTATGAGTAATGAACATTTCTTTAGCAATCACCTAGGAGCATTACTATTATGCAGGTACCGTACTAACTAAAGACAGAGACGAATGGCCTCCCAGACCCCCATTTGCTCACAGGCTAGTGTGGGAGGCTGAGAAGTTCACAAAGAATTACACCCTGATTGGAAATTTCTTTGACAGAGGTTTGCACAGGATGCTCCAGTTGTAAAAAGAGCTGAGGGTAGCTTTCGGCAGGGCTTAGCCTTGGAAGAGAGCAGGTAATAGCCAAGGGAGAATGGGGGATGGCCAAGGAGGGAAGGTGCTGAGGTAGAGATAGAACATGTGCTGGGTCATAGAATATCTAAAACAATCATATTTTCTGCAGATATCTGTGCTTGAATATTAAAAATTAAAAAGAGATCATTTAACGGTGAAAACTGTAGTACTACTCTTATCTCTGTGTCCACCCTTGCCTTTTCTAATCAGTGGTATAATTCTACTAGAGTGCCTTGGCCTCTGCTCCCAATCATCCCTGCTGTACTCTATAGAGCACCATAAAGAAGGAATAATAAACAGAGCCACACATAACAAAGAACTTTTATTTGGCAGGAATGTTTCCTTTTATGACACCTATCTCTGCCCTGTAAGTAGCCACAAGGCCAGACCAGAGATCTGCTGGAAGGAGGCGGAGTGAGAGGGTAGTCAGGTGGGAATGAAGAAGCTCCCCGTCCTATTCCCACAAATGGCCCCAAAGAGCCTTTGAAGTCTCAGTCATCAGGTAATAATAGCCTTCCTCTAAATTAGAGGAAGAATGTCTGCCTTGCAACAAAGATGATATTTAAAGAATAATCTGCTTTGGGGTACAAGGGGAAGGAATGCAGAGAATAGACCAGTTGAAAAGGTAATTCCTGTTTATAAGAATTAATAATCAGAACAGCACCATTTTAAAAAGTAATGACTTAAAGTAAAAATGGTCAAAGATTTCAGAAATGTTTTAGAGAATTTTATGTTTACAATAGAATTTATCTAACAAAAATGATAGGAACAATACACATTGATTTAAAAACATACAAAAAGTTGGTAGCAGATACTTTCTCCTACTGACTTGAGACATTGATTTAACACCTGAAAACTAATCTCAGTTAAAAAGCTGCCAGCACCATCTCTCCACCTGTAAAAATGTGAATATTTATTTATATTTTATAATTTCATTTTATTTATTCTCTATCTTGTTCCATAAAACATTTTGGGGTACTAGAACTGGTTATTAGCCTTTATTTTTTAAAAATAATTGGGACTGATTTCAACGGATAGAATTAATGTTGGGGCGGGGGTGGGCAGAGACTACAAATTACTTGGTCTATGTCTATATCTTCAAAAGTTTGGGGAGCTTATATTCTCCAGCTATTGCTTTTTTTTTTTTTTTCCAGCTATTGCTTTTGAAACAACAGCTGGGAAATATAAGCTCCTCAAACTTTTGAAGCAATAGCTGAAGAATGAATATAAGCTCCCAAAACTTTTACCTGATCTATGAAGTTGAATGGCTCAATATCCATTTTACTTTGAAATGTAGAGAAAACCTCCATTGCACTATGAATGGTATTTATAAGAACTAAAAGGCATATGCCCAAGTTGGTTCTAAGCTCTGCCTATCTAAATATCTCTGCTTGCCTTATGAGAACTTATATAAAACATATTGAGCACTTAAACCCTTGGGCAATTGCAGAGTGTGCTTTGGATTTTTTGAGTATCAAGGTGGGGAGGGTCGAAAAGAGGGAGAAAGGGAACACAGGTGTCAGAAAAGACTAGATGAATTCCTGTTATGTAACTACTTTTTCAAATGCCCCCAAAGTACTTATTTAACCTAAGAAAATCTTTAGCTAAGTTTAGAAATTAGCTTTAAATATGCTCAATTGATTTTCCTTAGACATTCCACATGCCTTTCGCCAGCTCAAAAGCCTTAATTCTGGTTAAAAGGAAACATGTGAAATATACTGCACAACTTCAGTGGCCAGATCATATTAACTGGCTGAGCTGTGAGGTCTTATGAGCCAAACCTGCTTACCATTCACTGAAAGTCAGTTCCTAAAAAGATTTCTTAATATCTGCCATACCACTTATCTAAGTTTTGGGTGGCTAATTAGAATGAGCTCTTCAAAAAGTTCAGCTAAAGAAAGTGCAAATATTTGCATTAAATTGACTTAGTACTTAAATGATTCAGTGTGTTAATTCTTTTACTGAAATTGCTCTGAAGTTATAGTAGACACTTATGCTTTCTCCACCACCTACTTTGAAGAGAAGATTCTCCTATATTTCAACCATACCCATTAAATCTTACTAGCTTACTAAATGAAGTATTATTTCACAATTCAATCTCAATTACTGGAGAGCTGAAAGTGTGTCTACAGAGACTAGACCAGAAGTGATTTTTACAATTATCAAAGCTATGCCCTTGTGCATGAAATGGGGTACGCTAAGTGAAATGAAATTCATTCTTGCCAGCCACTTTCAGTCAGTTAGTTATGCTAACATCTGTTCTAGGAAAGCTAATTTTTTTTAATACAGCAGAACATTCCTTTACACTGAACCACTACCACCAAAACACAAACATACATACTACATAGCAGAGTTGAATGCAAAATAATTTGTACCGTACACACAAAAGTCAAGCACTTATTTAAAAATAGTTCTTTACAATATAAACTTATGAAATTATGGACATTTTGACAGCAATTTTCCAAAAATTGTAGCAAACACTTGTAAATACATTCCGACTCAAAAATATTGAAAATATCATATGTTTACATTTTAGGCAGATGAGGATTTTAAATGCTTCGCCTACAACCTCAATTGTTGTGGAGCCAAAGATGCAACAGCTTTGAAGAATAGAAGAATTACTCTATATTTGTCAGGATCTACGTGGCAAACAAGCGCCACTTGGCTTACATTACTTGCCTGGCTTGGATCCCATGGAATGGAGGAGCATTGGAACCAAGAGGAAAAAAATTAAAGTGCTTTGGGACAGCGAGCCAAACTCTTACATAGTATTTGAAATGGTGTGGCAAACATGAAATTATTTTAGGCTCAAGATTGGTGCTAGTTTTTTACCCTCTTTTTGAAAAAATAGTAAAATGCACATAAAGGGCCCTGCCAGAGGTTTAGCTCATAAAATCTGCCAATCATTGGATGTGCTAATTGGTGTAGCAATCCAGTGGTGGCCTGGATTAGGACTCAAAAACTGACCCTTACCACCCTTGGTGTCCTGCAGCAAAGACAGCCTAAATCGAAAAGACTGATGGAAGTATATCAAATTACGAATTTCTCTATCCCTGAAAAATGCCTGCAATTTCTGTTTCTCCATCACTCCAGAAATACTCAAAACAGCAAAAATTAAATACATATGAAGTGAACACAAAAGACCTCCACAGAAAAATCAGTGGCTCATCTGTTGACGCTATTGCTCATTGCTCGGCTGGCCAGTCATCTGGGCTAAGTTTTGACTTTGGGCCAGTGCTTCAAAATCAGCAACCTTTCAGCCAAAAGACTGTGGAATGCAGCCAAGACCACCTGTGGAAAGTGAATTATAGCATCTTTAATTTACTACCTTGGGCTATGATGTCAGAAACCCAGCATGGAGGGCGCACCAGTTCTTGTGTGGGAAATCTCTCAGAGCCCCCATGGAGGCCCCCAAAGTGGCTCTGGCAAAGCTGTAGGGGTGGAGGTAACAAAAAAGGGGACACCTGGCTCTCCTTCTTAAATCAGCTCACCATGGGCACACATTTATATTGGAATTTTAGGGTCAGAAAATACCAAAATTAAATCTTCTAGAAGAAACACAGTCAGTGGCTTTGCTCTAAAGTGCCTATTACACTCTACAAGTTTCCAACATTTGTTATTTAAAATAATCAGACATTTATTATTCATAAATTACATATATTCTTTTATCAATATTATTGTTAATAATAAACATGAACAACTAGTAAGTGAATTGCAAAGAACTTTCACATACATAGATTATCGAATCCACCTAGTTAACAAGTAACATAATTAGCACCATTGCATATTCAGAAGATCAGTGGTTTTTGTCTCATCAGTAAATAGAGTTAGGACTGGAACCCAGGTCTGATTTCATATCTAATGCTCCTTTCCAATACAACTATCTGTTTATTTATTAACGGTTACTATTTATTAGCACTCTCAGATTACCTGAGATAGTTGCAGAGCTGAGGGATGAATGAAGACGACTGTGGCCATAAGTAGCTTGCTGAAGCTCCACAGGCAAGGCACTACCAGCACTGGGCTGGGTGTCACTCAAAGGGAGCCAGCAAGATAGCTTTTCTGGGAGACTTACAGTCAGGGACAGAGTACCTCTAAGACTTCCATAAAGAAATGATGGAGTAATAGGCTCATGAAAATGCACTAAACTCCCTTGAATCTGATACCCTCCCAGTTTTTACCGGGTCTTGGTTATGACTTCATATTGCAGGTAGGCAGTGTTTAGGATGTTAGCCTAGAGAAGATCTGACTCAGGAACACAGCGCTGCCATGGAAGTCTATGACAGCACTTGCAGGCATAGTGAGAGACAGGAATTCAAGTTAGAGAAAATCTGACTCCAGAGCAACCTATGGAAGAATTACTTATAATTCAGGTAGGCAAACAATGGCACAGTTTGACTCAGGAAAGGGTGGGTTCCTCAACCATGGAAACATTTGGGAAGTAAATGGATAGATAAGAGCAAGAGCCTGAACTAAATATAAGTTCCTCTCAGTCACACCAAAATAAGTCTCCTATCCATGCATATGGTATGTCAGGGAATGGAGAAATTAAGGTCCAACAAAGAGCTGCATATAGTTTATTGATTTGTTTTCTATTTTCTGACCAGTTCCAGATAAACAGATAAAAGCAATTAAAGTACAGGGCATTCTGAATGGTCAAAAATTTAGTATTGTACATTGTAAGTTAAGGCTAAGGGCAAGTAAGACCTGTTAATGTCTTTATCTGGAATTTCACAAATGCCAAGAATAATCATATTTCCTTCCTTGATTGATTATTCAAAGAAAACACAGGCCCTTATAATTTGCAAATTTCCTAGAATTGAGGGTAGAGGTACATTTTAAGGGTAACTTGCAGTTTTAACATTCACATTCTTAGGAATTATTATTATTATTAATTTTTTTTTTTAGACGGAGTCTCGCTCTGTCGTCCAGGCTGGAGTGCAGTGGCGCGGTCTCGGCTCACTGCAAGCTCCGCCTCCCGGGTTCACGCCATTGTCCTGCCTCAGCCTCCAGAGTAGCTGGGACCACAGGCGCCCGGCTAATTTTTTGTATTTTTAGTAGAGACGGGGCTTCACCGTATTAGCCAGGATGGTCTCCATCTCCTGACCTGGTGATCCGCCCGCCTGGGCCTCCCAAAGTGCTGGGATTACAGGCTTGAGCCACCGCGCCCGGCCGGAAATATTTTTTTAAAAAACATTGAAATCACAAAATTAAATAGTCTATGCAATTATTTAGTATTTTAAATTTCATCAGTTTTAGGTTCTAGCTCAAGGGCCGTCTCTCCTTCATTCAATTTGTTAAATGCCTATAGTGTGCCAGCTGGAGGCCTCCTCTGATTTTCCTTCAGTTGACAAAAGATCCTTACTTCCTTTGGTGCCAGTATCACCTGGTCTATGTCTTTATTATAGCATTCTACTTTATTTGCAGGCATCACTTCTGAACCCTACAAAATTATAAGCTCCTAAGGGGAAGGACTACATCTTATTCTGCCTTGTGCCACTAAGCACAGAAACTTAAACATGCAAGTCCTCCAGACCTGAACTGAACTATTTATTATATGGCTTTTGTGTCATAATAAACATATTAATGTAAGTTATGCTCAATGTAACTAACAAAATTTTATCAAATGCCTACTAAGCATCATTTTTTAAATGCCATAGTGGATTAATCCTTGTCCCGCCTGTATCAAAGTACACTTAGACTGGCACTCAGTGACAGTTTGGGAAGAAGCCAGAGCTGCCTTCCGTGAGGTCAGTCTCCCAAGGTCACACATGTGCTCATCAGAGACTCACTTCCTACAAATACTTATGACGGTTCTTCCAGATCCGTGTCAAGCAATATATTAAATGAAATACTGAATTTTGAAGATCAAAATGAACTTTTCCTAAACTATAACCCAATCCACACAAGTAATTTACACATCAAAAGAAATTAGATAGTAGGCAAACAAAACAATGGTAATTTTTTTAAAAAAAACTGCTCCCAAAGGGTTTGTGGCCAACATTAATATTGCAGGAACATGTTTAGATAACTGCTGTTCAGCATAGTTCCTGGAAACAGGTTCTCAAAGCCAGGACTTACAGTTATTTACCTTCTTCCAGCACTGCCCTGAGGGTTTTAAGGCCTAAATGAATAGAAAGCAAATGGGGGACAAAATGAAATAAAATGTTCACATCTCAGCCTTTAGTGTATATAACTAATGTTTGAAGATTTTATGACAAAATGTGTCTTCTTAAGAACACATGTAGGGAAGATTTTGGCCATTTCTTTAACACCCTTTAAACAGTACCTACCAGAGAAAAAGCAAACACTCCCTTCTAAAAGCATCAATATTCTACTTCTGAGATCAAAACTACAAAACAGGCTCAGACAGAAACCTGGGCAAAGGAACCTTCTGCTGCACGTATGTACTATTTCCCAGAGATGTAAATGATTTTTTTCTCTCTGCCCCAGTGAATCACATATGAAAGTTCTCAAAGAATTAGTAAAGAAAAATGGTGAAAATCTTCTTGGTGTTGAAGGAACAGTGGAGTGTAGCTGGTATCAGAAGTTCTGAAGTGACTCAGAGATTCAGAAGGGTGACAGGCAGGGGCAGTTTTTACTAGAGGAAAGAGCGATGTAGGATGAACAATTTACTGTCCCTGTTGATTCACATAGGATGTAAGTACAAGAGAAGTCAAGGATGTCCCCAAATTTCTTGCATAGGCAGCAGATGAGTGATGTCATTCACTAAGACAGGAATCAAAGAAAAATGAATGACATGTCATATCACACGTAGAATTTGTAGAAGCTGGAGATGTATAGCTTGTTTAAAAGGGGGGTTTAGTATGGAGGGTTGAAGATAAAAGGTCAAATATGTGAATGACTAAATGTGGAGGAGGAATTAGATTTACCCTGAGTGGTTCCAATCTTGCAAGTTCTCAGGAAGGAAATCTGAGATCAATAAAATCAAACTGGCCCACAGTTCACCACACCAGTTGAAGAAAATGAGCTGCCGGCACCTGTGTGAGTGGAGGTGCTCCTCAGTTAACACTTGGTGAGTGCAAAGAATGCAGAGGGCATTTGAGCACCGGGTAGGGATGGAAAGGTGACTTTTAGGGTCTTTGTTATCATTATTATTCTATGGGCATTCTTCATATATAATATTTAGAGCTTCGATTCTGGGCCACAAGTTGATCTGCTATTCCTGAACTACTACAAATTTGAGCATAAGAATCTTGGCAGAATAAATTATCCCAGGACTCATGATTGCTGGGTTCTAGCAATGGATATGCATTAATCAGGCAAATTATTCAATCAATCTTGGGCCTTAGTTTTCTCAACTGTAAAAGGCAGTATTTAAACTGTTAAGCACTTTTAACTCAGCAATTGTAGGATTCTAAAAAGAATGTATGTACTTCTACGTTATGATGAAAGTCACTCTTTTAAGTTTAAAGAAAAAGTTCCTACAAATTAGGGTCAATTTATATTCCAAGAGTTCTGGCTGTCCCTATCAGGCCCCTCCTCCCCCTCCTTGTCCTTATATTTTCACATCTGTTAGAAGAACAGATCTTAATGGTCCTATTCTCGTTCTGTTACTGTTTGGGATCTGAATGTATTCTGAGTGTTTTCTGTCTTCCAACAGCTGGAGAGATCAAAGAACTGTTCCTAAAAGCAAGGACAAGCTACAGCCAACTGCATATGTAAACTTTCATACTGATGTATTTAGCACAGTGAATTATACCCCCATAATTTATAATATGAGAAGGTAGGTCTAATCCAATAATAATAAAGACCTTTAGGAGAAAACAACAAAAAACACCATTCCAGCTTCCAGCCAGTGGTCTGAATACTCACAGCCTAATACAACACAAAGACATTCCAATACAATGAAATAATTTGGATCATGTCCAGCCTCTATTTTTTAGGATGATAGAAATAAGCTCAAGAGAGCTAAGTCTATTTATTATTCAGAAGAAATGAAAGTCATAGCATACACTTCTAAGCCAAGAGATCATTGACAAAATTTGCTAATGAAATCAATTCATAACTTTCTTTCAGATTTTCATTTAAACGGCTGGGTTCCTAATATATTTCAAAATTTACACTGATTACCCTCTACAAAAAGTATGTCATAAGAGAAAACAATGATTACAGAGTAGCAAGGGACTTACTTTCACAGGAACGGTGCTTTATGTTGCTGAAGGCAATTACAAAAAGAGAGTAAGAAAAATTAAAAGCAAGAGCTAGAGCTCAGAAAAACTTGGGTTCAAATCCCAACTCTGTTACTCACTAGCAATTTAGTGGGGCAGCTTACCTAGCCTTGTAGAATGCCAGTTTCCCTTTTGTAAAAGTGTACTAAAAGGTACTCGCCTCCTAAATTTATTTTGAGGATAAAATGATTAATATAAAAACCCTATTACAGTACCATGAAAATAGTGAAGCCTTAATGAATGTTAGCTGATAATAATAGTGCTGTCAACACATGAGAAGAATTAGAATCTGGTGGGAGATGAAGACCTACTCCATGTTCTCTGTTCTGTCTTCTTGCCCTGAGGGGTGTGTTCATCAATATTTAAGGAACTAGAAGGTGTGCATCTTGGATGTTAAAAACAGGGGCTCCCCTCACCTATCAGTGAACAGCCCCAATACCAGAGATGATTCTATACAAATTTTAACTGGAACATCTAAGATAACCCTGAGAAATATCCCAGGCATATCTTAAGCAGCCTGTTATTTGAGGGAACACAGAATTAACCCTTGGTTTTATCCTTAGAAAAATGGGATGATAACATCTTTTTTCACAATTATCTTCACAAATTATTATAAAATAGTTATGGCAGAGCAAAAACTATTGACATGGGTATTTGCTACCCTTTCCCCTCCTCTCTTCAGATAAAGAGAATGCTGGTTTTGCCTCTTCTGTCACAACCCCCTCACCTGCCCCCCGATGAGGATTCAACTATTGCTAGATGGATTCTTTGAGTTTTCATGATGCACAATCAAAAGACAGGGGATAGGTAGAAGATATGGGCTTGAGCTCGGCAGGGAGAGGGGGGCGGTTTACCAGCGGGAGTGTTGGGGAGATTTTGGAAGAGACGTTAGAAACATCAAAGTAGATGGGAAAGAAAATAGGGATTGCTAGAAGTACTGCTACAGATTATATATCCCCTTTACCATGCTTTGACAGTTAAAGAACAGAAGTTGTTAGGTCACTTTAAATTCACCTTTGGTTGACTGCCTGTTTCTTTGACAGAATCCCTACTTGGAGACTGGACCAAAGAGGCTATGTCTTCCATAGAGGCAACATGAGAAAGTAAGAGAGGTGCAAACACATCATGCAAACGTTAGGCAGAATTTATTGTGTTCATACATGACATGGGGAACATTGAAAGGATTGATGTCTTAGAAAGGCGTGTTAGGAGTGTGGGTCTAGAATGCATAAGGTTAGAGATATGCCTGCACTGGGCCATCATCTTATTTTAATATTTGGTCCAAATTCTGGGCTTCTCACAATCAGAGAGCTATACCTACCAATTTCCTCTTATTATTCTTGGCTGCCCGGTCCCCATCCCTCTACTCAGAGATTTCTCAAGCTTTGCACTAATGGCATTTTGGGTTGAATAACTGTTGTGGGGGTTTGGCTTGTGCACTGGAGGATATTTAGCAACATCCTTGGCTTCTACCCACTAGCTGCCAGTAGCATCTTCATCCCCACTGCTGGCAAGTTCAGGGGGGGTGTGGGTGGGGGAAGTCTTCTCCAAACATTGCCAAATATTCCCTGGGGAGCAAAACTGCTTCTGGTGGAGAACCTCTGCTTTACCCCAATCATCCAGGCTTACAAGAAAAATTCATACTCCATCAAGCCATTCTACAACACTTCATTTTCAGAGTTTCCAACTACAGAGATTCCAAGTTCTCAGCAATTCATAACCATTACAGTTTGCCTCATGTTACACTGACTGCATCAGGCTGTCATTTAGAAATTATAATAATGGCTACCACTTGTTGGATATTTTTTATGTGCTAGGCATTGTGCTAGGGACTTAACAGGGTGATTTTCATTCTTATACAGAAGTAAGTGTGGCCGGGCACGTTGGCTCGTGCCTGTAATCCCAGCACTTTGGGAGGCCGAGGTGGGCGGAACACCTGATGTCGGGAGTTTGAGACCAGCCTGACCAACATGGAGAAAACCCGTCTCTACTAAAAATACAAAAAATTAGCTGGGTGTGGTGGCGCATGCCTGTAATCCCAGCTACTCAGGAGGCTGAGGCAGGAGAAATCACTTGAACCTGGGAAGCGGAGGTTGCGGTGAGCCAAGATTGCACAATTGCGCTCCAGCCTGGGCAACAAAAATGAAACTCCGTTTCAAAAAAAAAAAAGAAGTGGTAGATATTATTATCTCCATTCAGAGATGAGTAAAATGAGGCCCTGAAAAATTAAAATAACTCATCCAAGGTCACAGCCAATAAGTGGCTGAACTGGGGTTTGAACCTAATCTGTCCCAGGTCCATAGTCTCTCCTTGTCTCAGGCCACACTGTTTCTCCTGATGAGAAAAACTAATGCAGGGATACACAAGAAATACATTTACCCAAAGTTACATGAGTTCAAATGGCAATTCCACTGTATGGACTATTGTAGAGGTTGTTGATCTCAGCACTATGTGGACTCAGCAGTATGGATGTCTTTGTTCTAGGGACATCAACAAGCTGATTTTTGAATTATGAATTTTCTGCAGAAAATAGGAAAATGGTGCTCTCCTTTAAGTAGAAACAACAAACAGTAGCTGGTTGCCATGGTAGCAGAGGTAAACTTAACCTTGACTGGGAAGGCAATCACCAGAAAGGGACAGCAAGTATGGTCAGGAGTCTAAACCAGACCAGGGGTATTTTAACTGGAGAAGAGAAAGTCAAAGGAGAGAAATGATAGTCATCTTTAGTTATTTGAAAGGCTACTGTGTAACTGAAGTGAAGCATACATTCAAGATTATTCTAAATGGAAAATCCAGCATTCATGAGTGGAAATTACAATGCAGTCATGGAAGCCAGTTTTCCACTGAATGATAAGAAAGAACATTTAACCATCGTAATGTTCCAACTGGATTGAAAAACTAAACAAGCTGTCTAGAGAGCAATAGGTCGCTAAAATAGAAAGATCCTAACAGGAAGGTCATCTCTCTTGGGAGACCCAGTGTGGGTGAGACTGGGCTAAACAAATTCTCAGGCCCCCTCCCCAAGCAAAATCTCTGTTTCTCCAGAGAATTAGTAAATTGGGGTTCCCTGTTGAAAACAGACAAATGGAAGGTCCACTGGGCGGAAAGCCCCAGCCGCTCATCACTACAAGAGGAGAGGTAAACTACAATCTCACCTGGGAAGAAAATGTTGTTTAGGTGACACAAACCAAGGGGAGGAGAAACCTTGTGGAGGATTTTTCCCCTCTGTTCTGAATAGATGATCAAGGGGTAAGGCAGTAAGGGCAAAACCAAAAACAAAACAAACAGAAAAAAACCCACCAAGAATCAAGCAGCTTTCTGCTGTCTTCCAACCCTCAGACAC
Source organism: Homo sapiens (assembly GCF_000001405.40). Lineage (NCBI taxonomy): Eukaryota > Metazoa > Chordata > Mammalia > Primates > Hominidae > Homo > Homo sapiens. The sequence continues at coordinate 68,210,968 of NC_000001.11, forward strand.
TCTGATGCCTCTTTCTTGGAATGTACCGCCACCTCCCACTGCTTTGGCCTAAAGACTGCATTTAATTTTAAAAAGAAAATAGGCAACCATCCAGCTAGGGGACAGTTAGAGTAACAGTTGATTAGTCCTTTTCTAAACACTGTCTTTTGTTTCATTGCTCTTTATTTGCTGTACACCAACAATTCATTAAAAACATCTCACCACTAGATTTAGTGAATGGAGAGGACAGGTCTAAACCCAAACATTCCTCTTGGAAAACCGACTACATTGTAAATTTGCAGACCTGTCCAGGAAAGTAAAACTGTTACAAAGTCAACCTCTACTGAGGCACACAGCCTCCTTTGTAAAAGAAAAAAAAAAAAAAGAGGTGCTAAAAAAATGACAGGTTTTTCTTAAAAAACAACAGGTTTTTCTTAAAAAACAACAAAATCTTATTCATCTTTCCATATTCAGCATGAAGAACACCTAAGAGAATTTTCCCTATCGCCTCATCTCCAGGGCACTCAAAGCATTTACAATCTCATTATTTTATACAACACCCATTAAGTGGGCACCAAAGATTATTACCCTTCTTTGATTTCTAAGAAAGCAACTACAGAAAGTTTAAACAAGTTGCCCAAGGTCGTTCAGTAAATTGAGATGCTTGGATTTTCCATTCAGTGATTGTTCTAGGGACATAGTGCAAAGTGACTGAATCCTCTAAACTCACCAAAACCCCTAAGTCTTACAGATCTCTTCCCCATTTCTCACCACTCATGAGATTTTCATCATCTAATCACAAATCTGCCACCATGTGGATCTTGGACATGGGTATCCTACCAGGCCAGTGCCATGTCTGCAAGAAGCCTGGTGCTACACCTGACAGCTTTCAAATCACCATCAAATGATTCCTTTATCTAGTGAAGTTGATTCTGCCTGGCTGCATCTGGGAAATTTTTAACCCCTCGATTAGCCATTGCACAGTTGGCTTAACTTGGATGAGACAGAGGACAAAATAGTGGTGGTTTAAAAAAATACCTCCCCCATTCTGATTACAAAGGAGGCATGATTAACGAAGTACCCTTTGTATCCGAGCTCCATTCTAAGAGAAAGAGAAAGAGCTTTCCTTCCCCCTTTTTTGATCGCTGAGTCTTTTCCTACTTGTCTCATCACCCACACAATCTGTTCACAGCCCAAACAGACAATCCAGCCAGTCTGTGGAGAGTTCCTAAAACATTTATGTTGTGAAAGCAGACAGGATGAACAGGACCTCATCTCGACAAAGGATGATGGGACATTCAGCAAAAGAGTTCACGAAGGGAAATACAGATGGAGTCCCAGAGCTGAATGAATTTGCCCACAATGTCTAACACAATGCCAGCCCTTATGGGTACTTGTAAACCTTCTGGTCAATTCACAGCCACCTCCAGGTTTTATCCCCCAAATTCCATTACTTTTAGAACAAAGGGTTTTAAAAGAAAATACAATTAACAAGTTAAGGAGGTCCAAATCAGTGCTTTAAGGATCCTTCAATTTCTCTAGACCTTTAAACATAAAAATAGCAAGTTAGATGAAGATTTTAGTTCCAACACTACCAGATCGGGAGTTGACATAATGCACATAAAATACTTAATACATTGCCTGGTACATACTAAGTACTCAAATAATATTACCTAATATTTTCATCTTACACTGCTCTATTTTATTAATGATGTTTTTATATATGTCATTGCCTGTCTACTCAGCTAAATAGTTCCACCTTATCTGTTTTTGGTATAATCCAAAAGATAAATGCCTTCATATAATTATCTTATTTAAGCTTTCAGATCTATAGTAGGTTACAGATGAGACAGTAAAAGCAAGACTAGGTCTCATAGCTGGCAAGTGGTAGATTCCCATACTGAGATCTCAACTCACTAATTTAACATCCAGTGCTTTATTTCAATAACACCACAGATGAACAGATTATCATCTCTCGTGCCTCTTTGTATTCTTCAGAATTTAGCTAAGCGCTAAGATATACCTTAATGATCATCTAAAATAAATTTCTAATGATAGGTAACCTAACATGTCTGAAGATTTATTTTAGTGCCTTTAATAAGGAAGAAAAGAAATGGGTGGAAAAGCCCAACCATACTTGGCTTTGAGGAAAGACATGCCTCTGTTTTTATTTGCCAAGGGAAAGCATTACCAGGTCCATTTAGAAAGACAAGAGGAAGTAAAGCCGGGCGTGGTGGCTCATGTCTGTAATCCCAGCACTTTGGGAGGCCGAGGCAGGTGGATCACCTGAGGTCAGAAGTTCAAGACCAGCCTGGTCAACATGGTGAAACCCCGTCTCTACTAAATATACAAAAATTAGCCAGGCATGGTGGTAGGCGCCTGTAATCCCAGCTACTCAGGAGGCTGAGGCAGGAGAATCACTTGAACCCGGGACGCAGAGGTTGCAGTGAGCTGAGATTGCGCCATTGCTCTCCAGACTGGGCAACAAGAGCGAAACTTCATTCCAAAAAAAAAAAAAAAAAAAAGGAAAGACGAGGAAGCATGAGGGATTCAATGATATACCAAAGAGATAAATGGGGCTAGAGCCAGAACTCTTGATACTCTGCTCATGGCTTTCTGTATTAAGTTCATTATTAATTTGGCACCTTGAGTGAGATGAATCTTGCCTTGGATTATGCACATCAAGTTGTATTTCAGATGGCTGTCCCATACTTTAAAGGCCCATACCAAACCCCCATGTATCAAAAAAAAAAATTATCTGATCTAAAAAATGCCTAGATCCCTTAGCCCTTAACAACAAACTGTCTTATTTTATGGATCTTGTCTTCCCAAATTTAAGTTGCTGGAGGGCAAAATCCATGTGTTTACTCCTTCTGTAGCCCATGGCTAACCTAGTTCAGAACTTGTAGCAACGTGTGCTGCTCATTGCTTCCTCGGCCTCACAGCCTTCTAGATGTCCCAAAGAAACCTCGAGTCATCATAACATCTACTGAATTTCCCAACCATCCCCAGCACTACTGCTCGGCTTGGGCAGTCATTAAAGCTTCTCTTCTGCCTTCAGGATCTTCATTTCAGCTGCTGGGACATCCTGTTGCCATCCATTTCACACAGACATCCAGCCCAGCAGGAACCCGTGTTGCAATGAGCTTTGCTTCAAAGCCAGCAGCCTGGCCAAGTTCCAGGAATTGTCACTAATGATCTTCACCAGCAACTTGGTGCTCAACAGTGATCTCTGAACACACACACACACACACACACACACACCCCATTTCCAATACTGCTCTAGTTAGAGGAGCTGCCTAACAGAGGTTGGTTCCATAACTTATTTTATTCTTTAATTGTTACAGAGGACTTATTTCATCAAAATAAGCTAACTGTCCAAATACACTCTGCAATGCAGCAGTGGCCTCCACCAACTTACTCCTTTTTTTTTTTTGAGATGGAGTCTCGCACTGTCACCCAGGCTGGAGTGCAGTGTTGTGATCTTGGCTCACTGCAACCTCTGCCTCCCAGTTTCAAGTGATTCTCCTGCCTCAGCCTCCCAAGTAGCTGGGACTACAGGCAGGTGAAACCACATTCGGCTAATTTTTGTATTTTTTAATAGAGATGGGGTTTCACCATGTTAGCCAGGCTAGTCTCAAACTCCTGACCTCAGGCCTCCCAAAGTGCTGGGACCACAGGTGTGAGCCACCACATCTGGTTCCACCAACTTATTTTTAAACTGAAGAAGGCATAACAAGTGTATCAGTTTCTTTTGGTTGTAAGAGACAGGAAAGCCTGCTCAAAGATACTTAAGCAAAAACTAAATTAGTAAGATGATACTGAAAAATATCTAGAGATAAAGCAGTCTTCTAGTGGTTGTTTTGAGAAATCAGATTATGTCAACAGATCTCACTTCTCTACAGTCATTGAATTCCACCCTGTATTTTATTAGCTTCATTCTCAGGCTTCATTGGAAAGACTCCAACAATTCCAGGCTTATATTCTGTGAGTTGAAATTCAGTAAGAAAAAGAGAGGACATCTCTTCCTGGTAGCCTCCACACAAGTCTCAGAATTCACTCTAATTAGACTAACTTGAGGCATAAATCCACCGTGGCTAGTGCTTGGCTTGGTCACATGTCCATCACTGGAATCAGAAGTGAAGATTCTCTTAAGGCACATGGACTGAGAGTGGGGAAAAAAATGCTCCACAAAGGAGATTCAGGCAGATCCTGCTGCCAAAACAAATAGGCGAAACACTAGGCAGCCAAAAAACACCAATCATCCTCTCCAATAAATCTTCCTTCTTTTCCTAATCTCCAAGAAGTTGTATTACTGGGATGATCCAACTTTGAAAATAGTATATTAAAAGAAAGGAACAACCACGCAAGTCATATAAAAATATATGTAGCCAGTAGGCACATGAAAAGAGGTTTACCATTACTATCAATCAACGAAATGTAAATTAAAAGAATAAGATATTATCAGCACATTGGGAAACATTTTTTAAACAAAAGTAATCACCAGTACTGGCTAACATGCAAAGAGATAGACATTCCCAGATTTGGCTAATGGGTGATATGATGATTATCACTGACCATCAAAATCCTTAAAAATGTGCATTTCATTTTACCTAAGATAAATTCACAAAAGTGAATTTACTAAGGAAATAATAAAGGATGTACATAAGAATTTAAATACAAAGAAGATTTCTCCAGTATTGTTTATAATAGCCTTAAACTGGAATTATTCTAAATGTCCAACAATAGATTGAGCAATTTAATTTTATCCATACTATGGGTTATCATACTGACACTAAAAATAACCTTTCAATGCATGTTTATTAGCATGGCTTAAATAAGTAGAAAGGCACTATACAAAAGAATTAATAAAGTGGGCAACAATAGCATCATTCACTAACTAAACCCAGTAAATTAGTTTCACCCTCATCTCCTAGGCACTCCCTGGTTCCTTCTTTAAGATTTACCCTGGGGTTCTAAAGACCCAGATTCCACCCGGGGAAAGAGAAAAACTCTGGACACCCTCAGCAGGCTAAAATGTGTTGAATAAATATGTAAAGAGAGAATCAACAACTGTTCATGGGAATGGCTTGCTACACAGAGGAGGGTGAAGAAGATGGACCACAACTGTCATTTACTTGTCCTGGAAGAGAGCTCAAAAAGAAATGTTTGGCCAATACACAGTGATTTCTATCACAAGTAGTTCATATTTTTTAAAACTACTCTTTTTTCTTGTTCTTCAACTTGTCATAATGTAGCAATTAATATTCAAATCCCGAGTTATTCCTTCCACAAACATAGCTACTGCCTTGCCAAATAAACCATACCACAAACAGTTACTCCCCATCTCAGTTTTCATAAGTTTAAAATGTAAATATCCCTGATGGACTGGCCTATCTTAGAGTGTTGTTGGGAAGATCAAATAAGATGATTTCTACTAAAGTACCTTCAAGAAGGATAAAAGCACTATACAAATGTGAGGTATCAGGTGTATCAGTGCATTACGCAGATTTCACAAACACACAACAGAGCATGGGAGAGTTCATGGCAAGCCTCTGGCTCCTCCATTACCCTCATGTCCTTTTCCCTGCAGTCATTTCAGAAAACCAGATGTTTGTTTGCAAAGTTTCTCTGCAGCAAAAGGGCAGGCCCTCTCTACATTCAAATTGGCTGAAGCTGTGTTTCTAGCTGTTGAAACTTAGACAATAATGGGGGAGATGCCAAAATTAATCCAAAAAGCAGACAGGCACACTTTACAGACTGGAGCCCTGAGATGGAAAAAGGCAGCAGCATGAACAAGTAGAGGGTTAATGGTTTTCATATTATTTAATTCAAGCCGCAACAATGACAGATTCTAAAGATATAAACTTCTGAGAGTGAGCATTCTTTCAGAATTAGTATACAGGGGTCCTATTAGCAATATTTTATATACTCCAAATATCTTCCCAAAGGAAATCACTGCTGAAAAAGACAAAGTTCTTTGTTGGTAGGGCTGTGCGTTTATACCATGGACTTAAATACTTTTCTTCTACAGTCTCCTCATTTTAAAAAATGGCAAAAAATTTCAATAAAACATGGATGGAGCAATAAGAAGTACACTGAAGTTCTTAAATGCCCTTCTTTTTAAATCCCCACCCCAATTACGTCCCTCCCTTGAGGATATTTACAGTCCTCTATGACACATGCTCTGTACCTTCTTGGTTCAAGGAAAACACACCTACAGCATTTCAAATTAACTACTGACCCTTACTCTCACACTATAAACAAACCCTTTTCACAATCTCAATTGCATTGTGTCCACATTGATTAAAGCTTGAAGCCTGGTGACCTCATGTGGTGTTAACTTCTCCCATGCACCAACAGCATTCCGCCTTTCTACTCAATTACCCCCTTTGGTGCCAGAGGATCGCTACCCAATGAACACATACAATGGACTTCTGCTTCATTACACTAACCAACAGCAGGATAGAAATAAGCAGAAGAGGAATAAACAAGCTAATTTATCATGAGGACAGAGCAAGCTTTCACCAGTCTCGCCATGGAAAACTTCAGTGGTTAACGGGAACATCAATAGTCTGGGGGTGATGTTTATGATCTTACAGATTATGGACAAAGCCATAACAGAACCCCAAACTGACTGAAGAATTCTGCAGATTGGCAGGTGTGAACACACGCACACAAAACCCATGCCTTAAAACTCCGGGGTCCTACATAAAACCTACTCAGTAATTATTTTGGGAAGCATAACCCTGGGCTTTGGATAACGTGGGCTGACACTCTGGTAATTTGCTCCAACTGTTCAGCTTAACTGTGGGGCCCCTCTTATTTATCTTTGACAAGGTGGTCAGGAGGAACCCAGCCCCTTTGTGAGAGGGGTCTGGTTCCCCCACCGCCCCCTGCTTCATTAGGCATGGCAAGGACACAGCGGTTGATTAAATTAACAACTTTGGAGGGCTTCAGTCCCAGTTCCCAGACATTAGCACCATCATCCAGAACAAATTAAAAGTCTCACAGCAATTAAGCAGATTTTGAAAATGAATTTCCCATGGTTCAATGGCTCAACCACAATCTTGAGTTAAGTATCAGAGAAGAGTATTGAAGGAAGAGAAGAGGAACTGACTGCTGAAATTCCAAAGTAAACATACAACTGGTAGAAGCAGCATACACAATAAACTTCTGAGCCTCTGCTAAGTAGGCTTATACATTTCTTTTATAGAAAATTGGAAATATTCAGTCACATAAGGGGAAAGAATAAAACATTAACATAGAATGGTTGTATCAAAATGGTGGATTTTTTTTTCTTTTTTCTTTGTTTTTAATTACTTTAACATCATTTTATTCTTGTTCAAAAATATAAATAGATATTGAGAGGGGACAAAAATACCTACTTCCAGTCACAGGCTTTTAAATTCAAACAAGAAATCGTACATCCAAGTCTGGAACTGGAATCATCTATATTTCTCTGAACCAGTACAACTAGGTTCACAGCAGGCAAAGACCTTTTATGCCAGCCTCCAAAGAACCCTGGGTGGGTGATTTACCTCTAAGAACTCATTTCTGGATCAAAAGAATAAGATTAATGATAAAATCATACCTATCACATTCTAGGTGTGTACTCTTTGCCAGGCACTGCCGTTTTGAGGCCTTGTCATACTTGCTTCCTTCCCTTTCAGTTTACATATGCTCCTTTAATCCCTGTTCCCGCCTCGCACCTCTGCCTGGCTCTACTTGCAAGTCACAGGCCTCCGTTCCTCTTTGCCTGCAGGCAGACATTTGGCACAGCTTGTGTGCAGGAACCTGGAGGAATCCTGAAGGAATGTGCGAATGAATTCATTCCCACTCACCAGATCTATAAGCTGAAGACAGTGGAATGCAGAGGTAGTTACTTGAATGAACTATATTTTCCTGTCAAGGGCATTTATAAAAGCTGACATCATAAATACATTATTGGTCTCTAAGTACAACTGTAAATAAATCTACAAAATTCTTAGAAGGATAACTTTCAAAGATTTGTTTTTCATCTTTAAAAGTTTATAGAAAATTAAGCAAACTATGTGGCTCTTCTAAAAGAAGCCCCTTCAAAATAGCCCTCACGGAACAGAAGAAACACATTTACTTCTTAAAGACAGTAAATCTCAAAATTTGCATTACAGTTCAACAGTTCCATTTGGATATTCAAAATTTGGAAATATATATACTTCTGTGTGTTCCCTTCTTCCCACTAAACTTTAATCAACTAGTATAGACAACCAGCCACAGTCAATTATCTGGCTTTATGGCCAAGTAGGGACCAAAATATATAACCCAGACATAATAACAATCAGCATAACAGTAGGCATAGGTAATGAAACTCTCCGCTAGTGGTCAGAAAGCTCAGTTCAAACCTTATTTCTCACTATGTCTTCCTTGGACCTTAGTTTCCACAATATAATGGAAAAACGTCCCTTTCCAACTCCAAAATTGTACCATTTTAGAAATGTAAGCATGTATATTATGAAGGTAACACAATCTTTTATGTTCAAGTGAATAATAAAAACCCTCCTCCCATTTAAATAATAATAGCCTGGAATATAATGTTATAAAACTTAGGGAGGACCTCAAAGCCTTAAAGTAGAAGCATTTTAGTTACCTCCACAATAGGTCCAAAATGCAAGGCATTCATCTATTCACCTCTTCAACAGATATTATTGGGTACCTACATTGCATTGATCTGTAGTAACAGCCATAAAGGTGAGTATATTAGACCATCATTATTCTCATACAGCTTACAGTTTGACAGAGGTTATATTTTAATCATTATTTTTTGTTTAAAATTTCTTATAAACTATAATTCTAGCTAATGTTTCAGAAGTAATTAATATTTTATTTTTAAAAATCATTTTTCCTCAAAGTTTGACTTTAAGAAGTCTTTGTCATTCACGTTATTATCTAGAAGCAAAAAAATTTCCCAGTGGATGATGACTCCAATTTTATAATGTAAAACAGAAGTACAACTGGGATTCACTTCGCAGCAAGCAAAGAGGGAATAAATCTCTTCCACATAATGAGTGATATCCATTTAAAAAAGTCATGCTACCTGGGCTTATCTATGCTCTAAAGAGCCATGAATACTGGCCCAGAATTTTAAAAGACAAACATTTAGATTCAAATTAAATGTTGGTTAAAAAGAGGAAAAACAACCCAAGTTAATTACTCTAATTTACCGAATATATGAATGACCTGCTTATTGGACTATTGGCTAGCATAGATCTTGCCTAATAGGAAGGCTATCAAGCAGGGTGGCTGGGTTTCTAATTTTATCCAATCAATTAAGAGGCAGAAATAACCTGCCCATTGACCTTACGAGACACAAGTTGACTCCAGAATAAACAAACAAACAGACTTGAAAAGTTAATTATGGGCAACCTCTCCTTCAGAGAAATGGCTCACATATATTAATTGATCTAACACCTATGTGCAGGCTCCCAAGAAGATGGAACTCGTTCTCTCATTTAAATCCCACAACCCCCGTGACTCAGAGATTTTTGGTTCAGGAAACTGAGGCTCACAGAATTTAAATGGTTAGTCTAGGTTACAAAGCAAGTTTGATAACAAAGAGATAAATCAGATCACTGCCATTTATCAACCATAAAACCACATTCCATCAGTTATTATAGAAATCCATCACTTTGAATGGAGAGATCAAGTTTCTCAAGGATTAAGCTTCTCATTTAACATGAACTATCAAATGGAAAACCTCGAGCCAACACTTATTTTTATAGCGTGACTATTTCTCAAGAATCCTGTAAGAAGCCCACATCAAGAGGCAACTTTCAAAATTACTAAAATTTCAAAAATTTCAAAATTACAAAAGTAACAGTTCTGTCAAGTGGGAAGAGTTAATGCCTTTCCTTTACAGAGCTGCTTTATGTAACTAGCCGAAGTTTTAACATAGAAATATTACTGTTTCATATATACATTAATCTTGACTTTGTTAAAATCCCAAACATACTGCTCATCGATCTCCTAAACTTTCTCTTTTTCAAGAAGTAGGTGGGGGAGGGAAGGAAGGTATTGGAGGAATTCTTCTGATATCTGTAAAAACAGAAACAAATGCTAATTAAAAGATGACCTTAGTGCCCTTTCAGTTTAAAAATCTTGAGCATTTACAAATTATCTTTTTTTTCTCTTTCATCAACTATTACCCAGAAATACCACATTCTCATAGAGCAAAGCTCTGTCCTGTTTGGGCATGTTCAAAGAATAGTGCCAGGGATTTAATACTGGCATGCTCATGGACCTGCAAATTCTGAAATTCAGGGGGAGGCATGAATAAAAAGATAGCTGAGGTCCCACAGTTGCCTGTCACAGCCAAGCCCCACCCCACCCACATCCTCATATGATCCTCAAGAAGCAAAACCTTTCTGAGATATTCTATAAGTGACAGCAAGGCCCAATGTGCAGTCTTTTCAAAGCCTCAGTAAAAATCTTATCTATGACTTCACTTAGCCCAGACACACAGGAGCTAAAAGGTAAAAGCCTGGTTCACACAAGCCAGAACTAGCTCAACAGAACCGAAAAAAGAAAGGAATGTCTTTTCTATATCTTTTCCATGTCTGAGGCATTCTGCTCTGGGGCAAATTACAACCTAAATAAGAACAGATAAAATATATGGGAACTGAGTAAAAGAAATAGAACCTCAAAAAGGGCTGCTCTGCCTGGAAAGAAGGCTGGAATTCATAAAACATGGAACGTAACTTTTTTAGTGATCACCTGAAGGCAAGCTTGTTAAACAGAGACTTAAAAGTCAAGATTTATTTCAGCTAAATTAGATGGTGCAGAAAAACATAGTGCTTCGTGACTCTGCTCAGTTTCAACAAAATGAAAAGACAGAGGAGGAAGAATTTACAGTATAATACTTGCACCACTCAAATCACAAAAATACACTTGTTAGTCACAAAGGAGGGGCCCATAACATTGTAAGCCTTATTTTGGCAATGTGAATTTTCTGCTTGCAATTACCTTCAAAGTGAAGAAATGGCAGAGACGAAGAATGAGGAATTTTGTTGCTGCTTTTGTATGTAAATTCGACCAAAATATATAGTGCTATGTGACTTTACCCCAAGCTCACTAGAACTTCGGAATTATGCCTGCCACAAACATCCTCCGAAAGCACAAGAATTAGTCATAGATTTTTTTAGTCAAGGAAGCCTCAGACTGATAAAGTCTTAAAACTAGACGCAAGGACTGTGCTTTGGATTGGATAAGTAATGACTATACTGCGTGGTTTTGGTGTGTGTTTTTTAGAGTTTTAAATTTACATTTCCCCAAGCAGGAGGAAGGGAATGTACCACACCCTCAGCAAGCAAGGAAGGAATTTAGTTGATTTTTTTTAAATTCTGTAGTGTTCCTTAAAATCCACATAGCATAGCATAACATTCTATATAATTCTGTTGTTCCATAAGGGATTGGCTAAGTATATTAAGGATACAAAGGGAAGGGGGAGATGACAAAGTTATTGCTATTTTATTTTCAAGTGACAGAAAAATCAATCGAGCTATAAGAAGCACCAGTTGGGAATGTTCTGCACATTAACTCTTTAATAGCCTTAGACAGAAATCAGATGATCTTCACACTGAAACTCTGAAGGACATATATCTTTGGGGCACTGAGTAGCATTAGAAACTGCGTCCAAGCCATGGCTCCACCTCTAATTGCATGAACTGAATGGCTTCCCTTTCCTGGGACTCGAATTCCTTCTAAATTAAGGTAGAACAAGATAGTCTTGAAGGCCCTTTCATCCTTACGATTTAATACTGACAAGCTCTTCAGCTTCTATTCAGGACAAACACCACCAAAGTGTATGGATACAATGGATTCAAGTAGCCACACTCATGGACAGTGACAAAATCCCACAGCTTTAGGGTGGAATCAAGTATCATATTGGCCTAGAATGTATTGATGCTGCCAAGGTGTGGGGTGGGGGTGGGGGTGGGGGTGGGGGGCAGGGGTGAGGTACCACTGATGTGTGAAATGACTTGCCTAATATCCCAGAGACCCCTGAATCCCAGGCATTCTTATTCTGAATAGAGACTTTTAATCAATTTCTTGTCTCATCCTATGTCCTCATGTTACCATACTTCTACAAGTCTGTGCTGCCAGTGAGGGTTGGCAAATCATCCCAACTCAGAAGGACAGACTTACAAAATGGCATAATCAAGCTTCACTAACACTGTATATAAAGTAAAAGTAATAGATTGAGTAAAAGCATGAGAGATTCTCTTGGGAGTAAAATGTGCATGCTTTAGGAGAAGATTTGGACTTGTGTTCTTATTTGTTAGTTTTCTGCAATAACATTAATATTTATCATTTGGGGGAGGTTCATAATGAAATACTTGGTTATAGCACAGGAACTAATGTTAGAAAGCAGGATGACCTCCTTAAACTTTCAAACCCAAACCAAGTAAGGTTTTGGGTCATTCCCATTCCTTCTGCCTCAACAGATCTACAAATCTGTAGGTGTTGGGCAAAGTGGTGGTGACTCAAAGAAGGAAAAGAATGGATAATAAACAGTGTCGTGTGTAAGTTTCCCCAGATCTAAGAACAGAGAGGGACAAAGAAATGTAGGAGAGATGGATTTGGGATTAATCAAATGGTTTCAGTGCAAAGTCCTCTGGAAATCACATCTCTGATAGGCCTGGCTCAATGAGACACTCCAACAAGTGTCAAGTCCTCAAGATAGTAGATTCCAGTGATATTTTATGCTTGTAGCAATCCCCATGAGGAAGGAGGGCTCTGTTTCACATCGCAGTTGAGAGAGGGAGTCAATGAGATTTTATGACTTTTTTGGGATCATTGAGGCCACAGGTTGTCTGCAGAGTCCTAGCCAAGTTTCTCTCCACTAAATGACGCTGCTTTGAGACCAGAAGCTCTCTCTTTTGGAGGGGGTCAGCCAGGACCAAGGCAGCAGTTAACTGGCCTCCAACCAACTTTCATGAGGCTGGCCTTATTAAACTAGGTCTGAAGAAAAACTGAGTCAACCATTTACAGACTTATTATCTTCTTTCTAAAGGAAAATCATAATGCCTTGCCAAAACAAATGTAATAACTTGGCCTTTTCTTTCAATTACCTCTGCTTTCTTGGAAATGTGTATCTGTGGATAAAACCTCTGAGTTAACCCAGGGAATTAACCAGATGTTTAAGAAGACCCTGTGATTCCTGTGGGCCAGCAAAGAAAGAATACCCCTTGGCCACATTATGAGAATGGAGTACTAAGGAGAAAGGGGGAGCAGAAAATTAAACTTGAAGGCCCAGGATTTAAATAGGCATAGCAGATAGAAATGTTAGCTCAGTTTTGGGGGATTGGGTGACACTGGAAGCAGGTTTTGGAAATCCAGGCACAAGCTGTGTCCTTGAAAAGACAGTCTCATATATTTCCAGAGCCCTTCATTTCATTTTCTTCAGTCTATATTCTACCCCCATCTTCCTATTCCACATCCTCATTACACTCCCATTTCTTCAACAGCTACCTTCAGGACCTACGATGTATGCTAAATCCAGGGAACATTCAGAGGGCCCACTATCTCGACAAATTTCCTATTACAACTCTAAGCCATCTTTTGCTGTATGCAATAATTTCCTTTGGGGAGTGTTGGCATGTAATTTCTGAGGTTCAGCCCTCCCTAGCATGGCCCAGAAACACTGCCAATATTTACAATGGCTGGTGTAGGCAGTTCTTATGTCTCAGGAGTTGGGGATCCCTTGTTAAGGAAGTAATAGGCCAATGATCAGTAACCATGCAGTGATATGAGTGCATGGTTTGGGGAAGGGGTGGAAGCAAAACGAAAAGGTGGGGGGGATTGAGCTTTCATCTTCTGCTCTATCTGTGTAGAATCAGTTTCACCACACTCATCCCTTTGTTTCCCATAGAAATGGAAAGGACAATGGGAGGAAGGTAGCATTAAGCTTAAGAATATGGCTTAGGATTCAATCAAGGACTGTGGGCTTGAGTCTTAGCCCTCTCATTTACTATCTCTGCACTCTTATTTACTATCTCTGCAACCTCAAAAAAGGTTCTTAAATGAGCCTCAGATTCATGTGAAAATTGAAGAAAGTAAAGTATTTACTTCTTTGGGTTGATGTGATCATTAAGTGAATCTTTACATGTGAAACGCTTTCCATAGTCCCCCAGTCTTCCAATATGATTACTGCTTTTGCTCCCCTACAAGATTTAGTCAGGGATAGAATGTGGGGGGTGGGGGGAAGAGGTGGTAGTAAGAGGCTATAGAAATTTAGTATTTTTATATTATAAATTATACATCATTATTTTCTTTAATTTAGCAATCCTTTTAGATTCATCATTTTATGAGAAGAAAACTTAGAAAACACTAAAGTTTGAGATCATTAAGTTTGAGAATTGGCATGTCTCAAGCTCCTCCTCTCCTTCCCACATCCCCATACGGGCACTTTCTCTAGAACTGTGCAGAGCTGGCACATTTATTAGGCCACCATCACAACCCTTCAGAGAAAAAGTAAGACCTAAATGAAATAGTCGTGATCATTTCGTGTCTTGATGCTCCCTGTGTCTCATTACCTCTCAGGGTCTCTATCAAAATCAAGGGCTGCAAATCTTTCAATAGAGAAATCTATTAGCATATTTTCCAAAGAACAAAATGTACCTATTCCTGCTGTCAGGGCTGCTGTTTGTAGGAGTCTCTGGTTTAAAAGGCCCTCGTTATTATGCATGGGTGTGCATACAAACAAAACTTCTCCGCATGGGAAAAGAATTTTCAGCTTTCAGTAAGAGGCTCTTTTCTCAATTCCTCCACCATCACTACCAACCTACACCCTCTAAAAACCTCTCCAACCTCCACTGATTCTTTCTTTCCTCTCCTTTGAAAAAGTCCGGACTTACTGTATAACTACATATATGTTAAAATCACCAACTAGAGAAAATAAAATTGAGTAATATTCTTGCAAGTAGCAGAATCTCAAACATTTGATGGTTAACTTGGCTGCTTTAGTCAATTGGATGATTCATACAATTATGGGGACTGGTTAGAACTTGAATGGAATTGGTTGGACTGGCACAGGCAAACTTCTCAAGACATGTCCTCCCCTCAGCCTTGGCAAGGCACTTTTTGGGTCTGTACAGCTGGACTCCATTTCATTTATCATCACATTTAATATTTTCTTCCTTTTGATGTTACCTGATTATAAAAATGAGAAATCAGTTTTAGTGCTATTCTCATGTTTCCCTGCATTCAGATTTTTATTCAGGCCTAAAAGTCAAGGTTTTGGGGAAAGTGGGAGGATCACCTAAAGTTGATAATCTAGGCTCTGATGTCCGATTGACTGGAGTTCAATCCCAGCTTTGACCACGAGTAGCTAGGTAATCTTGTGCAGTTTTACTAGATCTTTCTGCACCTCAGTTCCCTTACATGTAAAAGGGGTACAAAAATACCAATTTGCCAAGGTTTTGTACAGATGAAATTAGACAGGCTTTGGCACATATTGCACATTCAATACATGTTAAACATTTTATCATTTTATTAATATATCTATTTCAAGATGAAATATTAATATAATTAGTTGATGGTATAATTAGTAGGGGTTCTAATTTCATACATTCTCGAATTCCCAATAAATAAGTGAAAATTATCTTGATGCTAGAAAACTACATCCTAGGAAATCTTTTGTTGTAAACTTAGATGACGAGGGGCTCTTTTCTACCCACAGCTCCCCTAGTTTACTCAAGCTCCATGTCTCCTCTTTACCAACCCCGTGTCGGCATGTAGCCCCATCCTGAGCACACAGTACACCCTAATAGATATTTTGCAAATCAGGCAAGTAGCACACAGGAGTTTTAAGGACCTTTATATAATTTCAACAAATTCAAAATTCTAAATCTCCATAGAAACACCTTTATGAGGAATATAAGGTAAGAAATATTTCTGCAGTTTATATGGATTTAAACATTTTAAGGTCAAATCATTGTAAAATGTCATGTAGGAAGGGAAGGCCTGAAGTCTCAATCTGGGTTTCAGGCAGGGAACCTGAAAACCTCACAAAGCCACACATAACACTATTAGCTCAAGGAAATGTTTCTCACTGTAACAGGAAAAGGGAAAGTTCGAATAGAAGTCTAGACAGGTTGTACTGAAAGAACAATCAGATGAAAGAGCAATTCAAGCCGGGCATCTTGTGCCTGTAATCCCAGCACTTTGGGAGGCCGAGGCAGGTGGATCTCCTGAGGCCAGGAGTTTGAGACCAGCCCGGCCAACCCGGTGAAACCCCGCCTGGCCAACCTGGTGAAACCCCGTCTCTACTAAAAATACAACAATTAGCTGGGCGTGGTAGCAGGTGCCTGTAATCCCAGCTATCGGGAGGCTGAGGCAGGAGAATCACTTGAACCCGGGAGGCGGAGGTTGCAGTGAGCCATTGCACTTCAGCCTGGCTGACAGAACGAGACTCCGTCACAAAAAAAAAAAAAAAAAAAAGAGCAATTAGAGATTGTTAGCATGAGCATGATTACACTGCAAGAACCAAATAGTTAAGTTTTTTTTAAGTCAAATATTGTAATTTCAATTACTCTTTTAAAAAAGAGTAATTGAAAACTCTTTTTAAGAGTTTACAAAAGAGTAAATTAAAAACATGCTCTTTTAAAAAAGATTAATTTATAAGGTTGCACAGTACTCCTACAAACCACATTAGATACTTCTAGTAGTTAACAAAGAGGAAAACAATGACATTTTACAAAATAAAAAGCAGAATTGAATACAGAAAAATATGACTTAACATCAACCAAAAACCAATTGATTAATCTTGTCAAGATTCTTGTCAAGATTCTCACCAGACACCCAAATACTGAAGGATTACAACTATTGCATCATTAAGATATATTAAAAGAAATGCAACAAGCTTAAAATCTAATAAATTGGAGAGTAAACACATATACTCTGCATAACTGTAATTTAATTTCTTAAAATTCTGCAACTTCCAAATAAACAACAGCAGCAGAAACAAAAGCTCACATAAATGGGTCACAGTAAAGACCAGTTGCCTCCACTTAAACAATACTAGCACAATCGTGTGGGCTACATCCTTGAA
Source organism: Homo sapiens (assembly GCF_000001405.40). Taxonomy (NCBI): domain Eukaryota; kingdom Metazoa; phylum Chordata; class Mammalia; order Primates; family Hominidae; genus Homo; species Homo sapiens. The sequence continues at coordinate 68,228,036 of NC_000001.11, forward strand.
AGAAGTAGATAATCCATGCACAATTTGAGAAAATTGATTACATATGTGTGTATGTTATATCTTATACAGTATACATTACATCCTCAACATTAAAAATTTAAAAAGGCCACTCACATAAGTTACCTTTTGGAAGAAACAATGATCTTTTCTAAAGAAATAATAATTGGTGATTTGTTGATACTTACAGTTTATGTTTGGAATAGTCTCATTTATGGGTATGCTGAAAACAATGCAACAATTTTCTATTAATCCAGTTCTGATCTTCATACTCTTAGCAGTTTTAGAAGAGCTGAGAACAGTGACCTGCTTTTTCAACCATTATATTTCTGAGACATGACTAATTTGAAGCTGAGCAAATTGCACATAATGGGATTCAAGTTCATGATTTTTAGTCTGCACTCTCTTTTCAGGGTACATGGTCTCCTTCCCTCCCTGCTTCTACCACCACCCCCAAAGCTGCCTTTTCAGGAGCTAAATTCACCCAACATGAAATCAAAAGAGAATTATTTTTAAGTTTTCTGCAGGCTTATTTTTAAGGAGGATAAAGTTATATTTTTAAAAATATTTATCTTTTCCTTCAGGTACTACCGCATTTTTAAATAATTTCTAAATATTTAGAATGTATTTAGATGTATTTAGAATAGTAGATGTATCAGATGTATGGTTTCATAGTGGCTCAAAGTTTTTAAAAAAGCATTATATAAATCAGTGAATTTATAAATACCCTAAGTTCTACTATGTAAGATGTTGCTTTCAGAGCCTTTTTGCAAAATCCCATTAAAGGTTTAGCTTACAGACACTGGTGCCAAAAAAAAAAAAAAAAAAAAAAAAAAAAGCAAGCAAAAAAATGTGTTTTTTTTTGTTTTTTTTTTTTTTTGGTAAGAAGGATGTTGAAATAGGAGAATATTTAAGCTGGCTAAACCAAAGCCAATTCCTGGAGGCTAGTTGCTTTTATAGTGAATGTTTAAATTTTCTCCATCAAATCTAGAAGGCTACAACGAAACAACAGCCTAAATGTCATGTACAATTCTCTAAGTACTGAAAGAGTTACACAATTTTAGAACCGAAAGGGACCTTAAACTCCTTCCTCTACCAATGAGGAGCCTGAAGCCTGCTAGTTAACTCACTTGCCTGGTCACTCTGGGGTTCACGGATTGTTATTGTTTGGTGGGGTGGTTGTTTTTGTGCTGTATATTTGTGTGTGTGGTGTATGCAGTACTCACACCCTTACAAACAAGAGCTTTGCCATTTATATTCTCCCCTTCCTAAGTTGCTCTTCCTAAGTTTACTTTCATCAGCAAAAAGAGTGATCAAAAAGAAAAATATATTCTGGCCAGTTCAAAGGGGACATTTCTTTTTCTCACTTGGCCTACTGCAGATATATTAGAGAGACACTTCACACCCAGGACAACTGACTTTTTAAGTGGCAATAACAATGAGCAGCGGAGGAGTTCTCTTCTCACTCGAGAGAGCAGAGGAGGTTTCTGAACTTTACCTTGACTTCCAGCCTACAAACTGTTCCTTCAACTACTGTCTCCGCTTGCCCACTTTGTTGCTATTCTTTCCTTAGTTTCCTTTGTTTTCCAGCTTAGGGAAGTTTGGTGGGAAAATTTTTCACTTACATTTTGTTGATATTTATTTCCCATATTTGGGTCCTACCCAAATTTTAGATTTAAGAGCAAAAAAAAATTACTGTTTAAGTGAAAGAGGAAAGGCTAAGTCACTGTTCAACATGGGCTAGATCTGATCTGAATTGGAGACACAGCCTTTGCAATTGAGGAAGGAGAGGTAAGCAGTAAACTTATACAGTTTCCTCCAAGAAGTGTTATACATAGATATTTTTCAAGGAAATTGGAATAAAGCAGTTTATTAATTGAGGGGAAGCTAGTTACAGTTAGCACCTGCCGCGGACTTTTTGAGGTTGTCGTCATTAACCAAATTCTTCGGGAAAAACAATCTTTGGCACCACTTACTCCAGACAAACCCTGTTTGGAACAGACAAGTGTTCTGACCCTATAGTCGCTCCAATGTCCACCAGCCACTCACGAGTGCCCTTAGGGCTTCTCCTTGGTGGTAGCATCCCAGAAATCCTACTAGTTTCAGAAGTGCCCTAGGAAGCCTACTTCTTGGATAATGGGCTCTGTCTGCAAAGCTAGGAGATCAGCCTAGAAAAAGAAACACACCAACAAACACCAGGAAACTATGTGTAATGGTTTGCTGCTTGTGCAAAAACCTCAAAGAGGATGAAGGTCAGACAGGGATAATAGGCCAATTTAATTCTGAAAGCACAAGGTGCAAGAAATTTTAATTATGGTCTGCCACTGAAATCACACAAGATCCAATGGCATCTAACTGCAACTGCTCATCAAGGGAGACAAGAGGTGTAATTGTAACCGCTGCATAATCACTGTGAGGGCACAGGGAAGGCTGCCTTCAGCTCCCAGCAGAGAAGGTATTAAGAGCCTCGAAAAATCCAATACGGGGAAACGAGATTGCATGTAGCCAAACAGAAGCTCCTAACACAAAAGCCAACCCGTGTGTGTGTGTGCGCGCGTGTGTGTGTGTGTGTGTGTGTGTGTTGAGGGTGAGGGTTCCAGAAAGAAAATGTGAAGCTGTTTGGCCCACACTGGGGATAAGAGATTGTTTGAAAACTCTGAACCCTTTTCTGTTTTGTGGATAAATGCACACAGAGAAAAGAGCACTGTCTCCTTTAGGTATTTCTCTCCTTGATGAAGCTTCACCCACTCTCCTTTGTTTAAGACAATTGGCTTGGATGTTACCGTGATTTACAGTACCAAACTCCCTTTAATTTGTTCCCATCAAACCCAAGTCTGGAGACAAAACGCCAAGCACACGACTGGAGGTGCCCAAGCCTGTGCAGCTCTGGCAGCGACGCCGCCGGCGCCCCCGGGCGTTTTCCCCGCACCCCACATCGCGTGGGCGCCCGTAAAGGCACGCGCGGAGAAAGCCCCTCCGTGGACTCCCCACTCCGCAAAGTTTAACAAAGCCGTGAAGTAAGGAAACCGAACCTCCCGTCCGCGCCCGCTGCAAAGTTGGCATTGAAGTTTGTGCCGGGATGTCCCAAATCTTGAGGGGGCGGGGGGCGCGAGTGTGCAGAGAGGCGGGAGGATGGATGCAGATGGGGAGACAGTGAGGGGAAGGGAGTTTTTCCGAGTGGACGGTCCGTGAGGCGGTTTTCTTCACCCGGAAGCCTGTTTGACTCAGAGAGGTCCGGGAGGTGCACGCCAGGGGAGGTCTCCCGGGGCGGGCGCTGTCGCCGAGGAGGCCGGCGAGCTGTCACCTGCGGGGGGCTGTGGTGGGAGCTGAGGGCGCTCTCCTAAGCGCCAAAAGAGGACGGGGACATTCACAGTCACCGGCTCTCGGGGCTCTAAGTAGTGGGGGAAGGGATATTCACGAGTGGGCAGGAGGCCAAAAGCAACACCTTTCGGATACGCTTTTCCCCTCCGACCTCTCCAACTTCCCGCGGCGCTGGTCAAGGACTCCCTCCCACCCCACCCCATCCCACCCAACCTCCCGGCCGACAATTCGGACCTGTCCACGGCAGAGCGTGGGGTGGAGTGCGGCGGGAAAGCAGAGGGCGCGAAGGTCGGGACCCCAAATTGCAAACCCTCAGCCCCTAGCAAAGACGACCAAATGCATTTACAACCGTGCAAGTATCTCAGCCTTGTAACAGAGCTCCGGGTTTGCGCCGGGCACAGTTCCCCGACTCTTCTGTTGTTCCTAATAAAGTCGATTACGTTGCCCTCCCGGAGCTGATTGGAAGGGAACCGAGAGGAAAAGGGGGGGAACGCGGGAAAAAGCGGGGGGGGGGGGGGGCGAGCAATCAACTTTGTAACCCAGCGCTTCCTCGCGCGATCCGTCGCCATGCTTAAGATTCCCACCCCCGCCGCCCCCCTCTTGCCTTTCAAGTGGATACTGAAACTAGGCCAAAACTTTTTCCCCTCCTTTTCTCTTAGCCACTAGACTGGATTGTGCCCCACGGAGCCCCATGGAGCTCTGCTTTCTTAAGCACAATAGCCGGACTAATTAGATCATAGAAGCAAGGCAGTGATACTGTAACAAGTAGCCCAAGAGGCAAAGAGGGAAGGGGCCCGAAAAGACAGAAAGGGGGAAAAGTTTGCAGCTCTCCGCACTTACCAATCAAGCCTCCCACCAGAAAGGCGATGATTTGGAACACGAGCAGAATCCCACCAACAATGCACAGCTTCTTGGTGCTCATGTTTTCTATAATTGCCCCAGCCATTTTTGCGCCCCCCCTTTTTCTTTTCTCCTTGAAATAAATGTTTTAGGGTGAGCTTTTTGCTCCCTCCTCTCACACACTCCCTCCTTCCTCGCCTCCTTTCTGGGCGCTGCAAAACTTCAGAGGTGCTGGAGCGCGGCGAGGATGGGACCGGGACGGAAGGCGCCCGCACGGATTCCCCCGGCGCAGCCGGCTCGGGTTCCCCCAATGCCCGGAGCTGTGATTGTGGCCGCTCCGCCGCCTGTGGACGCTTAAAGGAGCAGGGAAGCGGATCACATGACGCCGCCTCCCTCCCTTTCTTCCTCCCTCCCTCTCGCGCTTCCTCCCTCCCTCCCTCCCTCTCTTCCTCTACCCCTTGCCCACCAGTTCGGGGCTCAGAGCTCTGGCGGGTGCTGGCGCCTGGCTCCCGAGTCTGGCCTGCAACCTGTCTCTCCAAGGTCTGATGCCATTTAGGGGTTGCTGTTGATGTTAAGCGGGTTCCCCCTGCCCAGCTTCTCACAGGTTTCCTTTTCTGGTTTCCGAAGTGCGAGATTTAAATCACCGGTGGACCGCCTTGCAGACCTTTAACTTACGCGTTGACTTTAGGAAATGGTCCCCACCCCACCCCCAACTGCTAGAACTCTCTTTAGGAAAGAGGAGGAGAATTTTTTTTAAAAGGACCCAATAGATGCCTAAGTCAAAACACAGAGATGCGGAATAAAGTCTCAGCTCGACTTCTTTCTACCAGATTCCCAGCCTCGGTTATTGGGCACATACCCAGCTAAATTCCCCACGGCGCCCCTTGAGGAAACTTGCTCTCCAGCCAAATCAGACCACTGTTCGTTACTCCAGCACATGTGCTTCCACAGCCTTAACCCTGGTTATTGCCTTAAAGAGAACATGTTCTACTCCATCAATGTTAAACCTGATCCAAAACCAACTAGTGTTAAAAAATCTTTCTAATTTTCCACACCACCTCCATGCAGTATCTCTGGGAACTGAGCCCCTACAATCCTGTATTTACATTTTTACCTCCTATTGTAAGGATTTGTGTACACGTTTGTCTCCACCACTGAGCTGTAAACTCCTGGGGAATAGGGACCAAGTTTTTTTTGTTCTTTGTACCCCCCATGGTGCCTAACAAAATGCTAGCTCTAGTAGGTGCCCCATAATCTTTTGTGGAATGAATAAGTGAATGTGAAAGCAAGCCCACAGTTTGTATTTCAAAGGTCTAAAGAGATCTTAGTTGGTTTAGAGGGTACCTATATTAAGTTACAATGTTTGTTGTCTCTTTGTGAGAAATCATATATTTATATTTATACTTAACTTCCATAAAAAGAGGGGCGGGGCTCCCGATAGAGATTTCCTGCTCTATCAAGCCTAAATTTCTGGGCCTGGTTTTTCCATGTTTCATAAACTGGCCGCTTGGCCAGTACAACTCACCTTACTCAATAGACCCTTGGTTTGGTAAATACCCCACCCTGCTCCCCAAACGTGCAGTTTCTACCACCACCACCCACACATCTTGTTTCTTGTCCCTCCCATCCTTACACACCCTCTTCATGCCAAGAGACTATTTTTCCCAGTCCTCTCTCCTCCTCTACTCTGTTCCTGAATTTTCATTGCCCTTATAAAAGATGTCATGCAGGTTACACTTAATAGAAGCATTCATTTCTAATCTCCAAATAGAACAGAGACTTGTCAAGGACAAGCACCAAACTTTATGCATACAAAACTCCATCTCTTCAACATCTAATAGTTCTTAACAGTTCTGAGGATATACACATCATTATGTGTCACATAAGGATGTTTCAGTCAACAACAGACCGTGTGTGTGACAGTAGTCCTATAAGGTTATAATACCATATTCTTACAACACCTTTTCTATAGATATGTTTAGATACACAGAGTGCTTACTATTGCATTACAGTTGTCTACAGTGTTCAGTACAGTAACATGCCAGACAGGTTTGTAGTCTAGGAGCAATCAGCTACACGGTGTAGCCTAGGTCTGTAGTAGGCTATGCTACCTAGGTTTATGTAAGTGCCCTCTATGACATTTGCACAATGACAAATCACCTAACAACACATTCTCAGAAGGTATTCCCATCATTAAGCAATGCATGACTGTGGTTGCTGTTTATCTATTCTCTCATTCAACTCTTTATCCAAGTCACTTATTGAGCCTTTAACATGTTCCAGGCTTTCTTTCTTAAGCACTCAAGGATACCAAGATGTCAAAGTACTTGCACCTGCCCCAGAGGAACCCCCCCCCAGTCCAAATGTTATTCACTGAATAGTAATTAATTACCTCTACTTTGGCAAACACCAGGTACTATCAGAAAGGATGAAGTAGACAGAATTGTTGTCCTTCCAATGTCCTTCAGTTCAAAGTACTCAGATACCTTGGGGTATCATGTTCTGAGCCCAGCACTCCTAAGGGCCCATTTATCTTTCCTAAAAGTCATTTGTTTTCTCATAAATACACTTCTTCTCCTATTAAGATAGAATATAAGCTCCAAATTCTATTAACAACTGCCTCCTTGAGTGGTTATGAATGCCCACATACATTTGATATATGTGAACAAAAATTTGTCTTTTGCCTTGCTAATCTGTCTTTTGTCAGTTTAGTCCACAGACCCCCAAGCACTATGCATAAGAGGGTAGAGAAAAAATGGTGGGTTTTTTGTTTATTTATTTGTTTGTTTGTTTTTGAGACAGAGTCTCATTCTGTCGCCCAGTCTGCAGTGCAGTGACACGATCTTGGCTCACTGCAACCTCTGCCTCCTGAGCTCAAGCAATTCTCCTGCCTCAGCCTCCTGTGTAGCTGGGATTACAGGTGCCCACCACCACATCTAGCTAATTTTTGTATTTTTAGTAGAAATGGGGTTTCGCCATGTTGGCTAGGCTGGTCTTGAACTCCTGACCTCAGGTGATCCACCCACCTCTGCTCCCAAAGTGCTGGGATTACAGGTGTGAGCTACCACGCCTGGCCCCCGTCCACTTCAAATATAAACTGGATCCATAAAAAATGTCTGGAGTGGTAGAAGTGATTTATTCAGATTAGTGAACTCCTTGACTTAGTTTTTAATGAGCTGCTACAATACACCCCACCCCCTCTGCTCTGAAATGCATCTCTGCAGAGTAACTAGCCTAACTCCTTAGGTTTCAGTTTTCTCATCTGTAAATGAGTTGCTGGTTCTCCACCAAGATGATCCCCTGCTTTAAAAGAGCACTTATTAAATAGTTATTTTAATTAAAAAGGGATATTTCTAATTGCTAATCAGTACTTCTGTCATGAGATTACCAATAATGCCCAACTTGGTGGGATGTAGACACCTGTAGTATTCATCACCATGGGCTGCTTTAAAAAAATTGAATTTCTATCACATCTTTTTAAACATTAAAAGTGACTGTGAATCTTTATTTCCCAAGCGGACAACACAGGTGAATAGAAAAGAACATGACAGTTAGAGTCAGCTGGATCTGGTTTGGAACCCAGATCCCATCTGCCCCTTGTTTCATGTGATTATAGGCCATTATGCAGTTACTTACCACCTCTGAGGCTTCACAGACCAACTCTGAGGCTTCTGTAAAACCTTCACTCTTTACAGAAGAGTTTTCCCTTCCGTAAAATGGGAATAATAGTACTATTTCATGGTATTCTTGTAAGATATGAATATTTATTATTATATTTAGGAAACTAAGGGAAATCAATAATTTTGTGTTTAAAAACTAGTAAAACTAGTAAAACTGATGACTGATTATTGCTCAGCTCTAAAATTTTTATCATATTGTGATTACTGTTTGAAGCATATGTTAGGAGAAGTCTAGGTGGTTAACTTTACTTGACAAGTGTGTTAATAAGGACAACATCTAGAATTGAACTTTGACAATACTCAGTGGTTTTTAACATAGAAACATCTGTTCTAAAAACTTCCAGCTGCCAAGGAAATGTTTGTTTTGAGTCATTGTCATTAGGTAGATTATCCCAGAGACTGAAATGATCCAAGGGCAAATCCAACTCTGTCAATAAAAACTGATCATTTCAACTCCATTCCACTAGACTTTATATTAGGTATTCTGATTTATTCATCATTTTATTCAAAGTGTTTGGGATATGCCGGGCATGGTGGCTCACGCCTGTAATCCCAGCACTTTGGGAGGCTGAGGTGGGCGGATTACCTGAGGTCAGGAGTTCGAGACCAGCCTGACCAACATGGAGAAACCCTGTCTCTACTAAAAATACAAATTAGCCGGGCGTGGTGAGGCATGCCTGTAATCGGGAGGCTGAGGCGGGAGAATCACTTGAACCTGGGAGGCGGAGGTTGCAGTGAGCTGAGATCACGCCATTGCACTCCAGCCTGGGCAACAATGGCAAAATTCCATCTCAAAAAAAAAAAAAGTGTTTGGGATATGGAAGGTCATAGTGATGTTCCATGCGTATGTATTGAATAGATGAATGAATGCATGAATTCATGAATGAATGAATGGATAAATGGATATCTAACTGAAGGTAGATATAACTCCTCCCTCACCCCCAGTTCCTATATATAATTGACTGACTATATTCCTACCTGGCACCTATACACTAGACTGCATTTTGCACATGTATCTATATATGTGATGTGTTGTTACCCTAACTGGCTTGCAAATTCCTTCAACACAAGGAGAGTGTGATCTGAGCCTTTGTGTGCCTCACAGTCCCAGCACAGCACCTTGCACAGAGGAGGGCTTAGATTCTGAAGTTGAGAAAGCCTCCTTTGGAAGCCAAGAGCAGCACATTATTATTGGCATTGCAGTAAATGTAATGTAGAGTTCTAAAAAGATTGAATACATCTCCTGAAACATCTAATTTACTTCCCAGAGGAAACTAACAAGAGGAATAATCCCACTCTGAGTCTTCTCATTCTCATAAATAGCTTTTATCCATAAATGGCATCCCTATGGCTCCATGGTTGTTGGTATTTTCTGGTAATTGGTACCTGTGAATGTGAGCGAGCACTGTGGGTTCACACTCTATTATTCAGTGTCACTTTTCACCACACACACACACACACATACACACACACATATAGACACACACACACACAACTTCTTTTAAAATGCTCTTTTTCCCCCAAACAAAACCACCCCTCCCTTCTTTTTCTGCGGACCCCATTGTCTTATTTTGTATGGAGATACAAGACCTTTCTTAATGCCTCCTTTTACACAATAACTGTGGGTAGGAACTATTCAGAAAACCAATACTTCAACCTGATCTTCAATTGCTTAATAAATACCCCATGTCCCACTCCCGTTTTGCATCTCCACCTCCTCTGTAGATCTTCATTTCACCTTTTCTTTTACATTCCACAGACATTTCAGTCATTAGGCTTATTCAGTCACAGCTTTATGTCTTGCTAGCTGTGTAAATAAATGTGGGGAAATTACTTTTCTCATTTCTTGCAAAGAATAAATAATACCAGTCTTATGGGTTGTGATCATTAAACAAAATAAAAAATGCCTAGCACAGTGCCTGACACAAAGTGAATACTCAACAAATATGGCATGTTATAGGGGAGGAGGATTCTGTTCCCAGAGAGCAAAACAAAACAAAACAAAACAAACCATAAAACCCCTAATTATAGTCTCTCTTATAAAATTGCCTCTTTGAACCCAGGCAACCTGGAAGGGCAGGTAAGAAACTTTACAGGTTTCCAGAGGCCTCTAGTGGGAGGCAATCAACAGTTTGAAGTAGCCAGCCAGCCCCCTGTTTCTCAGGCTTGAAAGAAGCTGCAGCAGAGAGCTGGGAAGCCTCCAGTGTTTAAGCCTTTGAGATCACCTGTGCTGGGTTCCTCCACCAGAGGTGGGGAAAAGGGCTTTTTCTTTTTGCCAGTTTTCATGGTATAAGCCAAATAGGGGCTGAGCTGACTGCTCCTTCATGTCATGATGGCTCTTCTTCCCCGTCTCCCCATGAACTTTCTCATGCTGACAAGTTCCTCGATATCTGCTTCTCTCCGCGCAGAGTGGCAATAGGTGGAAAACCCGGGAAGGCCCAGAAACACCTGCCCCGGACAGTGATTCCTGTGATATGCAGACAACACCCAGTACCGTGGCAGACTTGGCACACAAATTTTTGTAATGAATAATGATGAATGAGCCGGGCGCGGTGGCTCACGCCTGTAATCCTAGCACTTTGGGAGGCCGAGGCGGGCGGATCACGAGGTCAGGAGATCGAGACCATCTTGGCTAACACGGTGAAACCCTGTCTCTACTAAATATACAAAAAATTAGCCGTGCTTGGTGGCAGGCGCCTGTAGTCCCAGCTACTCGGGAGGCTGAGGCAGGAGAATGGTGTGAATCCGGGAGGCGGAGCTTGCAGTTAGCTGAGATCGTGCCACTGCACTCCAGCCTGGGAGACAGAGCAAGACTCCGTCTAAAAAAAAAAAAAAAAAAGATGAATGAATAAGTTCCAGTCCCTGGCTATGCAGGGGTTTGGGGAAACCTCCCATAGACGGCCAATGTCAGGAAGAGAAGCTGAGGCTTAACCTCAGCATTAACCTAGATGTGTTAAGAATAGACGCTGACTCAAGCCAAAGCCCAATCTTTATCCCCATTGCAGATTAGCTCAAAATCATCACTAAGTAGCTCAGCATGAAGGACAATGTACCATAAAAACAGCTTAGGATGCCTATATGTAACATGGAAAAGCAAAGGTTGCATGAGGATAATATATATGAAAATCAAGGACCTCTCCTACTTTGCATTAGTGAAAAGAAACTGGAATGGCTGGGAGTGAGGGAGGACATCATTCCTCAAACATCAAATACAGTGGCAGTTAATAGCTCCTATGAATAATGCCAATAATTATAGCAATAACAAGAATGAGAACTTATGTTGACTACTTTCTATGTACCAAGCACTCTTCTAAATGCTTTCCCTATGTTATCTCCATTAATCCATACAACAATCCTGTAAGATAGGTACTATTGTAATCATTTTAAAAAGAGGAAAGCTGTTTCAGAGAAGTTAAGGAATATTCCCTTGGCCACATTGCTAGCAAATTGGGAAGCTGAGATTTTTTTTTTTTTTTTTTTGAGATGGAGTCTCACTCTGTCGCCCAGGCTGGAGGGCAGTCGTGCGATGTTGGCTCACTGCAAGCTCCACCTCCCGGGTTCATGCCATTCTCCTGCCTCAGCCTCCCGAGTAGCTGGGACTACAGGTGCCCGCCACCACGCCTGGCTAATTTTTTGTATTTTTAGTAGAAACGGGGTTTCACCGTGTTAGCCAGGACGGTCTCGATCTCCTGACCTCGTGATCCACCCGCCTCGGCCTCCCAAAGTGCTAGGATTACAGGCGTGAGCCACCGCGCCCAGTGACAGGCATTGTTTTAATGTTTTCTGCCTGCTCCTCTGTTCATGTGTTCAACTCTGTTCTCTTCCTCAGTACCTAACTCCCACTCAGAGCAAACTCCCTCCCATTAAGCCTTAAATTTTTATAATCTGTCTTTGCTGGTATTTGCTGCTAAGGGCTTTTCCAATTTGAAGATCAATTTTCAAGTCAAATGACTCATGAGAGTAATTGTTAACCATAATGCTAGAGTGTTTTGAGGACATTCTTAATATACATTAGCAAAAGACATGTAATACATAAAATTGATTTTGTCTTAGGTAATCTGCAAATTGAGTCTTATAATATTTCTGTTTGTTTAATTTGTTGTTATGATATGAATCCCCAGTGAAGACCCTCTTCGCCCGAGTTTGAGTTGTTTTGTGAATACTATTCATCTTAAGACAACAATGTATGAGGGCAAACATTTTCCTATTTCTGTTATATGTTGCTGTAGTTTGGCTCATCTGACCCCTCCAAATCTCACATGGAAATCTGATCCCCAAGGTTGGAGGTGAGGCCTAATGGGAGGTGTTAGGATCATAGAGGTGGATTCTTCATGAGTAGATTAATGCCCTTCCTGGGAGTGGGTGGTGAGTGAGTTCTCACTCTGTTAGTTCCCAGGAGAGCTGGGTGTTACTTCCTCGCTCACCACATGATCTCTGTAGATGCCAGCTCTCCTTTGCCTTCCCCCGTAAGTGGAAACAGTCTGGGGCTGCCACTAGATGCCCAATCTTCCAGCCAGTAGAATTATGAGCCAAATAAACGTTTTTTCTTTATAAATTACCCAGTCTACCTACAGAATGGGAGGAAATTTTTGCAAACTATGTATCTCACAAAGGTCGACTATTCAGCATCTATAAGGAACTTAAACAAATTTACAAGAAAAAAAACCTCGTTAAAAAAAGTGGGCAAAGGACATGAACAGACAATTTTCAAAAGGAGACATATATGCGGCCAACAAACATATGAAAGGAAGCTCAACATCACTGATCATTAGAGAAATGAAAACTACAATGAGATACCATCTCACACCAGTCAGAATGGCTATTATTAAAAACCAAAAAGCCCGGGTGCAGTGGCTCATGCCTGTAATCCCAGCACTTTGGGAGGCCGAGGCGGGTGGATCATGAGGTCAGGAGTTCGAGACCAGCCTGGCCAAGATGGGGAAACCCCGTCTCTACTAAAAAATACAAAAATTAGCCAGGTGTGGTGGCAGGCACCTGTAATCCCAGCTACTCAGGAGGCTGAGGCAGGAGAATTGCTTGAACCCGGGAGGTGGGGTTGTGGTGAGCCAAGATCATGCCACTGCACTATAGCCTGGGTGACAGAGCAAGACTCCATCTCAAAGCCAACAACAACAACAAAAAAAACACAGATGCTGGCGAGGTTGCAGAGTAAAAGGAGTGTTTATACACTGTTGGTGGGAATGTAAATTAGTTCAACCATCGTGGAAGACAGTGTGGTGATTCCTCAAAGATCTAAAGACAGAATTTCCATTTGACTCAGTAATCCCATTACTGGGTATATGCCCAAAAGAATATAATCATTCTATCATAAAGACACATGCACATGTATGTTCATTGCAGCACTATTCACAATAGCAAAGACATGGAAACAACCCAAATGCCCATCAGTGGTGGACTAGATAAACTGTGGTGCATATATACCATGGAATACTATGCAGCCATAACAAAGAACAAGATCATATCCTTTGCAGGAACATGGATGGAGTTGGTGGCCATTATCATTTGCAAACTAATGCAGGAACAGAAAGCCAAATAAATACTGCATGTTCTTACTTACAAGTGGGAGCTAAATGATGAGAACACATGGACACATAGAGAGGAACAACACATACTGGGGCCTATCAGAGGTGGAGGGTGGGTGGAGGGAGAGGATCAGGAAAAGTAACTAACGGGTACTGGGCTTAATACCTGGGTGATGAAATAATCTGTACAACAAAGCCCCATGACATGAGTTTACCTGTGTAACAAACCTGCACAGGTACCCCCTGAACTTAAAATAAAAGTTAAATTAAAAAGAGTAACACTAAATATAAATAAACAAAAATAAATTACCCAGTCTCATTTACTCCTTTACAGCCAAATGAATGGCCTTGAACATATGTCCTATCTGATACCTGAAGCATGAATGATTTGATGAAGCTTTCTTTCATTTATTCCATAAATATTTATTATGTGTTGACCATATGCCAGGTATCTGGCAAGTGCTGGGACACAAATGCAAAAATGACAGATATCTTTTACTCTCACAAAGTTTATAATCTCATGTAGATGAAAGGGTATTGGTGATACAATGACTCTATTAGCTGAGAGGGCAAGTCTTAAAGAATGACTGCTGTGCCGGGCATGTTGGCTCACATCTGTAATCCCAGCACTTTGGGAGGCTGAGGCAGGTGGATCACTTGAGATTGGGAGTTTGAGACCAGCCTGACCAACATGGAGAAACCCCATCTTTACGAAAAATACAAAATTAGCCGGGCATGGTGGCGCATGCCTGTAATTCCAGCTACTCAGGAGGCTGAGGCAGGAGAACGACTTGAACCCGGGAGGCAGAGGTTGCGGTGAGCCAAGATGGCGCCATTGCACTCCAGCCCAAGAAACAAGAGCAAAACTCCATCTCATAAAAAAAAAAAAAAAAAAAAAAAGAATGACTGCTGTAAGAGGTGTAGAAGAGACCTCAGACTGGAGAAAGCAAAAGGACAAGGATTGCTCTCCTTAGCGTTTTAGTGTGTGTGTGTGTGTGTGTGTGTGTGTGTGTTTTTACTATGAATATATATATTTTTATTTAGTCATTTTTGTTTACTATTGAAACTCTGGGAATTCACAATTAACATCCTTGCCCATGAGCTTCTTATAGACACCAGAAAAAGTTTCAACCTTGTGTTCCACATTGTTCTGTTGTGCTTTGTCCAAATGAACCTTTATGAGCCGGCTGCCATCTAGTTTGACGCGGATTTTCTTGCCCACAATTTCACTTGGGAAGACCAAGTCCTCAAGGATGGCATCGTGCACAGCTGTCACAGTGCTGCTCCTGGGACGCTTTTGCTTATTTTTTGTACAGCTTTTTCGAGTTGGCTTAGGCAGAATTCTCCTCTGAGCGATAAAGACGACATGCTTCCCACTGAACTTTTTCTCCAATTCACTTACTAGCCGGATTTGGATTTTCTGGAAAGATTTCAGTTGAGTAACGGGAACAAGTATTATGATAGCTTTCCGACCACCACCAACTTCAATTTCCTTGGCTGCCGTAATATTCAGCTCTCTGAGCTGAGCCTTGAGTTCTGAGTTCATCTCCAGCTCCAGAAGAGCCTGGGAGATGCCGGACTCGAACTCCTCCGGCTTCTCGCCGTTGGGTTTCACGATCTTGGCGCTCGAACTGAACATGGCCTTCTCCTGGGAGAACTCGCCGAGCGCCGGCTTATGAAGAGCTGCTCTCCTTAGCTTGATGCACAAGGTCCTCCATGCTTGGCTCCATTTGACCCTCACAGAGACAGCATGGTTCAGAGCATGGGCTCCAGAGCCAGATCACCTGGCTTTGCCACTTACTAGCTGTGTGCATGGGCCAGTTAGGTTAAATGTTTTGTACCTCAGTTTTCTCATCTGTAAATGAGATTGTAATGAATATTAAGAGGGTTTATTTGTATAAAGTGTTTAAAACAGTGCCTGACACATAGTAAGTTTAATATAAGTAAGTAGTCACTAAAAAAGGAGAGAAAAAAGTGAGTTTTTTCCTCTTCTGCCAATCCCGCAAGGGTACCTTGGTTTCTGTCCACTTTTGAAATTATTTTATTATTATTTGTATTTTACTTTAAGTTCTGGGGTGCATGTGCAGAACAGCGTTCTGTCCACTTTAAACATTTTAATAACCCACCCCAAGCACCACATGTTGTTTGACATATATCCATTAGTTATTATTAATGTCCATTATAAATTTATTGGACATCTCCTATATGCCAGGTGCTGTTACTCAATTATGAGAGGCAGTATGAGAAGCAAGGATTTAGGATCAAACAGATGTTGGTGGAATTCTGCCTTAACCATCATCTAGCTCTGAGACTTCAGGAAAGTAACTTAACCTCTCAGAGCCTCAGCTAAGTCACCTGTGAAATGGAGATGATGTTATCTTCACAAAATCTGTGATGAGGATCAAATATATTCAATATATAAAGAGTTGGCCGGGCGTGGTGGCTCACACCTGTAATCCCAGCACTTTGGGAGGCCAAGGCGGGTGGATCACCTGAGGTCAGGAATTTGAGATCAGCCTGGCCAACATGGTGAAACCCCATCTCTACTAAAAATAAAAATTTGCCAGGTGTGGTGGTGCACACCTGTAGTCCCAGCTACTCAGGAGGCTGAGGCAGGAGAATTGCTTGAACCCGGAAGGTGGAGGTTGCAGTGAGCGGGGATCATGACAATGCATTCCAGACTGGGCGACAGAGCGAGACTTTGTCTCGATAATAGATAGATGATATAGATAGATGATAGATAGATAGATAGATAGATAGATAGATAGATAGATAGATAGAAAAAATAAAAAGCTTAGCAAAATGCCAGGCATTTGATAAGCACTCAATAACAAGGAGAAACTAGAGGAGGTGGAGGAGGAAAAGGATAATCTTGGAGGTGGATACTGTTATTTAGTTAGAAAAGTGAGGTTCAATGCCCTCAACCCCTGCCCTCTCATCCTGCCTTGGTCAGAGACTCTTTCTCCTCTGCGCCACATTCCCGTCAACTCCAGTTTCCTCTAATCGCTATCAACAATGTTTTCATTGAACCTTGCTCTTAGTAAGCTGTCTGTTGGAAAAATATTAAGACTCCTGGATTGCTTGTTGAAACTCTGTCTTTCAAATATTTCACATACTTTGAGATTCTTTTGATCCTTCTACCCCATAACCTGACACAGTGTCTCCCTTGGTGAACCCTTGTACAACTAACATTCTATGTCTATTATGTCCCTTCACACATATTGCCCCAGATTATAGTTATTTGGGCACTTGTCATATCTACTTCAGTGTATTATATATTTTTTAAGGTCAAAGGACTGTGTTTTACTCAGAAGTCTTTTTATTTAATTCTAGTAGAATCCCAGTGGCTCTTCCAGGTCTTGGCTTCTAAGCTTTCATGCTTCTTCATCTTTTTCTCTCAATAGACGTTCTATTTTATGGGACAAGGAGAGGTGGGGGCCATTAAGTATAAACATTCTCAGCCTCCAAACTGATAAGTATCTTCTCTGCCTTGTCTCCAAGGAAGCAATGAACCACTTCTTGGACAAAGTTCTCAGACCCATTTTAGAGAGTTGGTCAGTACAGCTTAATGGTGAAGATCATATTCTCTGCAACCAGACTGCCTGAGTTTGAACTTCTGGCTCTGCAATTTACAGTACCGGCTATGTAACCTTGAGCAAGTTACTAAGCCTGTCTGTACCTTGATTTCCTCCTGTGACAAATGAAGACAATAGCAATTGTCCCTGCCTCCAGGATGATAGCAAGGATTAAATGAGTCAGTGAGTGAAAACTACTCACTACAGAGCGTGCTTAGCACATGGCACGAATGTAGTAATGGTTAGTTGTTATTATTAATTACCTCCCGTCACCTTCTATGATATCTTTAGAGATCTTTTTTCAAACCTTTCCTCAATCTTACTCTGGAGTGTTCCTCATCCTAAAAAAAGATCTTTCCCTTAACTCTACGGCTCCTTAACCCTTTGCCTTCTTGGGCTTCTTTCCTCTACCGTAAGACTTCTAGGGGCCAGGCATGGTGGCTCACGCCTGTAATCCAGCACTTTCGGAAGCCGAGGCGGGTGGTTCACCTGAGGTCGGGAGTTCAAGACCAGCCTGGCCAACATGGTGAAACCCTGTCTTTACTAAAAATACAAAAAATTAGCTGGGTATGGTGGCGGGTGCCTGTAATCCCAGCTACTAGGGAGGCTGAGGCAGGAGAATCACTTGAACCCGGGAGGTGGAGGTTGCAGTGAGCCAAGATTGTGCCATTGCACTCCAGCCTGGGCAACAAGAGTGAAACTCTGTCTCAAAACGAAACAAAACAAAACAAAATAAAACAAAGACTTCTAGGAACAATAGTTCCTATTTGCTGGCTTTATAATCTCACTTCCCATTCCCTCTCTGGCCATCTGCAGAAAATCTAGATTCCACAGCCAGCATTCTACTGACTGCTCTGATGAATCTCATGGAGTGACCTTGGTGCTTATCCTACTAGAGGTCTCTGAAATGTAACCTTCCTCCCTCCAGAAAAGTCTCTCCTCACCTCCTCAGCTTCAGTAACTTTTTTCTCTCAGTTCCCCTTCTACTTCTCTTAACATCTCCTTCTCTCTCTTTTGCTGGCTCCATTTTCTCTACCAACTCCCTGAGAGTTAATACTGTATTTTGGAGTATTCTCTCCTTTACCTCTTCTTTTCATAGGGTCTGTGGGCAAATCTTTATCTATAGCCCTGACCCCTTGTCTGAACTTTAAACTCATATAACCAACTGCTTCCTAGACTTCTCTGCCTAGATAAACCACATGCACCTCCAAATCAACCAGACACCTTCCCTATCTCAGAGTTTTCCTGACTCTCCAACTAGCCACCCGACTTACATATCTCAAGGTCATCCTAGATTCATTACCTACACATGCAGTTATCTTGACCAGACCGTACCTCCCTTATTCATAGTGAGCTGGCATCTCTTCTCCATCCTCACTGATCTGCAAGTCTAGACCCCTATAATATCTCCAGTTTAGACTATTGAAGACCTTCACTATCAGGCCTCCAATCTCTGGTTTCTTATGATAGATAATATAGTTTGCAAACTGTTTTCAGAGTGTGGTCATTACAAAACACTGATCTGTTTTTCTCTGTTCTGAATAGAGGCTGGCAGTATCGTCTGATTGCCTATAAATAAAGCCTATCTTTTTAAGCTCGTATCTAGCAAAATCTCACAGAGTACTCTAAGATCTAGTTACTTTAGATTATCTTTTTTTCCCCGATTCATCAATGTGGGACCTCGTACTTTGTGGTGTGTAACTCACAGCCAAGCTCAGATCTTTCCCCTTGTAACATAATCGTTGGGACAGATCAGTTCATTCCTAAAGTGGTACCACCAAGCTGTGATCCCATGGTATTCCTCCTCTTGTATTACCTGTTTTAAACTGCTGGCCATCCAGAGGCCCAAGATGAAAACCCAGAAATCATCCTAGACTTTTAAGTTAATGTAGTCAACAGGTAATGAACATATTATTTGTCAGGTGTCATAAATAATATGGCATAATAATAAGACCAAACACATACATGCTAAGTGATGGGCACTTTTGAAGTGAGATAAACAGACAAGTAGACAGAAGAAATATATTAATATATAACACTTAGAAGCAAAATAGGAATAGTATGCATCTCAAATACTTGTGAGGATTAAATGTTCTAAATAAACTCATATATATCACTTAGAACATTTTATCTTCACCACAACCATTTGAGATCCATACTATTATTATTCTATTTTACATACTGGAGAAACGTTGGCTCAGAGAGGATTAGTAACTTACTCAAGATCACATAACTAATAAACACTGGAGCTAGGCTTTGAATCCAATCAGTGTGGTATCAAAGTCCATGCACTTAACAGTTACTCTCTTCTGTCTTTGATTCTAATAACAGTAACGGTAATATTCCTTTAGTTTTTCTATGTACCAGGCACTGCTCTGAATATATTACGTGTTTTACTTCATTTAATCTTCCCAATACTTGCTGTGAGGTAGGCAATACTTTTCTCCTTGATTATCTTTGCAAATGAACTTTGCTTAAATAAACCCAAATAAAAATTCAAACGTTTTCTCAGAGAAACCTGGAAGTGAATATTCACTACAAAAGAGTATGTATGTACTCTTCTAAGAAACTTGTTTCAGAATTCCTTGAAATTCTAGATTCCTCAGACTATTTAATACAAATTTGAAGGCATGTTTTCAGTATGAGAGTGAAAGTGTCTCTATTGAATAATATACCATTTACCCATTCAGCAAATGTTTATTGAGCACCTAATATGTGCAAGACACTAGATACATCAGAGAATGTTTCCACCCTGAAGGACATAAAAGTCTAGAAAAGGGGTTAAAAAGCAAGAAGCACAATAATGGGACAGGTAGAATTGCATAGAGGTTAAGAGAACAGATGCTAGAGCCACACAGACTTTGTCCAAAGCCTGGCTTTGCTGTTTACTTCACGTGTGACTTTAGGAAATGCATTTAAACAATTTATGCCTCTTTTTTTCATAGTATGAACATTATATGATTGCTGTTAGGATTTCAAGTCTATATATATAATATATATGTTATATATAATATATATACATATGAAGAACTTAGATCAGTGCCTGGGACGTGGTAACATTAAGGGGCAGCTATGGTTAGCAGTACTAGAAGTCATCCTCATATTTCCACATGAGGCAACATTGGTATTGAAAGTAGGAACAAGGAAAGAGTGGCTTATTTTATATTACAGGAGAGGAAAGAGTTCAGATAAATCTTTAGAGTTCTAGATAAGTTTTGAAATATGAGTAGGTGTTCTCCAGATAGACAAAAAGGAAAAATCTAAACAAGCAAGGGGCAAAATCAGGGAGCAGTAACTCCTAAAGACCATACGTCTAGCTGAAGAGTTAGCACACACCTTTGTGTCTCCAGCATATTGCTTTGGAGATCTACAGTGATGTGAGATAGGAACACAACGAGGGTGGAGAGATGATGTTCTCATTAAGATTAAGCCATGTTTATTACTGAACTGGGAAGAATGATGCCTTCTATATTTGTATAGCACCAATTTTAAGATGCTATCTTAGTAATATTTACAACCTTGGAGATCTGGCTATTTATAATTATCACCATTTTCCGTGAGGGAATCCAGAAGTAGAAGCATCCAAAGTTGTTCAAACAATTATCAGTAGATCTAGAAAGCAGACCCTAATTTATAGCTCACTGAAGTGCTCAAAATAACAAGATTATACTAATTCTACACTCTCCCACCATTTCTCTTCTTATCTTTAGAAAAATACAGCAAAATGCAACAGCTGAAAAAGCTAAGGTAGAGTTAAAATACAATCAGAAATAGTAATGGGCCATGCAGAAAATGATGAATAAACTATGAGACAGGTTTGTGGTGAAGAGTAGAATGGATGTGTTAGGAGTAATTTGAGCTGTTTGCTAGAAGAAAACAATTAATTGGTTGCTATATAACTTACATACAGTAAAGTACACAAATCATAGGAGCACACATTGATGAATTTTTACATATGAATACCGTATTAGTTTGCTAGGGCTGTGTATTAGTCTGTTCTCACATGGCTATAAAGAAATACTTGAAGGCCCAGGAGTGGTGGCTCATACCTGTAATCCCAGAACTTTGGGAGGCCAAGGCGGGTAGATCATTTGAGATCAGGAGTTCAAGACCAGCCTGGCCAACATGGTGCGACCCTGTGTCTACTAAAAATACAAAAATTAGCCAGGTGGTAGTGGTGCGTAATCCCAGCTACTTGGGAGGCTGAGGCAGAGAGCATGGGAGTCGGAGGTTACGGTGAGATCAGCCTGGCCAACATGGTGAAACCTCATCTCTACTAAAAATACAAAAATTAGCCAGGTGTGGTGGTGCATGCCTGTGGTCCCAGCTACTCAGGAGGCTGAGGCAGGAGAATTGCTTGAACCCAGAAGGTGGAGGTTGCAGTGAGCGGGGATCATGCCAATGCATTCCAGCCTGGGCCACAGAGCGAGACAGAGTGAGATCACGCCACTGCACTCTAGTCTGAGCAACAGAGTGAGACCCTGTCTCAAAATAAAACAAAACACCAAAAACAAAAAAAGAAATACTTGAAATGAGTAATTTATAAAGGAAAGAGGTTTAATTGGCTCACAGTTCCACAGGCTGTACAAGAAGCATAACTGGGAAGGCCTCAGGAAACTTACAATCATAGCGGAAGGCAAAGGGGAAGCAGGCATGTCCTACATGTCTGGAGCAGGAAGAAGCGAGCAAAGGGGGAAACAACCAGATCTTGTGAGAACTCACTCACTATCATGAGAACAGCAAGGGGGAAATCTTCCCCATGATACAATCACCTCCCACCAGGCCCCTTCTCCAACACTGGGGATTACAATTTGACATGAGATTTGGGAGAGGACACAGATCCAAACTATACCAGGCCACAATAACAAAACATCACAGACTGGGAGACTTAAACAATGCAAATTTATTTTCTCACAGTTCTGGAGGCTGGAGGTCCAAGAACAAGGTGTCAGCGGGGTTGGCACCTTGGATTCCTGAGGCCTCTCTCCTCAGCCTGCAGATGACCACCCTCTTGCTGTCTCTTCACAGGGTCTTTCCTTTGGGTGTGTGCTGTACCCCTGATGTCTTCTCCCTGCTCCTTTTTTTTGAGATGGGCTCTTGCAATGTTACCCAGGTTTCATGGACTCCAGCGATCCTCCTGCTCCAGGTTCTGAAATAGCTGGGTTTACAGGTACATGCAACTGTGCCTGGCTTCCTCTTCTTCTTATAAGGGTGCCAGTCATATTGGACTATGGCCGTATTCTAAAGGCCTCTTTTAACTTAATCACCTCTTTAAAGACCTTGTATTCAAACATGGTCACATTCTTTAGTACTGGGAGTTGGGATTTCAACATATAAATTGGGGGAGGGGCACAATTCAGCCCAGAACAAATAAATATATTAGATATGGAACCACCCAGATCAAGATACAAAACATTTCTACCATCTCGAAGGGCTTTTCTGTGCTCACTCCTAGTTGATTATTCCTTCTTAATCCTAAAGTTGTGTGAACTTTTTTCACATTTCTCACCATCGATCTGTTTTTCTTCTTTTTGAGCTTCATAATATGTATTTGTATTCTTTCATAACTAGCATTTGCTGCCTAACATGATGTCTGTGATACTTATCTTTGTTATTGCATGTAGCAGTATTTTGCTTATTTCATTTCGTTGTGTAAATATTATCACAGTTTATATGACATTTGAGTTTCTTCCAGTTTTTGCTATTATGAATAAAGCTACTGTAAGCATTGTTGTATTTGTCTTTTGGTTGACATGACTATTCCATTGTGTTAAATATCTATGCAAAAGAAGAATTGCTGGGCTACAGAAATATGGGTGTATTTAATGTTACTGTACTGTAATAATTTTCCAAAGTAGATATGCCAACATACATTTACACTAGCAAATCAAGTTCCAATTGTTCCACATCTTCATCAACACTTAGCAGTGTCAGTCTTTTTAATTTTAGCCATTCTGGTGGGGATATATGGGTATATGATTAGAGTTTCAATATGTATTCTGTGATGACTATGCTGTTGCCTTTTGTTCATTGAGATATCCTCTTTTGTAAAATGTCTGTCCAAGTCTTTTTTCTATTTTTTAAATTGATCACCATTTTTGTCTTTACTTATTTGTAGAAGTTCTTTATATATTCTGGACGCAGATACTTTTTCAAGATTTGTATTGAAAATATCATCTCTTGGTCTGTGATCTGTCTTTTCCGTTTTTGTTTTTTTTTTTAATGGTGTTTTTCAGGAACAGGCATCAAGATTGCAAGTTTATTGAGCTTACAATCAATAAACATGTGATTTCTTCCATTTGATTTAAAAGGGTCTTTTAGAAATTTTTCTTGGCCATATTTTATCTTTTCTTTTTTGAGACAAGGTCTCACTCTGTCACCCAGGCTGGAGTGAAGTGGCACAATCATAGCTCTCTGCAGTCACAATCTCCTGGGCTCAGGTGATTACCTTGCCTAAGCCTACCCTGTAGCTAGGAATTCAGGTATGAGCCACCACTCCCAGCTAACTTAAAAAATATATATATATTATTTTTTTTGAGGTGGGGTCTGGCTGTGTTGCCCAGGCTGGTCTCGAAATTCTGACCTCAAGTGATACTCCTGCCTCAGCCTCCCAAAGTGCTGGAATTACAGTCATGAGATGCTGCACCCAGCCTATATTTTATTATTTTTAAGGAAGAGATATTGTACTACTTTTATTACTTTTATACCCAAACACAGAAAATTCCAGTGCTATTATAAAAAGTATTAAATTTTTTTTATTTTCTAGTTGTGTAGTACATATAAATAAAATTGATTTTCTATATCAACCTTCTATCCACTGACCTTACAAAATAAATGTATTCTTATAATTTGTTTGTAGATTTTTTCAATTTTTTTACATAAACAATCATGTCATATATGAACAATAATAATTTTACTTCTGTTTCCAAACTTTATAGCTTTCATTTTGTTTGCTTGCTTTATTGTATTGGTGAATTTCTCTAGTACAATCTAGAATTGAAATCACCATTATTATTTGATATTTATTTTGGAGATGCTAGCCATTGCAACTGAAGAAGAGAATAAAAAGAGAAACAAGAAGGAAACAAACTTAGAATTATGTGTGATTGATACAATTATAAATCTAAAAATTCAAATAAAAATAATTCAAGCAATAATAAAGCTAATCACAATAATTAAAAGTCAATTACTTGGCTGGATGTGGTGCCTCATGCCTGTAATCCCAGCACTTTGGGAGACTGAGGCAGGTGGATCATGTGAGGTCAGGAGTTTGAGACCAGCCAGGCCAACATGGTGAAACCCCACCTCTACTAAAACTACAAAAAATTAGCCGGGCGTGGTGGTGCGCACCTGTAGTCCTGGTTACTTGGGGGACTGAGACAGGAGAATTGCTTGAACCTGGGAGGTGGAGGTTGCAGTGAGCCAAGATTGCGCCACTGCACTCCAGCCTGGGCGACTGAGTGAGACTCCATCTCAAAAAAAAAAAAAAAAAAAAAGTCCAGTACTTTACTTTAGAATAATGATTATCTGCTAGAAAGTAGAATGGAGAAGAATATCTCATTCACAATAACTATTCTAGGAATGAATCTAATAAGAAAGCATGAAAATTTAAAATTTCACTGAGTCAAAATTTTTAAAAATGAGTTAAATGAAAAGACATCTTTTGTTTGGATAGATGAATCTATCTATCTATCTATCTATCTATCTATCTATCTATCTATCATCTATCTATCTATCTATCTATCTAT
This sequence comes from Homo sapiens, assembly GCF_000001405.40. Taxonomy (NCBI): domain Eukaryota; kingdom Metazoa; phylum Chordata; class Mammalia; order Primates; family Hominidae; genus Homo; species Homo sapiens. The sequence continues at coordinate 68,252,740 of NC_000001.11, forward strand.
CTATCTATATCTATCATCTATCTATCTATATCTGTCTATCTACCTACCTACCTATCTATTTTTTAGTGGGATTAAGTGGTTTATTCAAAGTTATCTGATTAGTAACATTTTTCTAAAGTTTATGTTCCTATGTTACTTCTCTGCATACAATTTTTTTTTTTACTTTAAGTTCTGGGGTACACGTGCAAAATGTGCAGTTTTGTTACATAGGTATACACGTGCTATGGTGGTTTGCTGCACCTATCAACCCGTCATCTACGTTAGGCATTTCTTCTAATGCTATCCCTCCCCTAGCCCCCCACCCCCCAACAGGCCCAGATGTCTGGATGTGTGGTGTTCCCTTCCCTTGTGTCCATGTGTTCTCCTTGTTCAACTCCCACTTATGAGTGAGAACATGCGGTGTTTGATTTTCTGTTCTTGTGATAATTTGCTGAGAATGATGGTTTCCATCTGATGAATCAATATTTTGAAAGAGTTATTTTTGAATTAATCTAAACTATAAAGCAATTCCTATCAAAAATATAAACAAAGTTTTTTGAAGATTTTTGAAATTTGAATGAAATGATGCTAAAATTTATATGACAAAATAAACACGTAGGAAAATATTTGAAAAGAGAAGAATCATGAGGTGGGTTGAGTACATCAGATAAAGTGTTGCTTTAAAGTATCTGAACTTTCTTTCTGACCACAAATAAACAAAAAAGATCAATGAGATAGATGAACAAATCCATAAATAATCTGGAGTAATTATCTGAGTTTAATAATAAAATGATAAAAGTCACATTTTTAATAAATGAGAAAAATATAAATTATTAAATAAATAATGTTGGTAATACTGATTGAACATTTGAAAAACATAAACCTGGATTTTACCCTTCCTTCTTCTCTATTAAGATGTGAATAAAAGAAATCCCAAAATAATAAGCAAGAACATGAATAATACTAATCCAAACATAAACTTGGTATAGGAAATGCCTTTCTAAACTTATTTCAAAGTCCTCAAGCCAAAAGAAAAAGATTAATATCTACATTTTAATCTTAACATTTTCAATTTCTATCAATTTTAACACTCTGCCGTGAAAAAAGGTCAAATAGAAGACAAGCACATATTGGGAAAAAATATTTGCAACAAATACGACAAGGCACCTTAATATAAAAAAAATTCTTCCAAATAAGTAAATAAAAGGTAAGGCTGAGCATGGTGGCTCAAACCTGTAATCCCAGCACTTTGAGAGGCTGAGGCTGGAGCATTCCTTGAGGCCAGGAGTTTGAAACCAGCCTGGTCAACATAGCCAGACCCTATGGCCTCTACAAAAGAAAAATTCAAAAATTAACTGGGAGTGGTGGCATGTACCTGTAGTCTGAGGTACTGGGGAGGCTGAAGCAGGAGGACCGTTTGAGCTTCGAAGTCTGAAGCTACAGTGAGCCATGATTGCACCATTGCACTCTATCTGGGTGGCAGAGTGAAACCCTGTCTCCAAAACAAAAACAGAAACAAAGATATATAACCCAATAGAAAAAAAGTGGGCAAAGGAGTTTATGGAAAAAATATGAGTGCGCAATTCACACCTGAAAAGATACTTAACCATATAATATTTTAAAATACATAAACTGAAGAACAAAGTGTATTTTTTTATCCAATTAAGAATATTAAAAGGTTATGTAAGCCCAAAGCTGAAGGGAACTATGCAGGTCTATATATTGTTGATAGAATAAATTATTACAAACCTTTTGTAGGAAATTTATCAACATCTATCCAAATTATTGCTGAGCATACTCTTTGACCCCCAAATTGAAATTTATCTTACCCATATGCCTGCAAAAGTGTTCAAAGATATGTCTACAGGAATTTCATCATTTTGCTGTAGCATTGCTTTGCTTTTTAAGATAGTGTTATGGGCTGAGCAGTCTTTTCCTAAAATTTGTATGTGAAAACCCTCACTCTCCGCACCTGAAAATGTGACTGTATGTGGAAATAAAGCTTTTAAAGAGGTTGTTAAATTAAGATGAGACTGTTAGTGTGGGTCCTTATCCAATCCAACTGGTGTCCTTGTAAAGAAGAGGAGATTAAGACACTGGAGGCACACCAAGGATGTGAGCAAACAGAGAAAATCAATGTGAGGGCTTAGAAATAAGGCAGCCAACTGCAAGCCAAGGAGAGAGGTCTCAGAAGAAACTCAACCTGCTGACATCTTGACCTTGGACTATTAGCCTCCAGAACTGTGAGAAAATAAATTTCTGCTGTTTAAGCCACCCAGACTGAGGTATTTTGTTATGGCAGCCTGAGCAAATTAATATAAACACTGAAAGTGAAATATTCTCAATGGCTATAAATGGAAGAAAATGTTACCAGAGGTTACGTCCGTGGTTACAGAGAAGGAAAAGATAGAAGGTAGGGAAATTTGATGTTTTAATTTATGCTTTCTTATTTTGTTTATTTTAAAATTTTGAACCTTATTGCTGCTGTAATAAAATAAACCAGCTAATTTTAAAAAGTGATAGAGAATTTGCGTCAACTTATAAAGTCCCAGAAATATGCCCAGAAATCTCCTTTGAGACCTACAAAGCTTCTATTGATTTATTTATCTTTGATTTGTCATTTTTTATGATGTAGGTTTAAAAATAAATTATTTATTTAAACTCTTTTGTTTGGTTCAGTTGCTGGTGATTCAGCAATTTTCTATTGTTCTTCTTTCATAATCTTTGGGTTTATTTCATCTTCCTTCCAAAACTTAAGAAACCATGATTTCGTCACTCAAGGATCACATTGGGACATCGGAAAAGTCCTCCAGGTGAAGTTGAGTTATTTATTTCTGAAGAAGACATCAACCAACCTACTGTAATATGAAACAAGTAATAACCATTCGGTTGTAATAGCTCTCTATTTTAATTACACTTTAGGCCAGAAGAGTTAGGGAAAAATATATAGTAGACAGCACTGTTATTGGGCAATGTTCCACTTTAAACACAAATCCACAGCCGTACTTCAAATCTTCTTAGATACATGATTCTCAGATAGTTAAGGGAATAGAAAAATAGTGGAGTCACTAATTACTTGGCCTTAGATGTTAGTATAACTCTAATGCCAACTCTTCCCCCCTTTATTTTAGGAGACTATTGTTGAAGTCAAAGTAACTATCTCATTTTGTTTAAAAATGTGAAAGTGTGAGTTATGTAATAAAGAGACAATGGGAAGTTTGATTAACACAGCTGCAAACTGTTAAGATATTCTTTAAGAAGAGAACACTTATGGAGTAGGAGTGGATGAGATGCAAGAACTGAATGACAGAAAATGTCCTTAAGCCTTGGCATCCTCACACCTTTTCATGCTTGGCTTGCATTGGGTCTACAGGCTTCACTGATGTTATAATCCAATTGAATAAGCATTTCTCTTATGGGTTTCCTATGGATCCGGAGCTTCTGTTAGGTTCTGTGAGGGTAACAAAAGAAGTGTATGACATATATGCCTTGAAGGACATTAGGAGACATGTAGCAACAGTAGCTTTTGGCGGCCTTAAGCAGAGGGAACGCCATCCTTACTGAAGCCCTTGGTCTCAGGAGTAGGAATTACAGAGTAAAAGGACAAGAGAGGAAGGATCACAAGGGCTTGATGGAGATTTTCATCTCAAATATAAAATCCAAAAGGTTCTGAAAACCAAACTATCTTGGGGTTATTTATAATTTGTATTTATCCCACTGAATGCAGAGATATTCATATGTTTTACTGAAGAAATGTTAGTATATTAATTTGAGTATTTTATAGCAACACTTCACCTACCTTCTCCCTCATGGGAAGAAATATATTTCCCTAACGTTGTAAGGGAGGAAACCACCTCTCATATTGTCTTATGCCCAATTTCTGCCTCCAAAGAAAGAAAAAGTAAAAACTAAAGGCAGAAATGAAATCTGCAAGCAGACAGCCTGGTGCCACACCCTGGGCCTGGTAGTTATAAATTGACCCCTGACCTAATTGGTTACGTTATCTATAGATTACAGACATTGTACAGAAAAGCACTGTGAAAATCCCTATCCTGTTTTGTTCCAATCTAATTACCGGTGCATGCAGCCCCCAGTCACATACCCCCTGCTTGCTCAATCAATCATGACCCTCTCACGCACACCCCCTTAGAGTTGTGAGCCCTTAAAAGGGACAGGAATTGCTCGCTTGGGGAGCTCAGCTCTTGAGACAGGAGTCTTGCTGATGCCCCTGGCCGAATAAACCCCTTCTTTCTTTAACTCGGTGTCTGAGGAGTTTTGCCTGCGGCTGGTCCTGCTACAGCTGGACTTAGTCATATGACTGGCTTTGGCCAATGGAATGTGAGGGGAGCTGATGAGAGCAGAGGCATTAAATGTGCTGATGAGATTTGAGTTTTTTGGGTCTTTGGCCTTCCCATTATTCACCATGAGAAGGCCTGCCCCAGGGAATCAGTGATCCTGAAAGAATGAGAAGAAATACAGAACAGCATCCCCACAGAGCTATGAAATAAGAAAAACATGGTTGCTTTTGTAAGCCATCGAGTTTTGGAGTGTTTTGTTATGATGAATTATTGAGGTAATAGCTAGCTGATACAATGCTTTAGATTTTAAAATGCTACCTCAGACTCTGCTGGGGATGTTACATAATATACAGTATGTACACCACATCTCCTTTGTAAACATGCTGTCTAAAATTTTTGGTACTTTTTATTGAGGTATCGTAGTTATACATATCTTGGGGTACATGTGATATTTTGATACACATATGTAATGTGTAATTATCAATCAGGGCAAACGGGGTGTCCACCACCTCAAATATTTATCTTCTCTTTTTATTTGAAACATTACAATTCTTCCCATCTACCTATTTTGAAATATACAATACTGATTATTAACTATAATTTCCCTACTGTATATCAAATACCATAACCTATTCCTTCTACCTAACAGTATTTTGGTGCTTATTAACCAACTTCTCTTCATCTCCACTGGTTTCCTTACAGGCCCTTGGTCAGCACCATTCTACTCTCAACCTCCTTGAAATCCATTATTTTAGCTCCTGTATATGAGTGAGAATATGTGATATTTGTGTGTATGTGCCTGGCTTATTTCATTTAACATGATGACCTCCAGCCATGTTGTTGCAAATAGGACTCTTCTTTTTTATGGCTAATATTCCATTGTGTATATGTAACATTTTCTATATCCACTCATTCAATAATGGACACTTAGGTTGATTCCATATCTTGGCTATTGTGAATAGTGCTGAAATACACATGGGAATGCAGATATCTGTGCAATATACTGGTTTCCTTTCTTTTGGATATATACCTCGCCTTGGGATTGCTGGACAATATGATAGTTTTATTCTTAATTCTTTGACAAACCTTCATACCATTTTCCATAATGGCTGTGCTACTTTACATTCCCAACAATAGTGTACAGCTGTTCTCTTTTGTGGAATCCTCATAAAGATTTGTTATTTTTTGTCTTTTTAATAATAGCCATTTTAACTGGGATGATATTATATCTCATTGTGTTTTTGATTTGCATTTTCTCTGATGATTAGTGATGTTGAGCATTTTTTCATATACCCATTGGTAATTTGTATGCTTTCTTTTGAGAAAAGTCTATTTAGGTCTTTTGAAATGTCTATTTAGGTCACTTTTAAATTGGATTATTTGATTATTTGTTTTTTTGCTATTGAGTTGTTTGAGTCCCTTATATATTCTTGTTAATTCCTTGTTGGATGGGTAGTATGCAAGTATTTTCTCCCATTCTGTAGGTTTCTCCTCACTTTGTCAATTGTTTCCTTTGCTGTGCAGAGCATTTTGGCTTGATGTAATCCCATTTGTCTATTTTTGCTTTTGTTACCTATGCTTTTGAGGTCTTACCCAAAATATCTTTGTACAGATCAATGTTCTATATTGTTTCCCCAATGTTTTCTTCTAGTACTTTTGTAGTTTCAGGTCTTACATTTATGTTTTTAGTCTATTTTGTGTTGATTTTTGTATATGGTAGAAGATGGGAATCTAATTTTATTCTTCTGTATATGGATGTCTAGTTCTCTGCACACCATTTATTAAAGAGACTATCTTTTCCTGAATGTATGTCCTTGGTGCCTTTGTTGAAAATGAGTTAACTGTAAGTGTGGATTTATTTCTGGATTCTCTATTCTGTTATATTGGTCTATGTGTCTGTTTTAATGCCAATTCTATGCTGCTTTGGTTACTATAGCTTTATAGCACAATTAGAAATTAGATAGTGCGACGCCTCCAACTTTGTTTATTTTGCTCAGGATTGCTTTAGCTATTGGGGATCTTTTGTTATTTCCATATGAATTTTAGGATTGTTTTTCTATATCTGTGAAGAATTGTTGCTGGTATTTTGATAGGGATGGCACTGAATCTGTAGATTGCTTTGGGCAGTATGGATATTTTATTTTATTTTATTTTATTTATTTTTTTGAGACAGAGTCTCGCTCTGTCGCCCAGGCTGGAGTGCAGTGGCACAATCTCTGCTCACTGCAACCTCCACCTCCCAGGTTCAAGCAATTCTCCTGCCTCAGCCTCCCAAGTAGCTGGGATTTCAGGCACCCACCACCACACCCAGCTAATTTTGTGTATTTTTAGTAGAGACAGGGTTTCGCCATGTTGGCCAGGCTGGTCTCGAACTCCTGACCTCAGGTGATCCACCCGCCTCGGCCTCCCAAAGTGCTGGGATTACAGGCGTAAGCCACCATGCCAGGCCTGGATATTTTAATAATATTACACCTTCTAATCCATGAACATGCGGTATCTTTCCATTTTTCTGTGTGGTCTCTTCCATTTCTTTCATCGGTGTTTTATAGTTTTTCTATTAAAGATATTTTACTTCTTTGGTTAAATTTATTCCTATGGGGTTTTGTTGTAGTATTGTAAATAAGATTACTTTCTTGATTTTTTTTCAGATTGATTACTGTTAATGTATAGAAATGCTGCTTATTTTTGTATATTGATTTTGTATCTTGCAACTGTACTAAATTTATCTGTTCTAACAGCTTTTTGATGGAGTATTTATATTTTTTTCCAAATAAAAGTTTATATCATCTGCAAACAAGGATAATTTGACTTCTTCCTTTCCAATAAAAAGCCTTTATTTTTCCATAAAAAGCCTTTAATTATGTTGAGGTATGCTTTCTAATTTAAAAAGTAATACCAATTTTAGTTGTAAGTGTGAGAATCAAAAATTTTTTTGAAGTAAAAAGAAAGCAATCAATTACAATGTCACATTAAAAATATAAGTGAATATTTCAGTGCGTTATGGAAAAATATCAATAGAATAATGTGGCAGATTGGAGTAAACTTTATTCTTTATTCATTAAGTTATGCCTAAGCTTTGACAAGATAGTGGCTTAAAAATTATTGTTTTGATTCAATTATGATAGAAATGACTGAACTTTATGAATTTCTTTTCTTCATACTTTGGCTTCTATATGTCTATATGTCTGATGTCTATATGCACATAGGATAGGGAAGTAATTTCTGAATTTACTGGTTTCCCCATGCTGTCTTTTCTTCGTGTTGCTTAATGGAAAAAAAATTATCAGAGTCCAGGAAATGGGTAGTGTTTCTAATGTCTGGTTGAAAAAGCTGAGAAATCAGCTCCAGGTAGGGTGGCTTATGCCTGCAATCCTAACACTTTGGGAGGCTGAGGCAGACAGATCCCTTGAACTCAGGAGTTTGAGACCAGCTTGGGCAATATGGCGAAACCCCGTCTCTACAGAACATACAAAGATTAACCAGGCATGGTTACACTTGCCTGTAGTCCCAGCTACTCAGGAGGCTGAGGTGGGGGGATTGTATGAGCTGGGGAGGTGGAGGTTGCAGCAAGCTGTGATTGCACCAATGCACTCCAGCCTGGGTGACAGAGCAAGACCCTATCTCTGAAAAAAATAAAAAAAGAAATGAAAAGAAAAAGCTGAGAAATCTTAGTTGTATTAGTCACTACCTTAAATGTTTCAAAAACCAAAACAGGAAACTAATATACCAATTCACAAATTATTTCTTCAAACACTTTTGAGTCAAGTGTATAATCAAAAGACACTATATATTAGCCCGGCTAATTTTTTTGTATTTTCAGTAGAGACAGGGCTTCACTGTGTTAGCCAGGATGGTCTCGATCTCCTAACCTGGTGATCCTCCTGCCTCGGCCTTCCAAAGTGCTGGGATTACAGGCATGAGCCACTGCACCCTTGCACCCTTTTTTTTTTTTTTTTTTTTGAGACAAAGTCTTGCTCTGTCGCCCAGGCTGGAGTGCAGTGGTGCAGTCTCGGCTCATTGCAACCTCTGCCTCCTGGGTTCAAGCGATTCTCCTGCCTCAGCCTCCTGTGTAGCTGGGACTACAGGTGTGCACCACCACGCCTGGCTGTTTTTTGTATTTTCAGTTGAGACGAGGTTTCACCATGTTGGCCAGGATGGTCTCAAACTCCTGACCTCAAGCAATCCACCTGCCTCAGCCTCCCAAAGTGCTGGGATTACAGGTGTGAGCCACCGTGCCTGATCTTTTCTTTTTTTTTCTTTTGAGATGGCATTTCACTCTTGTTGCCCAGGATGGAGTGCAATGGCACAATCTCTGCTCACTGCAACCTCCGCCTCCTGGGTTCAAGCGATTTTCTTGCCCCAGCCTCCCTAGTAGCTGGGATTACAGGCGCCCGCCACCATGCTTGGCTAATTTGTTGTATTTTCAGTAGAGACGGGGTTTCGCCATGTTGGCCAGGCTGGTCTTGAACTCCTGACCTCAGGTTTCCACCCACTTCAGCCTCCCAAAGTGCAGGGATTACAGACCTGAGCCACCGCGCCCAGCCTCCGTGCCCCATCTTTAACATTTTCTAGCTAGTAACCTTGACTGAGGAAGCCAGTCTTTTGGGGAGAAGTAAGTTGGTATCACTGAGGATATTACCACCTTGGGTGTGGGGGTTGGTTTCTGGAGGTGGGGAAAGAATTGATGCCAAATAGACAGTACTGTTGTTGGCAACATTACAAGTACAGACAGTCCCTGACTTACATGGTTCCACTTACAATTTTTTGACTTTACAATGGCATGAAAGCAATACGCATACAGTGGAAACCCTATTTCAAATACCCATTCAGCAATTTGGTTTTTTCACTTTCAGTACAGTATATAATAAATTACATGAGATATTGAACACTTTATTATAAAAAGGCTTTGTGTTAGATAATTTTGCCCAACTATAGGCTAATGTAAGTGTTCTGAGCACGTTTAAGGTAGGTTAGGCTAAGCTATGATGTATGATGGGTTGGATGTCTTAAATGCATTTTTGACTTAAAACATTTTTCATTTACAATGGGTTTATTGATATTGCATAGGTGTGCTTCACCTCTTCTGCAACGCGGTTCTTATTCTCTGTTGCTGGCCTCAGTTGCCCCCAAAGTTTCCTAACCATAGGATCACTCCAACTTTCAGTGACTAGGAATGGTTCTGCTGATCGACTTTTCTTTTCCCTTAGTCCTACAAATAAATATTGCTAGGTACCTGATCACTTTGGAAATAGACAAAAGAACCTTAAAAACCCCTCATAAGAAGATTTGCAAGAATAAACACAAATTATGAACAGTGGTCACTTCTGGGGAGAGGAAAATTTTCACTTTTTACCATTTTTGAAGTATTTGAATTTTAATGATTGCATATTAGTTTTCAATAAAAAACACAATGAGGCCCAGGTGCGGTGGCTAACACCTGTAATCCCAGCACTTTGGGAGGCCGAGGCAGGCGGATCATGAGGTCAAGAGATAGAGACAATCCTGGCTAACACGGTGAAACCCCGTCTCTACTAAAAATACAAAAAACTAGCCGGGCGTGGTGGCGGGCGTCTGTAGTCCCAGCTACTCGGGAGGCTGAGGCAGGAGAACAGTGTGAACCCGGGAGGCGGAGCTTGTAGTGAGCCAAGATCGCGCCACTGCACTCCAGCCTGGGCGACACAGCGAGACTCTGTCTCAAAAAAAAAAAAAAAAAAAAAAGGCACAACGAAATACTTCAGAATCTATAAAAGCTCTATATCTATACAATGAAAAAAGTTAGTATTCCTGCCTTTTGACATTTCTTCGACAATAACTCTTACTGATATCTTCTACCATTATTTTCCTTTTTATAAATTTATATGAAAAGCAGTTGGAAAGACATCACAGAGTGGTAGAAATAACCTATCATTTGCAGTCAACTGACATGGATTTGTGTCCTGGTTCCCATGATTACTTGCTATGTGACCTTAGGTAAATCGTTTAACCTTTGTGAGCCTTACTTTCCTATGATATAAGGTTACTAAATAATGCCAACAGGTTCCCCCTAGTCATTCATTGATAGATTAAGTTATTATTTCTATTATATGGCATGATTGCTAGTAATCTCCTAGTATCCATTCTTTTTTTGTCCTTTACTATGATATGCTAGACCCTACTAGAACTCCTGGCTACCAAAGATATTCCTCAGCCTTTCTTGTAGTTAATGGGATATGAGCAGAAGAAGCAAAAAGCATGTCTCGCCCTTGAACCCTTCCCCCTTTCTGCTTGGTGAAATGTTGACTGAGGAGACGGGTTGGGAATCTACCTTCAACCATGTAGTAGAGGACAACACCACCCAGAATGCAGACATAGAAGGAATCACAGAGAAATGGTGCCACTAAAAAGTATAAAAGAGTAGACATCGTTGAACTGGAGAATTAAAGAAAGACTAATTAAAACATCATAGTTGAGGAAAATAGAATAAGCCTGGTTTCCCCTTCAATTCCAAATTCCAACTTTTAATGGGCTTTTAACTTTATGAAGCTGTCTTACTATCCCATATTGTTAGACTGTCATATGAGAGAGATATACACTTCTATCTTATTTATACTACTTTTCATAAGTTGGGCTTTTGTTTAGCAGTAAAAGCTGGAATTTGGAATTGCAAGGGGAAACCAGGCTTATTCTCTTTTCCTCAACTATGATGTTTTAATTAGTCTTTCTTTAATTCTCCAGTTCAACGATGTCCACTCTTTTATACTTTTTAGTGGCACTATTTCTCTGTGATTTAAACAAACAAGGGATGTCCTAGTAGGAAACCATAATACATTCTCAGCATATTCTAATTATGACTGATAGTCAGCTTGTTCCTATGGTTGTTTGTAAGTATACAATGTCCCGAGTTTGTTTTACTAGAGAAATGTCCCTGAGTTCTATGTCCATGCTACAGTCATATATCACTAGCAGCTTTAATGACATGCTATAGTCAGAGTAAATGATCCTCAAGTATTTTTTTTCTATAAAAAGTTAACAACATCTTCAGTGAGTCAACCCATCCTTGTTCCCTGGCCATTACTGATTGAAGAAGACAAACTTGATGTGAGGGAGGCCAAGTACCTTGAGAAGACTTGGCAAAATCTCTGCCCAACAGAGGCACACAGAGAGGAGGAGACAGTGGAGGCTTTATCCTGAATTATGTTGAATTTTAACCCTGTCCTACATCCTATTCTTTAAAGTACAGGATTAGGGTCAAAAATAACTGACACCACGGCTGGGCACGGTAGCTCACGCCTGTAATCCCAGCACTATGGGAGGCCAAGGCGGGCAGATCACCTGAGGTCAGGAGTTTGGGACTGGCCTGATCAATATGGTGAAACCTCGTCTCTACTAAAAATACAAAAATTAGCCAGGCATGGTGGCAGGTGCCTGTAGTCCCAGCTACTTGGGAGGCTGAGACAGGAGAATTGCTTGAACCCAAGAGGTGGAGGTTGCAGTGAGCCAATATAGTGCCACTGCACTCCAGCCTGGGTGATGGAGCGAGACTCTGTCTCAAAACAAACAAACAAGCCAAAAAACTGATGGTACAGCTCTCCAGTCATAACCTCACCTTATTTTCATTACCTAAATTATTTGTAACAAACTCTCATTACCAAGGTAATCTGCTATTGACTATTCATTTGCAATCTTTTTGGGGTATTTTTTGGTTTTTTTTTTTTTTGAGACAGGGTCTTGCTTAGTTGCCCAGACTAGAGCATAGTGGTGTGATCACAGCTCACTGTAGCATCGACCTCCTGGGCTCCAGTGATCCTCCCACCTCAGCTTCTCGAGTGGCTGGGACCACAGGCATGCACCACCATATTCGACTAATTTTTTTACTTTTTGGAATGACAAGGTCTCACTGTGTTGCCCAGGCTGGTCTTGAACTCCTAGGCTCAAGCAATCCTCCCACCTCACTTAAGGAATGTTAAGAAATGAAAAGTGCTGAGATTACAGGGGTGGGCCTCCACACGTGGCTATTCATTGCAATCTTAAAGAAACTTACTCACAAATACATTAATGTCTGCTACTTCTACCTAATAATTGAGGAAAAAAGATGAAAAGAAAATACGATAGGTACAACCTAGACTTGGAGTTATACATCCTGGGCTACCCAGGACAGTCATAGGTTACACAACTGGATTTATATGCTGGATTTATACCCAGCATAATTGTTAATAATGCCCCTTTCAGGCTCAGAAGTGTTTCAGACGGTCACTCTAATGAGATTAGATGCAAAAGAGATCTTGTGTAAGGCAGAGGATACTTACATGTTGAATTGATGTGGGTATGACAGAAAAAGTTATGAAATTTTCTTTGCTGGAAGCTTCTAAAATTTATTATGCAACTGAATATTCTAAGAAAATGTGTCATATCCAAGGGGCTGAACAATAAATTTTGTTTCTGATGCTGTTAGAAGCAGGTAAGTTTTGAAATGTGTTCTGGGTAAACTGTTGGCCATAGGGATATATAAATTCATGTTATATATTAACACATCCAGAAGCTCCTAATTCATGCTTGGATTATTTTAGTATTTGACCTAATGTCTTTAATGAAATCTTAGCTATGTTCTTGATTTTTGTTTATATTTGTTTTTTCTAACCATAAGCACATGTCAGAGTCCACTCAGTGTCACTAAAATAGTCTCAGAGTCATTTGCTGCTACCTCTCCTATCATCAGCAACTCTTACGAACAAGTCACAGAGGATGTGCAAGCAAAGCATGCCAGAGATTGAAAATTAAAAATGGAATGCTATCAATGATCCTTGACTTCTGATCCAATAGCTTTTTGCCAAAGCTGTTTTCATAGGTTTCAGTGCAATATCTGGCCCATACATCTACTTCTTGGTGTTACATTTCATTTCTATTGCTTAATTATATAAGCTCCTGGCTCCTTATTTTTCATGGTGCGAACTGCTGACTGTTTCCCAATATATCAGTTTTCTCCTTGTGTATGGTAATGTCAATTCCCTTCTAGATGGTAATATGGCTGCCCAGCTAGAGACTAAAGACATTCGTCAGTCCCTTTGAAGCCAAGTGTGGCCATCTTACTAAGTCCTTGACTATTGAATATGAAAAGAAGATGTGTATATTATTTCTACATAGTTTACTTAGTGACAACTTCTTGCCCTAGACTTGTTTTCTAACCCCTTACTGAAAACTGGAGAACAGATATGCCAGTCACCCAGCCTTGACCATTAAGATGATGACAATGCCCTGACACCTTGCTACTTAGAGTGTGCGCCTTGGACTAACAGCATTAACATCACCCGGAAGCTTTTTAGAAATACAGAATCTCAGGCCCCATTCCAGGCCTGCTAATGAGAATCTGCATTTTAGCATGATCCACCAGTGATTTAAATTCATGTTAACATTTGAGAAATACTGCCTTAATAGGGTATAATGGAACAACAAAATGGAAGGAATCTAGGTCTATTAATTATTTTGTTGAGCAGAGCTATCTACTAGCCTGGTCTGCCCACCTATAGACTGTTATGGGAAAGCACAGTGAAATTCTATCTTACTAAATCATTGAATTTTGGGGTCTCTTTTTGATCTCTATTCTAATTTATATAGTTTTTATTCCTTGTAATAAGAAACCTACTTTTTAAAGCTCTGCTAGAGTCTTGTGGAGAAAGAGATGAGAAAGAATGTTATTTCCTTTTGGACTATTCTGGAGTAGTCCCTCCACCCTTTAGAGAAGTACCTAAATTTAACTCAGGCTATGTTGATTTATCTAGGACTGGGTGAGTGGGGAGTGCTCTTACCCCATCCTCCTGAGCATTACTCTCCATATTCCAACCATCATTTTTGGTCTCCTTGAGGATGCTGACTTAAGAAACTCAGTATAAATATTAAATGAACTGAATACAAAATGTCTCCGGAGATGGTTTCATCATTTTTTTTTTCCAGAAGACCCAAATTTGAGCTGGCAGCATTAATCAAATAGACCACATTTATTATAAAGTACATTAGAGCATGCACGCTCTCCTTTTAATGTATAGACTCTCACCCACTATTTAACAACCATTTTCTCCTTACTTCTTCCTTTCCATTCCTAGTTTGGTAAATGTGTCCTCTGGACTTGCAATTCCCATACTTCAAACCAACAAACATTTACTAAATGCCTCTTAAGGCATTGTGCTAGGCATTAGGTTAGACGCTAGATATACAGTAGTGATTAAGAAAAAACAGATCTGAGGCCAGTCATGGTGGTTCACTCCTGTAATCCCAGCACTTTGGGAGGCTGAGGCAGGCGGATCACCTGAGGTCAGGAGTTCGAGACCAGCCTGGCCAACATAGTGAAACCCATCTCTACTAAAAATACAAAAATTAGCTGGGTGTGGTGACGCATGCCTGTAATCCCAGCTACTTGGGGGGCTGAAGCACAGGAATTGCTTGAACCCGGGAGGTGGAGGTTGCAGTGAACCGAGACTGCACCACTGCACTCCAGCCTGGGCATGATCTTGGCTCACTGCAACACTGCAACCAAAAAAAAAAAAAAAAAACGAGAAAAAACAGATCTGGCCTCTGGCCTCACGCATAGCTTACAGTCTAACTGGGCAGAAGATCAATGAACAAGTAATTACACAGCTGAAGAATTTTAAGAAATGAAAAGTACTTAAAAATTTTGTAGTAACATTTATTGACTGAATAAATGGAGAAAAATAAATTGAGAATTAAGCAGCTTTCCTCCAAGCCTCCAGGGCAACAAGGAACACTCCCTTATTTTCCCTTTCCTGCCTTCCTTCCTCATTGCTTTGGGTTCACATTGGTTCTTGTGCCTGTGAAAGAGGAGTTAGATAATTAATCAGCTAAAAATAAGGATTCACAGTTAATGCACTTGGAAAGGGATCGAAAAGGAACTTGGCAAGATAAAAATACAGTCTTGCACTGCATAATGTCATTTTGGTCAATGACAGACTGCCTATAGGATGGTGGTTCCATAAAATTAAAATGGAGCTAAAAAATTCCTATTCGCCTAGTGACATTGTAGGCATCATAACATTGGAGCAAAACACATTACTCACACGTGTGTGGTGATGCTGGTTGCAAACAAACCTATTGTGCTGCCAGTTGTAGAGCACATATGATTATGTGCAGCACATACAATGATGTGCGGTATATAATACTTTGATAATAATAATAAACTTACTGGTTTACGTATTTACTGTACTATATTTTTATCATTATATTAGAGTGTACTCCTTCTATTTATAAAAATAAAAAGTTAACTGAAAGATGGTCTTAGGCAGGCCTTTAGGAGGTACTCCAAAAGAAGGCACTATTATCACAGATGAGAGCTCCAGGTGTATTATTGACCCTGAAGACCTTTTAGTGGGACAGGATGCAGTGGTGGAAGATAGTGATATTGATGATCCTGCCCCTATGTAGGCCTAGGTAATGTGTGTTTTTGTGCTTAGTTTTTAACTAAAATGTAAAAAAGTTAAAAAAAAATGATAAAAGTAGAAAAAAAGCTTACAGAATAAAGATAAAAAAATAAAATATTTGTGAACAGCTGCAAAATGTATGTTTTAAGATATGTTATTACAGAAGAGTCACAATGTTAAAAAAATTGAATTTATAAAGTAGATAAGTTACAGTGAGCCAAGGTTAATTTATTATTAATGAAAGAAAAATATTTTAAAACAAATTTAGTGTAGTCTAAGTGTAGCGTTTGTAAAGTATACAATAGTGTACAGAAATGTCCTAGACTTTCACATTTATTCACTACTCACTCACCAACTTACCCACGGCAACTTCCAGTCCTGCAAGTTTCATTCATAATAAATGCCTTATATAGGTGTGTTATATGATATTTTATTTTTACTGTATTTTCCTATTTTACAGTTTTCCTATGTTTAGATACACAAACATTTACCATTGTGTTACAATTGCCTGCAGTATTCAATATACTAACATGCTGTACAGGTTCATAACCTAGGAGCAATAGACTATACCTTATACCTGAGGTGTTAGCAGGCTATACCATCTAGTTCTGTGTAAGTTCCCTCTATGATGTTTGAATAACAGCAAAATTGCCCAAGGATGCATTTCTCAGACGGTATCCCCATCATTAAGCAATACATGACTGTAGTTACATTTTGGTGAAAAGCTTGTGGCTTACTTTCTTTTCCTTGATATTAACGTATTTGTTGTACAATATATTAAAATTGGGAATACAAAAGGTGTGTTTGTGTGTGTGTTAATCTTTTTAATCACTTTCTATGGGAAGCGAGATTGCATTTCATGTGCACGTGCCAATCTCTCACTGTTGCTCACTGGGAATGACTAATATCATTTTTCTTCCTTCTGGCCTAATGCAAACAAGCCACTGTGACATCCAATTTCTGATTTTTGGTCAATAGAAGGCTCAGATTTCTATTTTTGTATTGCCAAACAATTTGCAGCTTTAAATATTATTTTTGTTTAGTATTCACACATGATAATTTTTTTGGAGGTATCAGTCAAAGGCCAAAGCCTTTTCCACACAATACCACTGACCTTCCTTCAAAATCCATGGATGCAAAAGGACAGATAGTGGAGTGATAATTGGTGAAATAAAGAGGGAGTTGCTCCAGACAGGAGACGAAAGTTGCTGCTATTGAGACCAAGAAATGAAACCAAACTGTTTATCTATTACTGTATAAAAAGCTAACCCAAAAGGTAGTGGTTTAAAACAGCCATATTTTTGCCCATAATTCTCCAATTTGGGCAGAGCATGGTGGTGGCAGCTTATCCCTGCTGTGTGGTGCTGGACAGGGTGACTCACCTGGGCTGGAGAGTCTATGGTGACTTCACTCACACGTCTGGGGCTCCAATGGGGGTGGCTGGAATGTGAGGTATGGCTGGGCTTGTTTCTCTTTATACAGCCTCTCTGTGCATCATGGTCAATGAACTCTTTATCAAACAGCATCCTATTAAATCATTTGATTCTCACATTAATCTCTAAGGTTGTATCTTAAGAACTGAAAAAGAAACGGAGCCCTTTTACTTAGTCTTGTTTTCCCACTCAACCTGTATTTTTCTTGGAACTTATATGTATTTACATATTTCTGTATGCAATTTATTTACTTTAGTTTATTGTAGGTATTCTTATAAACTGTCCTAATTCTGCAGTACAGATACAAAGATAAATATGTGGTTTGTTACATAAATATGTTACTATTTATCTATCTTAAATCAGGCTCAGGGAGGTTTAGTGACTTGATCAAGGTTACATGCCTAACGCATGACAGAGCCTAACTTGGTACTCAGCTTTTCTGAACCTGTGAGAGCTAAATAATAAAATCCTAATCATATTATCTATTTTAGATTTTCTTAAACTCCTAGGTTATAGAAGGATCACATAATTATTAAACAGAGAAAAAAATTGAATATAGCAAATAATTTTTTTTTTTTTGAGACAGAGTCTTGCTCTGTCACCCAGGCTGGAGTGCAGTGGCACTATCTCGGCTCACTGCAACCTCCACCTCCCAGGTTCAAGCATTTCTCCTGCCTCAGCCTCCTGAGTAGCTGGGATTACAGGCACCTGTCACCACACTCGGCTAATTTTTTGTACTTTTAGTAGAGATGGAGTTTCACTATGTTAGCCAGGCTGGTCTTGAACTCCTGACCTCATGATCTGCCTGACTCAGCCTCCCAAAGTGTTGGGTTTACAGGCGTGAGCCACCACACCCGGCAGCAAATAGTTACATACCTTTTTAATTAGGTATAGTCACCATGTTGTACAATAGAGCTGTTGAACTTATTTTAACTAATTTGAACTTACCTAACTGAAATTTTGCGTCTTTTGATCAACATTTTCCTAAGCCCCCTACACTCTCTAGCCCCTGGTAACCACCATTCTACTCTCTACTTCTCTGAGTCCAACTTCTTTAGATTCCACATGTGAGATCATGTGGTATGTATCTTTCTGTGCCTGGCTTATTTCACTTAACATAATGTCTTTCAGGCTCATTCATGTTGTCACAAATGACACAATTTCCTTCCTTTTAAAGACCAAATAGTATTCCATTGTGTACATATACCACATTTTCTTTATTCATTCATTCATTGCTGGACACTTGGGTTGATTCCATATCTTGGCTGTTGTGAATAGTGCTTCAATGAATGTGGAAGTGCAGCTGTCTCTTCTATTGCACATACTGATTTCATTTCCTTCAGATATATACCCAGTAGTGAGATTGCTGAATCATATCATGGGTTCTATTTTCAATTTTTTGAGGAACCTCCATATTTTTTTTTCATAATGGATGTTCTAATTTACATTTCCACAAACAGTGTATAAGGGTTGCCTTTTTTCCACATCCTTGCCAACATGTTATCTTTCATCTTTGCAATAATAGCCATTCTGATAGCTGCGAGGTGATATCTCTCACTATGGTCTTAATTTGCATTTCTCTGTTGATTAGTGATCCTGAACATCTTTTTCATATACCTGTTGGCCACTTATGTGTCTTATTTTGAGAAATACCTATTCAAACCATCTACCCATTTTTGTATTAGATTGTTTTCTTACTATTGAGTTGTTTGAGTTTCTTATATATTTTGAATATTAACCTCTCATCAGATGTATAACAGATAATTTTACAAAGTAATATCTTATTTAAACTTCAGTTTACTTGAATTCCATTCAGTAAATACTTATTCAGCGATTACTCCATGCCAGGTGCTGATCTGTGTGCTTAGAACACATCTCTGAACAAAACAGATATTCCTGCCCTTGCAGAACTTACTTCCTAAAAGTGACATTTAGTAAACAAAACAACCAAATCATTTTACTGTGGGAAGAAGAATTTGCTAATGTTGTTGTGCAGAGATTGAGCAGGAACTTATAGTGATGATTTCATGGTATTATGAAATGATTTCATGGTTTTTTTGTTTGTTTGTTTGTTTGTTTGTTTTTTGAGACGGAGTCTCGCTCTGTCTCCCAGGCTGGAGTGCAGTGGTGCGATCTCGGCTCACTGCAAGATCGGACTCCCGGGTTCACGCCATTCTCCTGCCTCAGCCTCCCGAGTAGCTGGGACTACAGGCGCCCGCCACCACGCCCGGCTAGTTTTTTGTATTTTTTTAGTAGAGATGGGGTTTCACCATATTGGCCAGGCTGGTCTCGAACTCCTGACCTTGTGATCCGCTCGCCTCAGCCTCCCAAAGAGCTGGGATTAGAGGCGTGAGCCACTGCGCCCTGCCGGTATTAGTTTTTAAAAATATTTTTGTTAAAGAAAAATTCAACTCTGCCAATCTCTACTTAATTGAGAAATCTGTGTGAGCTTTACCCTTGGCTATGTCTCTTTAAACCCTTGAACTTCTCTGTCAATGATTTTTATGCAGATTCACAATTAAAATTCTAAAGTGTTCTTCATGTCCCCACCACTACTCCTCTCCTCTTAGGCTGACCCTGAAAAGACAGACTTCCAATGCTTCATGCATGGCCCTTAATTTTATTCTTACTCTTCACAGTTGAACACAAATATCAGCTTAAGTCCAATAATAATCTATTTGAGATGTAGATCTGCCATTTAGGGGATATCTTTTATTATGTCACAATCACTTTTTTGTTATGGCTTTTCACATATTAGAAGGGCAAATGCGATTAGCTATTCAAATAATAGAACAAGCAAAAATTGCTGCATAAAGATAATGATGCCATCCGAATTGAACCTAGGAATCCTGGCCGAAGGCACCACTAGTTGAGAGTTCAAATTCATGCTCATTGGGTGATGTGTGGAAGCTGATATTAATTTAGTACTTTGAGTGTCAATGTGCAATGTATAAGATTTCACACATTAAAAAAATACAAATTTGAAGCAGGGCACAGTGGCTCACGCCTGTAATCCTAGCACTTTGGGAGGCCGAGGCAGGCGAATCACGAGGTCAGGAGTTCTAGACCAGCCTGACCAACATGGTGAAACCCCGTCTCTACTAAAATTACAAAACTTAGTTGGATGTGGTGGTGGGTGCCTGCAATCCCAGCTACTCAGGAGGCTGAGGCAGGAGAATCATTTGAACTCAGGAGGCAGAGGTTGCAGTGAATCGATATTGTGCCACTGCACTCCAGCCTGGGCAATAGAGCGAGACTCCATCTCAAAAAAAAAAAAAAAAAAAAAAGATAAAAATTTCGAAATTTGAGAACCATCTTTATGAGAACAGCTCCTGATCCTGAAGTTCTTACAATTCAGCTCTGAAGGCCAGATAGATATTTTAAAATGTCAGGAAACAATAAGGCCACAAGGGGAAAAAACAAAGAAATGATACAAAATGATACAAGGACCAAACCGATGAATGGAGTAGGAAACAGGATATTTTGATGCAGATGATATAGTAGGTGCTTGATAACATTACCTCATTTAATCTTCATGACGATACAGTTTTACTAATTAGAATTTTGAATAACATGCAAGGGCCATTAAGGAAATTTCTTATGGACATATAGTTAGAAAGAAAAAAAACCAGTTTGCCTACCTTTAAAGCTCAAATGATGAACATTTAAATTGATTAACAATTCAAATTGCACTGAATTCAATTGAATTGAACATTTTCCAGGTCTTTCCAGTTTTTTCATAAGGCTTTGAAGATACCATGAAGGAATGTACCTGGAATTAGAACCACCAGATTTTGAACCCTGACTGTGCTACTTCCTACTGGTAACACTTTGCATCAGTCAGTTTCACATCTTCAAAATAGAAAGGACGATACCTACCACATATGCAGCCTATGGGTACATACTAGACATCTCTGTGAATGGGGTCAACAAAGTGCTTGGTTCACGGAATGCCCTGAGTAAAAACATGCAAGGTGAACAAGGCCCGATCGTTATTCCTTCTCTGTTTGAGGCTGGAAACAATGGAAAATCAACAGTCATCCCAGTCTGGTTCTTACAGGTTCAAGAAGAAGAGGAATAGTTATCCTAGTCTGGTTCACAGGCTCAAGAGATGCTTGAAACAGCTTTCTAAATGAGGTTTGGGAGTTCTTGTGGATTGCAATTACCCATCTTACTGCTGGACCTCATTAGCACATGTAATTGGAAACTGGCTCTGTATAATAAGGACAACAGGAGTCTCCAGCTCTGAGGCAATTACTGTGGTGTTACTCACTCTCCATCCCCTCATGAACACCCCAGCAGTTGCTCCTGAGACACAACCTCGGAAGCCAGGGAGAAAGAACCGAAATTCTCCCATTACTGTATTTCCTGTGGGAGTCTATGTGGGAGATTTTTGTTTCACACCATGTATTTGTGACATATGGATAAACAATGGCAACATAAAAGATCTTACAGAAATCTTCAATATTGGTTTCCTCAGAACACACATTCTTAATGGGGGACAATGTTGCCGCCACGGAGGTGAAAGTTGGTTATTAGGAAGGTTAAAAAAAATCTTAAATATAAAAATGTTTTGTGGCCCCTCATCATACGTAAACAGATATAAGGCATATATGTGGTATTAAAATTTCGTGGGGAGGGAATGATCAGAAAAGATCTAAAAAGTCTACTTAATAGGCAGAGAGTAGGGATAAAAGCGGGGAAAAAGGTTGAGATAACATGGCCTTAGAAAGAGTGTGAAGTTCTCCAGATCAGTTTTTGGCTCCAGAAAAGAGGCAGAAGATAGCTATTCTTGCTGCTCCATTCTCTGTTACAGATGGTTCTGGTTCATTATGACAATGATTAAAGGGGAGAGTTCTGAAGACAGGCTGCTTGTTTTGAAGCCCAGTTCAGTCAGATAGATCTGTATCATCTTGAGCTGGTTAATTAATGTCTCAATGCCTCATTTTTTTTCATCTGCAAAATGACTAGTGTAATATTGAACACTTCATGTTGTTGTGAGGGATGTAGGACTAAGTGTACATTTTCAAAAAGATAGGAGCAGAAGACATTCTGCCTTTGTGAAAGAGCTCTGGTTCCCTTTAATCCACATTCTCTAGGTGATCAAATCCTTGCAACATAGTTAAAAAAAAAAAACAAAAAACTTTGGGCAGGGTGCGGGGGCTCATGATTGTAATCTCAGCACTTTGGGAGGCCCAGGTGGTAGGATCACTTGAGGTCAGGAGTTTGAGCCTGGCCAACATGGTGAAACCCCGATTCTACTAAAGAAATACAAAGATTAGCTGGGCATGGTGGTGCACATCTGTATTTCCAGCTACTCAGGAGGCTGAGGCAGAAGAATCACTTGAACCTGGGAGGTGGAGGCTACAGTGAGCCAAGATCGCACCAATGCACTCCAGCCTGGGCGACAGAGTGAGATTCCATCTTAAACAACAACAACAACAATGACAAAAAAAAAAAAAATTGACAATTTTCAGAAATAGAAATATAGAGTAGCTAGAAATAGAATATATGGTTGGGGCGGCAGCTCACTCCTGTAATTCCAGCATCTGGGGACGCTAAGGTGATCCCAGCCTCAAGGAATCCCTTGAGTCCAGGGGTTCGAGGTTATAGTGAGATATAATCACACCACTGCACTCTAGTTGGTGACAGAGCAAGACCCTGTCTCTTATGAACAACAACAAAAAATACAGAATATAGAAAAGAACAGACGTAGTATATATTTCCATAACATGAAGGGTTCATTCATGTTAGTATTTTGTCATATGTATGCTCTATCTTTATTGTATAAAATTTAAAATTATGCAAGTTATATATATATATATTTACACACACACACACACACACACACACACTCCCTTTGTTCCTTCTATACTCCCAGTCCTACCATAATGAAGCACAGTTTTTGAAAGTGCCGACTGACTGCCTGGTATGATTTACTGAGTGATGTTCTTTCTGAACGGGTAGACTGAGGGACCAGCCATCTCCAGATTCATAACTCTCTACCCAAACAAGGTAAATGTTTCATTCAGATGAAGGCCAAACTGACATTTTCTCCATTAATTGGAACAACATTTCTTATGCACCTATTATATGCCAGACATTTTTGAACTGGGAGCAAAACTGTAGCTCCAGGCCTAGACATTAGTTTTTCAAAATGAAAATCCAGGTAGCTGGAGTGAGTTAAGTCAGTCTTCATACTTGAGGTGACGTTCCAGATATGTCTCACAAATGCTAATGGATAACTCACTTCTATTAAAAACAAATCCTAAAAGCGAGGTGTGATGACATGCACCTGTAGTTCCAGCTACTCAGGAGGCTGATGTGGGAGGATCACTTGAGCCCAGGAGTTCCATGTCAGCTTGGATGACATAACAAAAGCCTGTTTCTAATAAAATAAAATAAACCCCAAATCTCATGGTGGCATTGGAATTATTTGCAGACAACTCAGTCCTTTTGGCTTTCAAAGTAGGTCTCAGCAAAGGAAGACGCAAGCTACTGGTTTAGGATTAAACCTGGGGAATCAGACTGGTCTGGACACTTGGTTTGCCAAGAGGCCTGGTAGTGGAGAATTCTGTGACTGGCAAATGCCTAGGAGGCAAAGGAGTGAAAGTCTTGAGTTCTGAGAGAGACAACCTTTGGGTTCCTTAGGCACTAGGCAGTGGCCCAAGGCACTGGGATCTTATGTAAATGGCAGAGCGCCCCAGGAGCTTCAGGTATGCTTATCTGCTCATCTAATGGAGCCAAGGAGACAATCTGTTTAGATAACAGGTTGCAAGAGATAATGGACTCTGCTGGGAATGGCATGTTCCCTCCTGGGGGGTAACCCTTAGATCTTGGAATTTGGCTGAGAGAAGGAGGCAATGCATGGTGCTCCTGCAGAGGTCTGAAAAACAGCTGTGGAGTGCCTCACATGGTTTTCATCATGGCCTGAAAGTGTTCTCTCTCTCCATTGCCCGCCCCACCCCCCAACCCATTTACTCTAAAAGTAAAAATAAATATGTTAAATATTTTGGAACCACCCACTAAATAGTAATTATAGATGGTAGTAACTAATTACACTATTATCTATCACTTTTTAAGTGCTTCTGGATGGCCAGACCCAGTGTCAGGCTGCTCTCATGACCCTGAGAATCCAGAGGAGGGGTCTCCATGTGACACATAAGACTTGCACAGGTAGAGAACTTCATTCTTTCATTCACTTGCCCACTATTCGGGAAATGTTTATTGAGCCTTTTCTATATTCTAAGAAACTGTGCTGGTGCCTCAAAGAGTTCATAATTTCCCACAACAAACAAGGGGAAGTGATATAACTAAAAGTTACTTTGATTTTATTTTATTGAAATTGGTGGAGAAGGATGGCCTCTATACCAGAGAGGAAATGCTGCGGCACTGGGTTTTTAGCACAAGTCAAAAGAAAAAAATCTCCTTAAACAAACTCTGGGGTGGAAGGAGGTGGGATGGGGAATATATGGAGCTAAATGTATTTTTGGAACCTGCAAAGAAGAAAAAAAACAAAACCAAAAAGCCCAACTTAGTACTTCTTTTTCCAGGGTTCTTTCCTTGGTCTGTTTCCTAGCATCTTGTGCTAGCCTCTATCTTAGAACAGTATTTGTAAAATACTTACTTGTCTGTTTCCAACAAACTGCAAACAGATTATAGTCAGACTCCTTGCAGGTAGAGGATATTTTATTTAACTTTTTTTCTCTAGTACCTGAAGCATTTTAAAAAGCTCTTTTAATTTGAATGAAATGAAAAGATGACTGACTGAATGAATAAATGGATGGATGAATAGATGGTTGGAAATCTCTTTTAATTTAAATAAAATGAACGGATGACTGACTGAATGAATACATGAGTGGAAGCATGGATAGATGGATGGATGAATGGATGGATGGATGGATGGATGGATGTATGGATGGATGGATAGATGGATGGATTTCTCTTAGGTGATTCTCCTGTACACATAAGCAGAGACATACAGATTCACACGGAGAACAAAATCACACAGATTTATATATATTCCCAGAGAAACACACATATAAAGACATTGTTCTCATTACCAAAGCCCTCCTTTCTCTTGGCCTAGCCATCTTATGTGGCCACTTCACCCATCCCCATTCATCTTCTAAGCTCAATTCTATCAGCTAAGCCCCCTCCACCACCACCACCACCACCATTCTAACCTCCCTCTCTCAGCTGACACAGGTAACAGTGAGCTGACAAGTTGATCTAACAGTATGCCTAGAACACCAGGGGAGCTTCCAGAAGTCCTGGCTTTTTGGCTCTCTACGGCTCTGGAAGGGATTTGTCCCACCTATGTTGTTCTTATTTGGGGCAATTTTAACCTGGGCAGGAGAAAGGGAGGCAGGCTCCTGGAAGTGATATTCAGATAGGATGAAGATGTGAAGACCACTGAGTTTCCTCAAAGTACAGACCCCTGTTAGGTGTGAAGGAAGCAGAGAGGAACTAACTTTATGGAGTGTCTTTGATGTCCCAAACATTCTGCTAGATGTTTAAGTGAGATGGCTCATCTAATCACCATGAAAATGAAAGTTTCCACAGAGGTGCTATTATTCTCATTTTGCAAATGAGGAAGCTGAGGCTGAGAATGAAAAGGGACTTGGCCAAAGCTAATAGCTAAGAAGTGACTGCCACCGGCTTAGGAACTATTCAGATTCCTGATGCTGAGGCCAACAGACATATTTCATTTCTTCCTTCCAGGCCATATTCTTTCACTGAATATTTACCAAGTGTCTATTAGATATACAAAGTACTGGAAGCCCAAACGTGGGATAGAACCAGTCTTTGTCTTTAAAACATGTATATTAGGCTAGGCACGGTGGCTCACGCCTGTAATCTTAGCACTTTGAGAGGCCAAAGAGGGAAGATCATTTGAGGTCAGGAGTTCAAGACCAGCCTGGCCAACGTGGTGAAACCCTGTCTCTACTAAAAATACAAAAATTAGCCAGGCATGGTGGTGGGTGCCGGTAATCCCAGCTACTCAGAGGCTGAGGCAGGAGAATTGCTTGAGCTCAGGAGGCAGAGGTTGCAGTGAGCCAAGATTTTACCACTGCACTCCAGCCTGAGCGACAGAATGAGACTCTGTCTCAAAAAAAAAAAAAAAGAAAGAAAAAAGTAGGCCGGGAGCGGTGGCTCACATCTGTAATCCCAGCACTTTGGGAGGCCGAGGTGGGTGGATCACAAGGTCAGGAGATCGAGACCATCCTGGCCAACATGGTGAAACTCCATCTCTACTAAAAATACAAAAAATTAGTTGGGCATGGTGGCGTGTGCTTGTAATCCCAGCTACTCGGGAGACTGAGGCGGGAGAATCGCTTGAACCAGGGAGTCGGAGGTTGCAGCTAGCCAAGATCATGCCACGGCATTCCAGCCTGGCAACAGAACAAGACTTTGTTTAAATATATATATATATATATATATATATATATATATATATGAATATGACAGAGGAAACAAATGGTACATTATTGTAAGATATATGAGAGAAATGCTCTAAAAGAGATATCAGCAAATTTCTTAGAAGGTTGGAAGAAGGACAGAACACTTCCTATTGAAGGAAAAATGCAGCATTGAGCTGGGTCTTGAAGGGTGAGTCTTATTTTCCCAGAAGGAGATGATGCTGTTGGAGAGAAAAAAGCTTTTTCTCTACCCTCTTATGGTTAGTGCTTGAGGGTCTGCATATTAAACTGACAAAAGACAGATTAGCAAGGCAAAAGACAGATTTTTGTTCACATATATCAAATGTATGTTGGCATTCATAACCACTCAAGGAGGCAGTTGTTAATAGAATTTGGAGCGTGTATACTATCTTAACAGGAGAAGAAGGGTACTTACAGGAAAACAAATGTTTTTTAGGAAAGATAAATGGGCCCTTAGGAGTGTTGGGGCTCAGAATCTGATACCCCAAAGTATGGCACCTTGGCATGCTGAGTACTTTGAACTGAAGGACATTGGAAGGACCTCAGAAACAGGGTTTCTCTGACCTCTTCCTACCCTCCTATCTCCTGTCTCTTTTTCTTCGCCTAAGTAAATGAGTCATAGAAACCAGAACTCCTCTTCCCCAAGGTGGGTCATAGAAACCAGAACTCCTCTTCCTCCAAGCATGCCATAAAACCTAGGAAGTCCACTCTTCTCCTTCTGTCTTGAAGAATCTCATTCCAGAGGAGTCCAGCCTCATACCCAGGAGGAAGGAATGTTACATAGGGAGGCCGAGAAGAATCTGAACAGAAAGGCAGGCCTGGCTGGGTTTCTCCTGTCAGTCTGTTAGCATTAGATCATACCTTTTTGTCTAATCACATTTCTATATGGCTGTCAGTTCTTCATCAAACCTAAGCATAAAAACAGACAATTTTCCCTGGGTCTTTGGCTCTTTATTTCTCAAGGCTCCCATGTCACATAAAACTTTGGTTAAATACATTTGTCATGCTTTTCTCTTGTTCTCTTGCCTTTTGTTATAGGAGTGTTGGCCATGATCCTTATGATGGGTAAGAAAAGTTATTACACCTTTCCTCTTCTACAGGAGGGTAGATGGGAGACACCATAGTTTTGTGACAATGTCTGTTTGTTTGGGTAGGAAGCTGATAAGAGAGTCAGTCTTCCCTCGTTGCTACCAAAGAGGGGATTTACAATGACAGTTTTGTTATCTTGACTTCTAATAGGAGGCTGTGCTCTTAGGCAGATAATGAAGGAAAAAAAGCACATTCTCAAATGTTTTTAACTCAAAACAACTTTTATGCTACAATAAAATATTTTAGACCCCCTTAATACAGAGAAAGGCAAAAATGTCTGAATACTTATTACTAATAAGTAATACTTAATACTTTGTGAACATTATGCCAGGAATATCTCTTACCTTATATGAAGCAGGATGTTTTGACAGGGCTCTTTTGACTCCCTGGCATTTAGAAATCCAAAAAAGCAACCATTACGTTTATAGCTCCTTCTTTGTCCAGTCATTATCATCGTCATCATTATCATCATTGTAGGGAAAGAAAGAGGGTGATCTCTTTCCTCCACATCATAAGCTGTCACCCTTATAATGAAAGGTTAACAAGAGAAAAGCATAATAAAATTATTTAATCCTGGCCAGGCGCGGTGGCCCAGCACTTTGGGAGGCCGAGGCGGGTGGATCACCTGAGGTCAGAAGTTCAAGACCAGCCTGGCTAACACGGTGAAACCCCATCTCTACTAAAAATACAAAAAATTAGCCGGGCATGGTGGCACAGTGCATGTAGTTCCAGCTACTCAAGAGGCTGAGGCAGGAGAATCACTTGAACCTGGGAGGCAGAGGTTGCAGTGAACCGAGATCACGCCACTGTACTCCAGCCTGGTGACAGAGTGAGACTTTGTCTCAATAATAATAATAATAATAATAAATAAAATAAAATAATTTAATTCTAATTTTACATGACACAGGAGACTTCAGAATGAAGACCAAAAGAGAAAAGGAAAGCTGTTCATTTTTAATGCTTAGGTTATAAGAAGTGGGAACAGCTGGCTGGGCACGGTGGCTCACGCCTGTAATCCCAGCACTTTGGGAGGCTGAGGCAGGCAGATCACAAGGTAAGGAGATCGAGACCACAGAGAAACCCTGTCTCGACTAAAAATACAAAAAAAAAAAAAAAAATTAGCCAGGTGTGGTGGCGGGTACCTGTAGACACAGCTACTTGGGAGGCTGAGGCAGGAGAATGGCATGAACCTGGGAGGTGGAGCTTGCAGTAAGCTGAGATCGTGCCATTGCACTCCAGCCTGGGCGACAGAACGAGACCCTCCATCTCGGAAAAAAAAAAAAAAAAAAGAAGGGGGAACAGCTGTGTAGAAATGTGATTGGACAAAACATGTATGAACTAATGGCAATAGACTGAGTGGGGAAACCCAGCAAGGGCTATCGATTCAGGTTCTTCTTAGCCTTTCTGTGCAGCATTCATTCCTTCTGCATACAGGGCAGAATTCTTTCCGGCTGGGAGTCTTATGACCTACAATCTAACAAGAAGGGCTGGAGAGATTTTTTATGGCTAGTTCTTACCCAGAAAGGTGGGGAAAGGTTAGAGTAATATTTTTAGGTATTAAGGCTGGCTTTGAGGAAATGGGGTTTTTGTGTCTATGACCCGCCTTGGGGAAGAGGAATCTAGTTTCTATGGCTTACCTTGGGGAGAATGACAGAAGAGACACAGGAGGACAGGAGAAGGTCAGAGATGAACCTTCCTTCTGAGGCCTTTATTTTGGGGTATGATTTCTGAGCCCTAGTGACATCATCATCATCATTATCATCATCATCATCACCATCATCATTATCTCCTACTCACTCTTCCTTGAGCCTGAGGTCAGAGGTAAACTGTTTGAAGAATTGATATGAAGGTCAGCACTGGGGTGGCAAATGATAATTGACATATTAGTTGATTTTTATATTAAAAATCTAAAAGTTGATCTTTTTTGGAGGGTCACATGGAACTGCGAGTTGTGTCAGGGGAGTCTTTAGGAGTTAACACCATGGCGGAAGACACGGAGGCCAAATCAAGAACTACAGGACTGCCCCTTGTGGCAGCAACTTCCCCAGCCAGAACTAGACCAGAAACTACTGGTAGACCTACCTGGAATTCCACTGCTGCCAGAAGGCAATGACTGCTAAAGGGGGTTATGTCTTTGTGTGTGAATGGTACATGTGGACAAGACTCTCTGCCCTATATTATGGGTCTTAGCCTGGGACAAGTACCAGGCAGAAGGCATGTTTCCTGGGAAGATCTGAGCTTGCTCCACCCCACCTCTCTTCTGTCCTTTGTTCTTCTCCCAGGATGGTAAAGAGGGACCTGGGTACATAGTGATCCCTATCCTGGGACCCTGAATCATGACTTAACTAGCAATAACAACTCATTGGAAGCTGTGTGTGATGGCATGCACCTGCAGTCCCAGCTACTTGGGAGGCTGAGGCAGGAGGATGGCTTGAGCCCAGGAATTTGAGTCTGTAATGCACAATGATTATGCCTGTAAACAGCCACTGCCCTCCAGCCTGGGCAACATAGAGAGACCCTGTTTCTAAAACAAACAAACAACAACAACCAACAACAAAAATACTCATTGAAAATGTGTAAAAAAATATCCAAAAGTTTAGGCTTTTTTTTTTTAAGGTCATAGAATAGGAGTAAATGCTAAACGTCTCTGGCATTACAAATACTCATATACCTACCTTATAGGCCATGAGGAAATGTCTTTTTGTCTTCTAGAGGTTCTGACCTCAATGCAACATGTCCAGTAAGAATGACAGGGTCACTTGAAATAAAATTCTTAGAGGAATGAATCTCAGGTCTATAACCTGAATAGCTTTATTTAAAAAAAATACAAATAGGTGATTGGATATAAGAATGAATTTCTGAATTCTTACTTCCAGAAGCTGCGATCTTGGCCTGCAAATCTCAAGCTACAAAGTAGAATGATGAACTTTCTGAGAAGAAACACAGGTGTAGATTTAACTCTTGGAAAATGAGGGCAGAAACACATCAAAAGGGGACCCCTGGAGTGAGAAGCATTAAAGATGAATTCTTTCTAGAACTATAACAGCCTGGAATTTTGACACATTCTGCAACTGACACTCAGTGAGCCCTCACGGTATGGAAATAATACTTAAAAATTTTTTAATGTCTTAGACTTATTTGAGGAAAAGAAGGAAGGTGTAATTATTACAATAAAAGTTTTTTAAAGATTTAATAAACTCTAAATAACTTAGCCTAGTCAAAGTTCTGAAAATTATTGCTTCAAAAATTATAACCATGATAAATATGATTTTTGATAATATTTTTATGACTTCTGAGAAGTTCATAGGGATTTCATTTGAAACAATAATATCCACCACTTAGTATGTTCACTGATGACTTGTAAATTGGCAAGTCTAAAAAAAAGGCTAGTGTTTGAAAATAGGTTTTGCAAATTAATCTTTTTCCCAACATGAATTTGTAATGCAAGTCCTTTCTTGAAGTAGTGCAAAATGAAGAAAACAGATATTTTAAAAGAAAATGAAAATGTAAATGAAATACAATTATGCAGTAGGACCAATCACTGCTAGTCTCTAGGATGTATTTGTGGAAATTTGAAGAAAGCCCTTTTTCTTTAGGATGTATCTAGGATGTAACTAGTGACAGGGTTCAGGACATGACATCCTAAAATATAGCACCTTGGCATTTGAGAAAACAGCAGAAACAGGAAGCCCACCCTCACCTTTCTCTGGCCTTTCTCCCCTGAAGAAGGTTCTCTCTGTCTTTATTTCTTCTTCCCTGAACACCCTCATGTGATAGGTGTCCACTCCTATACTCCCAGAGAGAAAGAATGTCATCAGGGGACACCAAGAAGAAACTGAACAAACAGGCCTTGCTATGTTCCTCCCAGTTTATTACCATTAGATCATACCCTTTTGTCCTCCAGTCATACTTTGGTGTAATTGTCCACAAAAATACACAAATTCCTGCATTTCTTTGAGTTTTCATTTACAAAGGCTTCTGTGTCACATAAAACTTATACTAAATACATTTATATGCCTTTCTCTTATTACTCTGTCTTTGTTACAGGGGTCTTAGCCATGAACCTTGGGTTGGGTGAGAAAAAGATGTCACATTTTCTGCCCTACAATAGCAAGGCCACAGAGAACACAGCTTGACAAGAGGTGCATGGGCTGGGTTTTAGCCCTTAACCACTTTCTACTGGACGCTCTTGTGTATGATACAACCTGCCCAAGATTATTGTATGTCTGCCCTGCAGAATGACATGAAAATGTGTTGCCATTTGTGTTAATACACACACTCTCTCTCTCTCTCATGTGGCAGAGAATACACAAGGAATTGGCAACGCTGGGAGCCTCTGGGGAGGAGAACTGGATGAGGAGGGTGGGAAAGAGACATTTCCTTGCATAACCTTTGCATTGGTGCTTTTTGAATTGTGTAATTATTATACATACATATTACTTATTTAAAATAAAATAAAATAAGCCAGGTGTGGTGGCACATGCCTGTGGTTCCAGCTACTCAGAAAGCTGAGGTGGGAGGATCCCTTGAGCTCAGAGTTCGAGGCTGCAGTGAGCCAAGATTGTGCCATTGCACTCCAGCCTGGGTCACAAAGTGAACCTCTGTATCAATAAATAAATAAATAAATAAATAAATAAATAAATAAATAATGTAAAGGAGCTTTTGTTTAGAAGTAGAGAATAAAGCAAACACACACATGAATCTTAAGAAGCGCAGTGTGCTGTAAGGAGTAACAATAGTACTTTAACTACAGGGCCTGAATCACATTCAGTGACCAGACATTGGAGGCCTGAGGAGATATTTCAAGTGGGGAGAGAATGGGGAGTGAAGGGCCAGAGGTCAGCAAGGGGACTCTGAGAACTCAGTAGGCCTGTTTGGCTGCATTGTGGGTCTGTGCGGGGCGGGATGGTAGATAAAGTTGGTAGGAGTCTGGAACCACAATGTGGAAGGCCTAAGTTTCTAGGCTGAGGTGTATAAAGTTTGCATAGTAGATAAAAAAACAAAAGACTTTTAGCTGGAGATGGCATCCGATCTCTTCTCTAACAAATTTAGGTATTATAGGCCTTCTTGGAAAAAAAAGAAGTTTTTACAAATAAAAAGTTTTTATTACATTAGCAAACACTAGCAATATTATTTCTGAGATTTATTCTTTTTTTTTTTTTTTTTTTTTTTTTGAGACAGAGTCTGGCTCTGTCGCCCAGGCTGGAGTGCAGTGGCGCGATCTCGGCTCACTGCAAGCTCCGCCTCCTGGGTTCACGCCATTCTCCTGCCTCAGCCACCCGAGTAGCTGGGACTACAGGCGCGTGCCACCACGCCCGGCTAATTTTTTTGTATTTTCAGTAGAGACGGGGTCTCACCGTGTTAGCCAGGATGGTCTCGATCTCCTGACCTCGTTATCCGCCTGCCTCAGCCTCCCAAAGTGCTGGGATTACAGGCCTGAGCCACCGCGCCTGGCCGAGATTTATTCTTTTTTTTTTTTTTTTTTTTTTGAGACGTAGTCTCGCTCTGTTGCCCAGGCTGGAGTGCAGTAGCGCTGTCTCAGCTCACTGCAAGCTCTGCCTCCTGGGTTTTCATGCCATTATCCTGCCTCAGCCTCTCAAGTAGCTGGGACTACAGGTGCCCGCCACCACACCCAGCTAATTTTTTGTATTTTTAGTAGAGATGGGGTTTCACTGTGTTAGCCAGGATGGTCTCCAACTCCTGACCTCGTGATCCACCTTGGCCTCCCAAAGTGCTGAGATTACAGGCATGAGCCACTGCGCCTGATTTATTCTTTTAAAATAATAAAACTTTTTTCTCAATGTTTTTACACTAAGTAGAAACCGGAGTAATCAATTAAATTTTTAATGTTGACTTTGAAATGCAGTAGAAACAAGAAAGGTTTTATTTTTATTTATTTATATTTTTAGAGACAGGGACTTCCTCTGTCACCCAGGCTAGAGTGTAGTGGCTGGCTCATTGCTCACTGCAGCCTCAGATTCCCAGGGCTCAAGCAGTTCTCCAGCCTCAGCCTCCCAAGGAGCTAGGACTGTAAGTGTGCACTATCTTGCCCAGCTAACTTTATTTTTATATTTTGTAGAGATAAGATCTCACTATGTTGCCCAGGCTGGTCTTGCGCTCCCGGCCTCAAGCAAGCCTCCTGTCTTGGTCTCCTAAAGTGCTGGGATTACAGATGTGAGCCACCACACTCAGCCCCAAAAAGTTTTATTCCCAACTCTGACAAGCAAGAAAACTCCAATAAAACAAAATAAATAAGATCAAGAAAGAGGAACCTAATAATGACAAAAAATGTTGAAACCAGAAAATATGATTCTTTACAAGTCAGGATTTGAGTGATTATTATGGAAATAAAAATAGACTTCCAAATCTGAGATTATGAATTTCTGTATAGTAGGAGTTTCTTTCTTCTCTTTAAACCTTTAAATGTATTAATTTAAAATTTTGTGTGCATAAATGCTTTTTATAGATTATCTTCAGTAAATGAACTGTGTGTATCATATACAGATCTGGAGGAATAGAAAGTGTATTTAAATTAAAATGAGAAGCTTAAATTGGATAGATGTGAATGAAATGCTTCATAGAAAGTATCCATAGAAACCACTTAAAATAAAGAGAAATGTTAATTCTCTTTGTAAATTGAACTCCCAGAATCAGAATGAGCTTGAGACATTTAATGTAGGTGGGATACTCTTTGGCCTTATCTATATGAAACACACTAATTGACAATTATATTTTTTGGCCATGGTCTCAGCTGATAGTCACAACCAATTTGTAGCCATAGAGTTGATGGGATTCAGCTAGTAAAATTGCTAAGCTATATTGGCCCAACTTGTTGATTTAATCAGGTGTGTGATCAGCAATTCATGACTGTAGTGTCCCAACCTTTCGGCAGTTTCTTGACAACACAAAAAATTAAATTTTAGCTACATGTGATAGTGATTATAAAGTAATTAGTGGACACCACTAAAAATCATTTGTAAAAGAAAAAATTTTCCTTTGCAAACTTCCAACAAAAGTTTCTATTTTCCATGTTCCTTTCCAGGCCCCAACACAAACAGAGATGTTTTACATTTGCTGCGGTCAGAGTGTTCAGAATCCAACATTCTGCTTCTGTTGATATAAATATAATGTTAACATTTTCTGGTTGCTACATTTTCTTTTCTTTTTTTTTTTTTTGAGATGGAGTCTTGCTCTGTCACCCAGGCTAGAGTGCAGTGCTGCGATCTCGGCTCACTGCCAGCTCCGCCTCCTGGGTTCACACCATTCTCCTGCCTCAGCCTCCTGAGTAGCTGGGACTACAGGCACCTACCAGCACGCCCGGCTAATTTTTTGTATTTTCAGTAGAGACAGGGTTTCACCATGTTAGCCAGGATGGTCTCGATCTCCTGACCTCGTGATCCACCTGCCTCAGCCTCCCAAAGTGCTGGGATTACAGGCGTGAGCCACTATGCCCAGCCCATTTTCTCTTAATTTCTTAATTTTTCTTTGTAATGATCACAGATGATATAACTAAGTTGATCATTTTAGAAATAGTAACTATTCATTATTACTAAATGTAATAATCCATTAATTGCTAACTGTGTAGTTTTCCTACTCTTCCCATTATGGTAGTTCTCTTTCATATTCTAGCAGATATACTTTAGATCTGCCATTTATAATGGCCTCAGACACGCTCCAATATTTTGGAGTTGGGACATAATCTTTTTTTTTTGAGACAGTTTCTCACTCTGTTGCCCAGACTGGAGTGCAGTGGTGCAATTATGGCTCACTGCAACTTCAGTCTCCCAGTCTAAGGTGATCCTCCCATCTCAGCCTCCCCAGGAGTAGCTGGGACTACAGGTACACACCACCATGCCCAGCTAATTTTTGTATTTTTTGTACAGACTGGGTTTCATCATGTTGCCCAGGCTAGTCTCAAACTCCTAGGCCCAAGCAATCTGCCCACCTCAGCCTCCCAAAATGCTGAGATTACAGGCCTGAGACACCATGCCTGGCCAGGACATCTTTATACTCTTTTTTTTTTTTTTAAGATGGAATTTCACTCTTGTTGCCCAGGCTGGAGGGCAATGGCACCATCTCAGCTCACTGTAACCTCTGCCTCCCGGGTTCAAGCGATTCTCCTGCCTCAGCCTCCTGAGTAGCTGGGATTACAGGTTCCCGCCACAACGCCTGGCTAATTCTTGTATTTTTAGTAGAGATGGAGTTTCACCATGTTGGCCAGGCTGGTCTCGAACTCCTGACCTCAGGTGATCTGCCCACCTCAGCCTCCCACAGTGCTGGGATTATAGGCATGAGCCACCGCGCCCAGCCCGACATCTTTATACTCTTTAAGAGTTACTGAGGTCGGGCGCGGTGGCTCACCCCTGTAAACCCAGCACTTTGGGAGGCTGAGGTGGACGGATCATGAGGTCAGGAGATGGAGACCATCCTGGCTAATATGGTGAAACCCCATCTCTACTAAAAATACAAAAAAAAAAAAAAAATTAGCCGGGCGTGGTGGCAGGCGCCTGTAGTCCCAGCTACTCGGGAGGCTGAGGTGGGAGAATGGTTTGAACCCAGGAGGCAGAGCTTGCAGTGAGCTGAGATCACGCCACTGCACTCCAGTCTGGGCAACACAGCAAGACTCCGTCTCAAAAAAAAAAAAAAAAAAAAAAAGAGTTACTGAGAATCCAGCCAATGTGGTGGCTTATGCCTGTAATTCTAGCACTTTGGGAGGTTGAACTGATCCTTTGGGAGGATTGCTTGAGGCCAGGAGTTCGAGGCCAGCTTGGGAACACATCAAGACCTTGATCTCTACAAAAAAAAAAAACAAAA
Organism: Homo sapiens; assembly: GCF_000001405.40. Lineage (NCBI taxonomy): Eukaryota > Metazoa > Chordata > Mammalia > Primates > Hominidae > Homo > Homo sapiens. The sequence continues at coordinate 68,289,201 of NC_000001.11, forward strand.
AACTTTAAAAAATTAGCCAGGCATGGTGGTATGTACCTGTAGTCCTAGCTACTTGGGAGGATTGAGGCTGGAAGATTGGTTGAACCCAGAAGTTCAAGGCTTCAGTAAGCTATGATTGCACCACTATTCTCTAGCCTGGGACAGAGTGAGATCATGTCTCTAAAGAAAAAAAAAGAATTATTGAGGATCCAAAGAACCTTTGTTTATGAGGATTAAATCTACTGATATTTCCCATATTTGAAATTAAACTGAGACATTTTGAAAATATTTATTTTAGAAAACAATAATAAATTCACTATATGTTAACATAAAAAACTTTTTTTTGAGACAGAGTTTTGCTCTTGTTGCCCAGGCTGGAGTGCAATGGCACGACCTCGGCTCACTGCAGTGAGGCAACCTCTGCCTCCTGAGCTCAAGCAATTCTCCTGCCTCGGCCTCTCGAGTAGCTGGGATTACAGGCACCTGCCATCATGCCCAGCTAATTTTTTTGTACTTTTAGTAGAGACAGGGTTTCACCATGTTGTCCAGGCTGGTCTTGAACTCTTGACTTCAGGTGATCCACCCGCCTCGGCCTCCCAAAGTGCTGGGATTACAGGCGTGAGCCACTGCACCCAGCCAATAACTTTATTTTTATGAAAAATAACTATAGTTCCCAAATAAAAAAATGTAGTGAGAATCGTGGCATTGTTTAACATTTTGTGAAGCTCTGTAATGTCTGTCTCAATTGAAGACAGGTGGATTCTCACATCTATTTCTGCATTCCATCTGTAGTATCTCACTTTAGGTAGTTTCTGGAAAATTAGAATTAAAAAGACTGGAACATCTTAGTATTATCATGAAAATAATTTTGACCTGAGAGAGAATTGGGAATCTTCAGGGGCTTCAACCATGTTTTGTAAACCTGATGGTGCACACCATGGTATATATGGACAATTATCACATGGCTATAGGGCTATATGGTGTGGTTTGCAGTCCTGGAGGACACCAGCTCAGGGAAGAGTCTTCATATTTTTTTCTGTTCAAATAAATTGATAGCAGTGATAGTTTATTGTCAAGTTCTTATTTTACTTTCTCTGCAGGTGAGAAAATACTCATTGAGTCCTAGTGAATTCAGTTTCAAATTTAATAGTCATTAACATTAGCTTTTCTAATTAGAATCAAAGGATTTTAGAGCTGGAAATGCTGAAAGAGAATCCTACAATATGATTTGGTCACATATGAGATGGGACCACTGGTAGCATGCAAAAGAAAGTTAGGTGAGATAACTTGAGGTAGTACACAGACAAGATGTTAAATAAAATATTGAGTAATGAAAAAGTTGTTTCCTTTTAGATCCTCTTTCCACCTGGTTATACTGAGTGAAAAGTTTCAGTTTTTTTTTTTTTTTTTTTGAGATGGACTCTCACTTTGTTGCCCAGGCTGGAGTGCAGTGGCACTATCTCGGCTCACTGCAACCTCCGCCTCCCGGTTCAAGCGATTCTCCTGCCTCAGCTTCCCGAGTAGCTGGGACTACAGGCACCTGCCACCAGGCCTGACTAAATTTTTTGTATTTTTAGTAGAGACTGGGTTTCACCGTGTTAGCCAGGATGGTCTTGATCTCCTGACCTCATGATCCAACCTCGTGATCCGCCCGCCTCGGCCTCCCAAAATGCTGGGATTACAGGCGTGAGCCACCGCGCCCAGCCTCAGTTTGTTTTTTGGTATGTCTTCAATATACCCTAACTACCTTGCAGAGCCTTTAACCAACTTGCGTATTTTCCAGTTTAACATAAGGTTAGCCTAAGGCTCAGAGCCTTAGGTAGATAAGAGTATCTAGCTAGAATTTAATGGCTTTGTTTTTTCTTTATCTTTATTTTTTTATTACCATCCTTTTAGAGCAAGTCATTTTGGGTTTTAATTTAATAAGGTTTAATTTTAAAATATTTTATTTGCTTTTAAAAAGTACAGTGATTTAAAGAAAATAGTTATGAAATAATAGTATGAATGGTATGACGATATGGCAAAAGTAATAAAATGAAGGACTGAGGTTTGGGGAAAAAATGACTTAATTCTATCCCTAATTTAGAGGTAGAAAAATCAAGGCATAGAGAAATTTGATTTGCTGCAGATAGTCGTAGTCAGACTTAGACTCTGGTCTTACTCTCAATTCAAAAGTCTCTCTACTACAGCCTAACGAGTGCTAAAGTGTAACACTGAATGTCTTAACATTAGGGCCTGCCTCTGAAGCCAGACAGATCCAGGTTTAAGCTCCAGCATCATTCCAGCCTAGCTGTATAATCATGGACAAATTGCTTAACTTCTATCATCCTTGGTTTCTTCCTTTATGAAATTGACACACCTATTTCACCTACTTAATATTTCATGAATATTAAATGAGATAATATTTAAATAGTTAAAATGGCTGCTGACCCTCAATAGACAGACCTATTTTTATTAGCTGAAGTTACTTTCACTGAACTGCAGAGCATTTGGAGCAAAAGGATCTTCCTTCCTAGCCAAGGCTTGGCTCCAGTGTGTGTGAACTGCATCTGCCACTTGGATCCTTACTTAATTAAAGGCTGGAAACCATTGCATTTCCCTGGAGGAGTCTAACTCGTCTCTGGTTGCAGGGAAGGGAGGTAAAAAGTGTTAACTGGGAAACTTATGCAGCCAAGGGTTAAAATAGCTGAAGAAGAATTCTGGCCTCTGATGTCTGTGATGCAAAGCCAAGTGTGTTTGCCTTTGTGAGCCCAGGAATGCTTTTGGTGAGTCTTGTTTGTTGTGGAAACTGACTTGATCAAAGTGGGGAGAATTAAAATGATCCATCAGAATAATAGTCAAGGCTGTATATGAAGTCCCCAGACAGAGCCTTGAACCTGAAGGCTCCCACTGAGGACAGACAAGTCAGCTGACAGCAACTGGGAAGAAAAGAGTCTCTTCAGGCAGACGGTGCAGCTGGGAGATAAAGACTCTGGGTAGATAAGAGTTCAGATTTGGTGAGGTGCAGTGGTGACACAGAATGCTGACCTCATGTTTTTTTAGGATTCTTGCAACACCAAGATTGTGGCTTTTAGCTGTCAGTTTTTGAGAGTGAAGTTACTAAGTGAAGTAGGCACTTTTTGTAGTAAAGCATTTGGGAGTGGAGAAACTGTGCTAATTGCACTGGAGATCCTGTGCTAATTGTTACCAGAGTGTTTTAAGGCACAATGTCACACTTCTCCCCATATTAATTTACAAATATTGAAACATTCTCATTATGATTAGGCAGTATTAAGGGATCCTAAGTGGCTGGTGCTATTTTAGATTGTTTACTCAGTTTGTTCCTCCCAGATGAGGATTGGTAAAACTGATATTTTATCAAGTATGAAATGACCTTGGAGCCTCCTGGTTGCTAAGTTAGAATGCATAACCAAGGCAGCCCAGGAATCTAAAGCAGAAGGGTTGGAGATGCAAAAAATGTCTGGTCTTGCTCATATATTTTAGCGATGGGAAAACTGAGGCCTGGAGGGAGGAGGCAACTTGCTCAATATTATAGTCAAATCACCTGCCTTTTGGCCTGTTGCCATGACAAAGAAGCTACAGAAAATGGAGCAGTGGTCTAGAATGCTGCCCACATGAGACAATGTCACCTTCTGGGCATTTGCAACTTGAAATATTGCAGGCGTATCACTCTGTTTTTAGTTTTTGACAATAATAATAATCCTGCGTTTTGTTTGCTTTTTGCTTTTGTGTGTTTTGGTTTATCTTTTTATCTCGACTCCTCCCAGGATACCCTTCACCAAGACTCTCCTATGCAGGTAGATCCAGAGTGAAGCCTTTAGAAAGATCAGTAATTCACCCAATACTGTTTCCAATAAGAGAATTTCATAATCATTTCTCATGTTGAGTGCTTTACAAATCACAAAGCTCTTTAAAATCTATTCTCCCACTAATCCCTGCACAGCCTTAGAGGGAGGCAGAGCATTCATTTCATGGATGCAGTAGGTAAGACAGCCAGCGGCTCACTTTGGGTCACACCACCCCAGAGCCACTGAGCCGCCCCACCTGGGGCTCCAGTTCCTGGGGACAGTCAGAGTGCAGCACCTCTCACAGCAAGCAGAGCGAGGCCAAGACATGTGGAGAAGCCTGCCAATCCCTCAGGATACATTCTCTGAGCACTCGACTTGGTGGGAGTTTCAGGAAATTCTGCAACAAGGCAGAGGGAGGAGGCTGGGAGAAGTTGAGAGAAATGCTCAGACAGTATGGGGGAGGAGGAGGCAATCTGGAAATCTTGCACTGAAAAAGGTAAGAATTCGGGAAAGGTTTAGACATGCAGGATGCAGACTTAAGAGGTGAAATCCCCGGGAAAATTCGTTTCTTTTCTAGGGGCTCCCAGCAACGGCTTCCATGAGGAAAACGTTTGACATACTGCATTAAAACACACACACACACACACACACACACACACACACACACAAACTGCCTTCCTAGAGCACCTCTCCCTCTGAACGGGGAGGTTTGGGTTCACTTTGCTTTGCAGGCCCTGGGCCCCACTTAGCTCAGAGATGAGGGAGAGCCCTGCAGCCTTATCCTTCCTGCCGAGACGCAGGGGAAAGTCGGCCTCTGCATCAAAGCAATGAGAGAGCAATGCGCTATTTTTGTCTGTCTCTCTCCTCTCAGCCAAAGCTCTGGCTGATTTCCTGCCCAGGCACTAACGGGTCTCACCCTCCCTTCAGGTCTCTCCCTTCCCAGGGTTCACTAAAATGGGGAATCCAGGAAAAGGAAGCTGGGCTCTCCGGGTTTCTGTTTGTCTTTGGAAACCACTTACGGAGTCGGAATTGGGGCCCGCAAATGTGGACCCTTCAGGAATGACTCCCCCGCTCCAGTCGAGTTACCAAATGAGGCCAATTCATTCTTTGGAATGTAGCAGCCTGGGCAATGATGATTGATACTGACAGCAAAGCTTTCATGTAGCAATATCCCCGGCCACTGACTGTGAGGAGAAAAGAAAGAACTCTCTGGAATTCACAACATTCCCCCTCCAATTAATCCCCAGCCGCCCCGCTGTGTGTGAATGGGTTATGCTAGGGATTCGTAGCTCTGATGCGGGGGATTTGCTGATTCCTTGAAGCCCCCTGAGGAGAGGTGATATGGAGAGCAAATAATCAGCATGCAGCGCTGGAGGGATGGAAAGAATTGGCTCGGCTGGGCCTGGCTTTACTATTTGTACACTTTTAGGGACCTCCGAAACTGGGTTTGCAGACAAAAACCTGTGGTTGAGGGGCCCTCAATCCCCGACCTATTGAGAGCCAGGATTGCGGCCGTATCTCCAACTAGCTTAAGATACGAGCCTTGCCTCAGAAAGAGGGGGCCAGACCGACTGTCCAAGATGAAGAGGTGACTGAGTCCCAATTCTCACCCAAGTGCAGGCAGGAACGGCCTTCCCGGCCACCTCTACCTCGCCGCAGTCACAGGCTTACCCTAACCAATCAAGACTAGAGTTTGCATTACAGTGTATGCATTGGAGTGAATTGCATTTTTCAATGTAAGTCCTGCCTCTCAAAATGCTGTTTATTCCCCCCGACCCTGCCAGCTCCAGATCCACCTCTGTGAAGCCTTCTCTGCTGGTGAGAATAAACTTTGGGTTCTCTGTGTTTTCAAAGCATCTGTGACGGTCAAACTCTTGTTCTGGTTTGTTGGGTGTGAATCTGCCTCACACTGTGAAACTGGAAAGGTTCCCTTGACCCCCTCACATGGTGTGCCACGGGGGTGTGGCTCGCTTCTCCAGTGCCCTGCTGCTCAAACCTCCAGGGAGGCATAGAGGCAGGCAGGCATACAGGGCTCCGACTCCAAGGCAGTGTCTAGGGGAGAATGTTTACGGCTCCTCAAGCCCCAGTGTGCATGTGTTACAGGGTGCTCTTTTAGTTTGTCTATAGGCGGCTTGTGTTAAACCAGCTCAAATAGACCCTCTACCTTGTCGCAGGGACAGAGGGCTTTCTGTATCCCGGGTTCTTGCTTTGGTGTACCAGAAGAAGCAGATCACACGTGGGGTTGGAGGATGGGTGCAAAGTTTTTTTTGTTTGTTTTTGTTTGTGTTTTTGTTTTGAGATAGAGTCTCGCTCTGTCGCCCAGGGTGGAGTGCAGTGGCGCTATCTTGGCTCACTGCAACCTCCACCTCCTGGGTTCAAGCAGTTCTCTGCCTCAGCCTCCCGAGTAGCTGGGATTACAAGCGCCCACCACCACGCCCAGCTAATTTTTGTATTTTTAGTAGAGACGGGGTTTCACCATCTTGGCCAGGCTGGTCTTGAACTCCTGACCTCGTGATCCACTCGCCTCGGCCTCCCAAAGTGCTGGAATTACAGGCGTGAGCCACCGCGCCTGGCTGCAAAGTTTTATTGAATGGAAGTAGCTCTTCAGTGATGTGGAAGCCAGGATGGAGATGGTTTTCCCCTGGAGTTGGCCTGCTCAGCAGCCCCCGCTCTCCTCTGACTGCCCCGCCCAAACTCTGCCTCATCCCGCCAGTCTATGGCCTGCCCACGTCCTGGCATCTGTCGGTGTGATCTTCCGCCGGCGTGCTCGCCTCGACGTCCGCTCAAAGTCCAGTTGCTGGTCTTCTTCCGCTGATGTGTTCCACTCGTAGTCCAGCAGCTAATGTCTTTACCTTTCCAGGGTCTCAGGTTTCTATAGGCCCAGGATGGGGGTATGGCAGGTTAGGGGGGGTCTTTGAAAACGCAACATTTGCGTGCGTGTGAAGGCAGAAGTGCCTGTCCTCACCTGGGTCCGTAGGGGTAGACCCCTAGCCAGGGACCACGCCCTTCTCTCAGGCACTTCCCTTATCCCTTCTGCATCATTTAAAGGAACTAGCTCTTCCCTTCCGGGCACTCCTGTATCAATAGCGCCGTGGACAGTGCCTGGTTAAAAACGAACAACTAATGTATATTGAGCACTTACTATGTGGCAGGCATTGAACTTTTATATTCATTACCACAATCTTCACAGCAATCTCTGGAATAGGTACTATTATCAGCTTTATTTGTTCAGAGAGGAAAGAGGCGTAGGAACCATCGTAGGGTCACCAAGTGGAAGCAGTAACTTGTAGGTAGGGAGAGTCAGATTCGAACAAGGCTCTCTCATCACAATCTCTGGTTCCCACAACCTTTGCCTTCCTGTAGGCTTCTCATTACTCCTCACTGGGAATGTCTGCCGCAGTGCTTCCTACTGCCAAGCGTGCACACCCTCAATTCCCCTCCCCTGCTCAATGCAGCCTGGGAGTCTGGAGACCCCCCAAAAGGTCACTCTCCTGCTTAAAACCCTTTTAAGGTTCTTCCCCATAGCACTTAGAAGAAAATTCAACCTCCTTAGCTTAGCATACAAGCCCCTTTATGATCAGACACCTGGAAATAAATAAAGATCGAGACGATAATCCTAATAACCTTTGGGAGAACTTTGGTGAACAGGCTGTGTAGCCCCTGGGCCTGGCTCCCTGAGGGCAGTTTCCATTCAAACTCTTCTCCCATCTGGCCACTCCTGACAGTTGCCACTACTTACTTGCTTTCTTGGGTTTCTCTTCCTTCATTCAGGAAAAAGGTGTTAGAAGTAGATTTTACTTCTGGTTCCACTATAGCTGAAAGGAGTTCAAGATGAATACTTGATTTTTAAAGTTTTTTTTTTTTTTTTTTTTTTTTTGCCTATTGTTGCCAGGAACCACAGGGCACTAGGCAAATACTATGAGAATGTTCTTAACTATTAAATGCTCAGTGTCAACCAATCTGCATTTTCATACATTGCACTCCAAGAAATTAACTTTTGCACACTAAATTTGAGCATTCATCAATCAGCTGACAAATGAAACATCAGGCTCTCCCACGGGGCACTGCCTGCCAGCCACTGTGCAGTTTTAGCAGCAGCAGCAGCAGCAGCTTTGTTTTCTCAGCAGCATTAGTACAATTAGTTAAGCATTTCATTATGGGGTGTCCCTATTTTATAAAAACACATGTACAAGCAATTTCACTTTTCATTCAACAGTCCATCAATTAATATTTATCGACTCACTTTTATATGTGGACAGGGGATCTGTGGTGGACAGTCAAGGTCCTTGGTAATGTCACAAGGTCTTGTGGCTATGCCCGGATGGCTGAGAAAGACAATGGACAAACAAATAAATATGGTCAGCATCATCAGAAAATCAAACTGGTTGAAATGATAGAGGAGTGAGTGGGCCTGCTTTAGAACAGTCAGAGGAAGGGCTTTCTAAGCAGTGACTTGACCTGTACAAGAAGGATCCATCCAATGGAAATAATTGGAAGTATAGCATTCCAAACAAAAGGCAAGGGCCTGAGGTGGGGAGAAGCCTGGTTTCTTTGGAGACAGTAAGAAGGCTGGTGGGACTCAAGGATTTGAGTGAGCAGGAGATGGAGTGGGAGATTAGGTGGGAGATATGAGCAAATAGATCATTAGGGTCCTGTAGGGCAATGGCTTTCAACTCTTTTAATGTGGCCCCAGAGTAAGAAATGTATTTTCCATCACAGTCCAGCACACACACGTATCTGAGAGAAAAACTTCATGAAATAACACTTTTTTTTTTTTTAGATGGGTCTCACTCTGTCACCCAGACTGGAGTGTAGTGGCCCAATAACAGCTCACTGCAGCCTCAGCCTCTGGGGCTGATCCTCCCACCTCAGCCCCCTTCCCCTGCCAGTGGCTGGGACTACAGGCCCACACCACTACACCTGGCTCATTTTGTATTTTTTGTAGACACTGGGTTTCAACATTTTGCCCAGGCTGGTTCGAACTCCTATGCTCAAGCCATCTGCCTCAGCCTCCCAAAGTGCTGGGATTACATGCGTGAGCCACCATGCCTGGCCCTTATAAAATAATACTTATCTTTATGACACATGGTAACTTTGATATTTCTGTCTTATTTTATTTTAAAATGCTGATCTTTACCTAGTACATTGGTTTCACAATCTAGTAAATGGTTTGGTTTGAAAAACTCTGTCCTAGACCATAGTGAGGGGCTTGGATTCTATTCTTGGTGTAATTGGAAACCCTTGGAAAGTTGTAAGCAGGGGAGTAACATGGTCTGATTTACATTTTAATTTTTTTTTTTGGCAAGGTCTTGGTCTGTCACCCAGGCTGGAGTGCGGTGGCACAACCACAGCTCACACTATCCTCAGCCTTCTGAGTAGCTGGGACTACAGGTGGTGCCTGCCACCATGCCTAGCTAATTTTTTACTTTTTGTAGAGATAGGGTTTTGCCATGTTTCCCAGACTGATCTCAAACTTCTGGGCTCCAGAGATTCTCCCGCTTTGGCCTCCCAAAGTGCTGGGATTACAGGCATGAGCTGCTGCACCCGGCCTACATTTTTAAAAATTTGCTTTGACTGCTGTCTGGAGAGCAGACTGTATGGGGGTGGGCAAGAGCAGCAGGGAGACCAGTTAGGAAGCTGCTGATTTTCATCCAGGGAGAAATGATGGTGGTTTGGACTAGAGCAGTAGCAGAGGAGACTGAGAGAAGCGGAGGAATACTATGAATTTGAGAGATAAAGCCAACATTGGATATGGGGTGAAAGAAGAGCGAAGAGGCAAGGATGACTCCAAGGGCTTTTTGTTTGTTTTAAGCAATGTGTGGTGTAGTCATTTGCTGAGATGCAAAACTGAGGATGATCAAATTTAGGGGAATAGGAACATTGTTTTGGGCATTTTAAGTTTGGGATACCTATACCTACTATATATACACTCAATCATCTGAGTGTACATCATGGAGATGTCAGGTACTTACCCAGCAAGGGAGTTTTGGTGAAAGATCGGGATTGACGGTAAAGCTATAAGAGGCAGTACAGCATAGAAATTATTTAAAGACATAGGGCTGGCCAGGCACAGTGGCTCATGCCTGTAATCCCAGCACTTTGGGAGGCCAAGGCGGTTGGACCACTTGAGGTCAGGAGTTCGAGACCATTCTGGCCAACACGGTGAAACCCCATCTCTACTAAAAATACAAAAATTAGCCAGGCATGGTGGCAGGCGCCTGTAGTACCAGCCACTCGGGAGGCTGAGGCAGGAGAATCACTTGAACCTCAGAGGCAGAGGTTGCAGTGACCCAGATCACGCCATTGCACTCCAGCCTGAGCAATAAGAGTGAAATTCCGTCTGGAAAAAAAAAAAAAAAAAAAAAAGGCATGGGACTAAGGGAATGTGCCTAGAGAGAATGTATAGTTACAGAAGAGCGGTAGGCTTGGGACTACTTTCTGGACCATATTAATAGACCTGTCAGAAGAGAGGTACTTCCATTCTGGAAGTGATGTTTTCTGTAACAAAATGGAAATTGAAAAACCATTAGATATACTGAAAGTCACAAGCAGTCATCTGTTAGGTTTAAGGGGGAGAGCTGGGTGTTCAATTACCAAAGAAAAACTAAATTTAAGAACATAAGTGAAGCTGGGTGAAGCTAGTTGAAGTCGTGTGTGCCTGTTGTTCCAGGTACTCAGGAGGATTGCTTGAGCTCAGGAGTTGGGGTCCAGCATGGACGACACAGTGAGACCCTTATATCTAAAAGAAAAAGAACATAAGAGCAAAATGCTGGCAGTCCAGCGTCTCTATTTATGGCTTTTTTTGAGATGGAGTTTCACTCTTGTCACCCAGGCTGGAGTGCAGTGGCGCGATCTCAGCTCACTGCCACCTCCACTTCCTGGGTTCAAGAGATTCTCCTGCCTCAGCCTCCCGAGTAGCTGGGAATACAGGTGCCCGCCATCATGCCCGGCTAATTTTTTGTATTTTAGTAGAGACAGGGTTTTGCCATGTTGGGCAGGCTGGTCTTGAACTCCTGACTTCAGGTGATCCACCTGCCTCGGCCTCCCAAAGTTCTGGGATTACAGGCGTGAGGCACTGCGCCTAACCCAGTCCAGCATCTCTAAACTATAATCAAGAATTTTACAACATTTTTAGCTTTCTGGAGATAGAGCACCACTCACATGGTTTGCATGAGCTTGTGTTGAACTTTCACTTCAGTGTCATCTTAGGAATTCCTTACAAAAATGAGGGTCTAGTAGTTATCCTGTGTTTCTATTTAAAGCCATGCTTGGCTGGGCTTGCTGGCTCATGCCTGTAATCCCAGCACTTTGGGAGGCCAAGGCAGGTAGATCGCAAGGTCAAGAGATCAAGATCATCCTGGCCAACATGGTGAAACCCTGTCTCTACTAAAAATACAAAAATTAGCTGGGCATGGTGGCATGCACCTGTAGTCCCAGCTACTTGGGAGGCTGAGGCAGGAGAATCGCTTGCACCTGGGAAGCAGAGGTTGCAGTGAACCAAGATGGAGCACTGCACTTCAGCTTGGCAATAGAGCAAGACTCCGTCTCAAAAAAAAAAAAAAAAAAAAGCCATGCTCTTATTCCCTCACACCTATGTTAGCTGTTCTAACTAACTTTTTTCCTAAGGTTGGAACATATCTCTCTTCCACCTTCCTTCGTAAGGAGCCTCCACCATTGGTCTGCTATTTCTCCCCAACTTTCAGTCAGGTATGTGTTCAGAATGCCTTATTTGTGTAAACCATTCCAAGAAACAGAAAATTCTTGACTGTCACCTTTTTCCTTCATTCTTTTCTTTCTTGCTTGCTGCCCTTCTTCCCTTCCTCCTTCCCTTCTTTCCTCCATTCCTTCCTTCCTTCCTTTTTTCATTTCCTCAAGGGCAGTGTTTTTCAAATGTTAAATGAAATCTTCAGTTAAAGTCCCAAACCAGATAAACAAAGGAATAAATGGTACCCTTTTCCCCTTTTGTAGGGACCCTAGAAGGGTCTTCATGGAATCCTTGGGCTCCACAAATCACAGTGTAAGGACTAATGGTGAAGTAGATTCATTTCCTTTTTAAGGAGACTTTAGGCAAGAACAGTCTCTAATCTCTATGAGCCAGATGTTTACCCAGAGAAGGTAAATTAAGATTATTCTCTGTGACAGCATCACTGCTAGGATTTCACCCTGGAGGAATAGTGGAGACCCAGAAAGCTTACTTACATTGCCTCTTTAAAGAGAATCATACTTCATCAGTTGATCAGCAAATATTATGCAGTGTACCTAATAATTGAAATAATTTAATAAAAATACATGGATGTGATTTTTTTTTTAAAAAGGAAAATATAATGGAGTTTAAATAATGCTCACTTTGGAATAAGAAAACTTGGGGTCAGTCTCAGTTCTGTCTCTTACCAGCTGAAAGCCTGGCATAAGAGTAAGTAGTGTGACTTCTCTGAGCCTCAGATTCTTTATCTATTAGTTAGACATAAAACAATCCTCATAGGTTTATGGTGAAGACTAAATAGGCATAACATGCAGAGCACCTAGTACTTGGCAGTATTGGTCATGCTGTAGGCTCTTAACATAAGACAAATGGTTATTATGATTACACATTTGCCTACTTTTGGAGACAAAGATGAAAGCCTGGGTCGGATATGGCCTCCAGCCCTGCAAATGCTGATGAGAGGTCTAGCTGTTATTGAAATGGAGCATGACGAGTCTTTAAAGGCTAAGTGAAATGGATTTTGTAATGTTTGGTCATAGTTTGGATAGCTTCTCAGAAATTCAAGTCTCTTATATACCTAAGGAAATATAAAAGCCAAAAAAATTTTGGCACCTGGCCTAACAGCCTAGATTCTTTTGGGTCAATATCACTTGTCCTCATTGTTCTTATTTAATAGAGGTTAGGTCATGACCACAGCTCTTTTCTACATTACTTCATCAGTGGGACTCCTCCCTGAGTTTGCAAAGCACAAAACACAAAGGATAAACATAACCAAGCACCATATTCATGCTAAAGGGTCTGCATAATTGAAATTGAAATTCACCCTCTGCATTCTTTTGTTCACTCAATTAATGTTTACTGAGCTTTGGGTACTGGAAATATACATACACAGATGCTGTATCGTGACGGTGGTGAGACCTACAGATCTCTGCCCTCATGAGGGGTCTGACAATAGATAAATATATTAGATAATTACAAGTTATGATTGTGTGATAAAGAAAGTAGGCATGATGCTGTGATAAAGGCTAACAGGGGAACATGTTTAAGGAAGGCTTCTCATAAGAGAAGATGTTCAAGATGAGACCAAAGAGCCAGCCAAGTGAAGGGTCAATCAATGGAGGAGCTCTCCAAGAAGAGTCATGGCAAGAGTTCTGAGATGGGGAAGAGCAGGGAAAGTCTGCAGTACTTCTGGAAAGCCCGTATGACTAGAGTATAATGAAGGAAAGAAGGAAAGACAAAGGCAGGAGCCCATTCAGTGGGCCTTTGGAACCATGACAAGGTTTTCAAACATTTTCTAAGCCCATGGGAAGCTATTAAGGGCTTTAAAGTAGGGGAGTGACACAAGCTGATTCACATTTTCAAAAAAATCACTGTGGAGAAGACTGGTGGGAGAGGACTGAGAGTGGGTACAGTGGGGCAGCTATGAGGAGCCACAGATGAAAGTGAATGGTGACTTGGAACTGAGAGGACTAGAGAGATGCAGGATATATTTTGGAAGCAGAGCCAATAGGACTTGCTGGTAAGTTACAGGAAGTGAGAGAAGGGAGAGAATTCTGGTTTCTGGCTTTAGTAACTGTACCAGTGGTTATCATTGTCAGGGAAAGAAAGACTGTGATATGATCAGTTTAGGAACGGAATGAGGGGGAATCAATCGTTCCACTTTGGAAATGTTAAGTTTGCAACGTCCGTGAGACAGCTGAACAGATATGCCAAGAAGCCATTTGGATATAGAAGAAAGTCCAGAACTCAGAGAAGTGGGCTAAGCTGGAGGCAGAAGTTTGAGAGTCTTCAGAAAATAGTTTGTATTTGAATCCAAGGGGATGGATAAAATCATATGGGGAAAGAAGAAAAAGGGTGCAGGACTCACCCCTGGGGACTCCAAAATTAAGATGATTGTAGAGAAAAAGGAACTAGCACAGGAAACCAAAAAGCCATGGCTGTGAGGTAGGAGAGGGAAAATGATGACTACAGGGGAAAAATATATATATTATAGGAATGAAGGAGAAATCAGCTGTGCCAAAGGCTGCTGATAATTCATTTGTAACCCCCAAACCTCTTTATATGAGAGTCAACAACATCCATGGGCGAGGTTGATTTTGGCCACATCTCCTAGTGTCACATCTATAAATATCTGATGGATAATTTATTAACATTTCTGAGTGTTAGTTTTCTCATTTGAAAAATAGGGACAATGCATGCACTTCCTAGGCTTTTGTAAACATTCAATAAGAAAATTTATATAAACTATTCCCAGAATACTAGGCATATAATGCTCAATAAATGGCAGCCATTATTATGAAAAAGCATTATGTTTGGAAACCAGAGTGCCCACATTCTAGTGAACATCTTATAATTAACAGTAATTTCCTTGGGTAAACAGTTGTTTGAATTTTAATTTTCCCATCAGGAAAATGGGGACAATAATTTCTGTCTTGCCATCTTTTCTCGTAGGGCTGTCTGATGGATTAAATAGTGTCGTGAATGTGAAAGAGCTCTATACGCCATTCAGTGCAAAGAAGATATGAAGAATTTCTTTTCTTTCCTTTTTTTTTTTTTTTGAGACAATATCTCGCTCTGTCACCCAGGCTGGAGTGTGGTGGCCTGATCACAGCTCATTGCAACCTCTGCCTCCTGGACTCAAGTGATCCTCCCACCTCAGCCTCCTGAGTAGCTGGGACTATGGTTGTGCACCACCACACTCGGCTAATTTTTATATGTTTAGTAGAGACTGGGTTTCTCCATGTTGACCGGGCTGGTCTCAAACTCCTGGGCTCAAGAGATCTGCCTGCCTTGGCCTCCCAAAATACTGGGATTACAGGCATGAGCCACCTCTCCTTGCTCCATATGAAGAATTTCTAATTGTCCAATAGAATTTTTATTTGTCTAGCTTTCAAATCAGTTGAATATGTATACTTCAGGAGATCAGTGAATAGGTTTGAGGGAGGCAATAGCAATACTCTGAGAAATAAAGCTTTTTACATGGTCCAAACTTACCAGGTTTAGGGTACAGCTCTGCAGCACTGTTTCCCTTATGTTCTTTTGGAGGGTTCCACAAGAGTCAAGATACTAACGCGAGGAGAAGCAACTGGTTCCTAGGACATGAGCTATCTTCCTAGGGTACTTAATGCATTGTAGATGCTCAAGACTTAGCCTTTGATGGATTGAAAATATGTGGCCAGCATGATCCAGAGGAAACGGGGTGTTTCTCTGCCTAGTTGTGACTGTGTCTCCTCAGCTCTTCTTGACTCCTCTGGAAGAGGCAGGTAGAACGGGAAAAGGGAAGTAGGAAAAATGAAAAGAGGAGGGAAATAGAATGATACCTGGGGGTGGAAGGAGAGAAATTCTTAGAATTGGGAAGAGGAAACACTGTCATTACATTAAGTTTGCTGGCATGAAGGATGCTGGAGTGAAGGGATGCTGAAGTGCTCCTGGACCCATCACAAAATGTTTGCAGATGAAGAAGCTAAAGTTAGAGAGGGGAAATGACGAATTCAGGGTTACTTATAAAGGCTGATACTTTAGCAATCATTGGTGGTTTTCTATGGTATTTTAAGCAACAACAAAAAAAAAACCTTGATGTTATTCTTAACATGTCTTCCTCTGTCTCTAATGCCCAAATTAAATCCATAAGCAAATTCTGTTGAGCCTATTTGAAAATATATCCCGAACCCAGCTATTCCTCTTTTCCTCCACCATTATCTTCATCCTAGTCAAGTCACCCTCTCCTCTCCCCTGAATTAGGAAATGATCTTGAGCTTTTCCCATGTCCTGGGTATGGTCTCTTCACACAGCAGCCAAAATGATCCTTTAAACACTTAAGATCATGTTACCTCTCTGCCCAACATACCCACTGACTTCCCACCTCACTCAGAGTAAAATTCAAAGAGCTGTCTGCCACCTATGAAGCCCTGGATAAACCTGCCTCCCACTGCATCTCTCCTTTCGCTATATCCTGATATTCCTTTGACAAATGCAGCACGCTCCTACCTCAGGGCCTTTGTAGTTGGTGCTTCCCTCTGCCCGAAACATTCTTCCCTCAGATATTTGCATGGCTCAATTCTCACTCAGACTTCAGGTCTGCTCAAGGGTCAGCTTATCAGACCACTTTCTTGATTGTCTTCTGTAAATTAGCACACACATTCCACACTCCTGTCCTCTACTCCACTTCTTTTTCCTTCTGGCATTTGTCCCCGTTGTACATATTTAGTATTATCTGTCTCCATTCACTAGAATATAAATTCTATGAGGGCAGAGATTTGCCTGTTTTCTTTTCTATCCATTATTTCTCCTATCTGGCATATATTAGGCCCTGAAAAACGTTTGTTCAATCAGTGAATAAATGAACTGAAGCCCAATGTCTCAGAGCAAAGGAATAAAGCACTGGGAATTCCAAAAAGATGTGGAGTTAATTCTTAATTCTGTTATTTGCCGGCTGTCTTTTAGCCACATTATCAGCCTCCATTTCTCCAGCCTGTTACATGGAGATAATACCCAACTACATTTCTTATTAAAGGAAGCGTGGAATTTAACTGCAATCAGGGCAAGATGATTAACATTTATTGAGCACTGTCTTTGGGTTGGACCCTTTACATAATATCATTCTCAAAAATCCTCTTGTAAGACAGGTGTCAAATTCCCCACTTAACAAAGACTAGTCTGAAATTCAGAGTTAAATTAACAAAACAGTAAGTGTTGGAGTTAGGATTTTCTTTTCTTTCTTTCTTTTTTTTTTTTTTTTTTTTGAGATGGAGTCTTGCTCTGTTGCCCAGGCTGGAGTCCAGTGGCGGGATCTCAGCTCACTACAAGCTCCGCCTCCCGTGTTCACGCCATTCTCCTGCCTCAGCCTCCAGAGTAGCTGGGACTACAGGCACCCACCACTACGCCCGGCTAATTTTTTGTATTTTTTAGTAGAGACGGGGTTTCACCGTGTTAGCCAGGATGGTCTCGATCTCCTGACCTCATGATCTGCCTGCCTCCGCCTCCCAAAGTGCTGGGATTACAGGCATGAGCCACTGTGCCCGGCCGGAGTTAGGATTTTCATCCAGTGCTCTGTGGCCCTTAAATTCATGTCCAACCTTGGAGAGCTAAGCACGCAGGAAAACAAAAAAAAAGAAAAAATGACTTTCTTTTTACCATGGGATGCTTTCAACTGTTATTTGAACTGTTATTTTCAGGTCAGCATCAAGAGCCAAATGTGAAAGTCAATGCCACATATTGAGTTGCTGTCATTGTATGGGAGAATAAATAATATCTTTTCCTTACCCATTGCAAGGGTCATAGTTGAGGCACTTATAATAAAAGACAGATTAACAAGAGAAAAGCACACAAATGTATTTAATGTAAGTTTTATGAGACAGTGAAATCTTCAGAAATGAAGACCCCAAAGAAACAGGGAAATCTGTGTATTTTTATGCTTAGGTTTGATGAAAAGTGGCCAGTGGTGCAGAAGTATGATTGGAGAGAGGGATTATGATCTAATAATGGTAATAAACTGGGAGGAATTTAGCAAGGTCTATTTGTTCAGATTCTTCTTGGCTTCTCTGTGTCTGAGGATTAGGATGTTCCTTTTTCCTGGGCATAGGGTGGGCACCTCTGGAATGAAGTCTTGTTTTGTTTTGTTTTGTTTTGTTTGTTTGTTTGTTTTTGAGAGGGAGTCTTGCTCTGTTGTCCAGGCTGGCGTGCAGTGGTGCGATCTCGGCTCACTGCAACCTCTGCCTCCCGGGTTCAAGTGATTCTTCTGCCTCACCCTCCTGAGTAGCTGGGATTACAGGCACATGCCACCATGCCCGGCTAATTTTTTTGTATTTTTAGTAGAGATGGGGTTTCACCATGTTGGTCAGGCTGGTCTTGAACTCCTAACCTCGTGATCTGCCCATCTGGGCCTCCTAAAGTGCTGGGATTACAGGCGTAAACCACTGTGCTGGCCGGAATGAAGGTTTTATGACCTACTTCAGAAGAATGTCAGCTAGGTTTTATGGCCTGCTTCAGGGGAGAAAGGGTGAGGGGAAGTTGAGAATGACCTTCCTGCTTCTGCTGTTTTCTCTAATGCTAAGGTGCCATATGTCCTGAACCTCATCATCATCAAATATTGATAAAAGGACCACAGTGTGACAGAAGAGACTTTAGCAGGTGAAACTTGTGTCTCCTTATGGTTAAAGCAAAGCAAAGGAAACTGTAGCAAACACTCCTGAAAGAGCTGTAGCAAACCTGCAGGGTCCGCACAGCTTCCTAGGTCTCTGCCTAATCAGGAGTCATGACTAGTTTCAAGAACAGCCTGTGGGATTTGGCGGCTACTTTCACAGCTCTTCAGCTGATGTGAGGTCTGCCATTTACGACTTTGCAGGCTTCCTTTATGTGTGGCAAAATGGAGGGAGAGGTGCCAAGTCACAGCAAAATCCTGGCTTTCTTATTTCAAAGCACCACCCCCCTTCCAGTCCTTTCTATTGCATGTTGTGGTGCCACCCATGGCTTAGGGAATTTCATTTTTAGCTCTCTGTGTTCCAAATACATTCTCAGTGAGTGATGTCTTCTATCTTTCAGGGTTTCTGAGCCAGTTGTGTCCAGGTGAGTCACCTGCCCCAAAGGAATGCCAGATTCTGTTAGAAAGCCCCATGAAAGTGGATCTACATCTTATTAATCTTACTTTCGTCTTAGTTGTACTGGTGAAGAAAAGTGCTTTTGTAAGAAAAGTGCTTTAACAAGCAGGGTTTCCCATTTTTTTCTCAGCTTAGGTAAGGCGGTAATTCTGATAAAGTAAATTGGTTTCCTAAACCAGTGTTATCACACTTTTCATAGTTATGGTATTTTTAGTGGTATAAATTGAAGGAATTAAAAGATTCATGTAACATCAGTAAATAAGTCAGCAGTCATTACTGATCAGTCTGAGGGGCAGAAAACAATCTTGTCTCACATTTTAATTTTCTTTTCAGTTCTCTCTTGGTCTCTCAGCAACACTGTTGCTGTTTGATAGAAATATTGACTACCCTAACTACTCTGTCTTATATACACAGAAGAGAGTGTTCTCAAGTGTTCCAGTAAATGCTTCTTTCTTTGGCACCTGTTTGATCTTGATACAATCCTTTCTGGTTCACAGCAAGTTTTGCTCTGCCCTACAGCCTGTCACACCACCCACTGCTTATCTGGCAGGCATTGCTGAATAGAATGTCTTTAGTGCTAGCCAAAAAGTATTGGGTATATTGATCACAAATTAATAACACATCCACTTTTTTTTGGGATACATATACGTGCTGTGTTACACTCTTTGTGAACCATCGGTCTGGACAAATGCAGTCCAAGATTGTTTTGATTTTCTCTATTCCATCTTGTTTTCCTCTTTTACCTATAACTGTATTTAATGTGTGCTTTTGCCAAGATAATATGTGTGTGTGATTTTTTTCTTTCTTTCAGGGTACCAGCCTTCCTTTCCTTTGGGTCAAATGAGATCACAAAACAATAATAGCTGAGCACAGCTCTGGTTCTTGGTAAAGGAATCCAGTTTAGAGAAATTGCATTAGTCAAAAACAATATGAGTTTGACCCCTATCCACTTAGTGATTGGGTGGTGTTAATCTGAACTCCTGTTCTTTCCTTTCCTCTAAATTAGAGATCATAATGATACCTGTCTATGAAGATTAGATGCAATAATACATGGAATATGTGTAGCACAGGCCACAGTGCTTAGTATAATTTCCTTTTTTTAAATGGCTCTCTCCTTTTCTGGATACCACTGTGTATCTGCTGGCACTGCTGCTAAATGCCTTGGGTCAGGCCTACAGAATGGATGAATTGGAATTGACAGCCAACCAGCAAGCAAGAGTTACTGGCTGACTTTCTGAAGTGTCAGAAAGATCCATATTAACTCTGTTCTTCATAAGAGGTTTAAACATAGCCCTCTTCTTATACACCTGCATTCAATTTTTTTTACAAGAAAATCTCAGTAATCCCATTTTCTCATGGCATGAGTTTTCCTAATCCTGTACAGCATGATTGAAGAATCAAGCTGGCCATGCTTGGAATCAAATGAGACTATTACCTGATCTCATGAGACTTTCTTCTGAGCCCATAAAAGCAACTGCTTCTCAAGACAGTTCTTTCAGGGGAGGAAGGGAGGAGAATTTATCCACTAGCTCCCATTTCTCATTGGTCAAATATTTGCTTTCTAGTACATTAGTTCTTCTACACATCTGGGTTGTACCTATGTGGGACCTAGCAAGCCTCATGTCATTTCATCCCTCAGCATTGACTGGGCAAAAAGCAAGAAGTGCCTAGTGTGGGCATGTGAAAATATTGTTCGGCCTACATGAAATTAGTCAGAGATCAACCAATGTTTGTCAGTGCAGTGACTACTGGTGTTGGAACAAGCATGGCAATGACAGAAGTAGATGCAGCCAAGATATTGAAATAAGCCATAGGCTGTACATGATACATTCCACCCCTTGCACTATTCACATCAATTCATGTGCTCTCATTATATCCAGCTGCCATAATAAACATTGTGTGTGCGTGTGTGTGTGTGTGTGTGTGAACAGCATGCTGTCACTTTTTTTCCCAAAAGGAGAGGTTCACTCAACCAAAGAGTCCTCTTCAAGGTGGTGACTAGCTATAATCTCTGAAAAGACTTAAATAAAGGGTTGAGTGAAGCTATAATTCCTGTTGCTACAACTGATCCCAAGGCTGTAATAGGTATCTATCACCTCCTTTCTTCACCATCTATTCTGAATCCCCTCATCTTCAGTTGTTCATCTGCTGGGATGACATGGAGCTTCATCTCTGAGGGTTTCTATTCATAGTTGCCTTGCCCTTGTCAGGCTCTGGTTGTTACAATTGAGCATCTTCTATGCATAATACTACCAAGAGAAGGCCAGGCATGGTGGCTCACCCCTGTAATTCCAGCATTTTGGGAGGCTGAGGCCGGTGGGTCATCTGAAATCAGGAGTTCAGGACCGGCCTGACCAACATGGGTAAAACTCCGTCTCCACTAAAAATACAAAATTAGCCAGGCATGGAGATGCATGCCTGTAATCCCAGCTACTCAGGAGGCTGAGGCAGGAGATTTGCTTGAACCTGGGAGGCAGAGGTGGCAGTGAGCCAAAGATCGTGCCATTGCACTCCAGCCTGGGCAACAAAAGCGAAACTCCATCTCAAAAACCAACCAACCAACCAACAAACCAACCAACCAACCAAACAAACAAACAAACTACTACCCAGAGATACCTCAGTGAATTCCTGGGTTCCTGACATGTTCCTTTTTATCCCTGTTGTATAGTAGCAATTCTGGATTATTTCTCATGATAATCAGGATCAGTGATTCCTGAGGAGACACTCACACCTTTGTTATGTGTTAGTTCCTGGTATAAGGAACTTCAAGTAAAAAGGTATGTAGGTTATAGCTTTAAGTTCATTAGGTACCTTTCTGTGTCATCTGACAGAGCATTCTGCCATCCATCTGATCCCTCTAGAACTGTAATCTCTAACCTTGTACAACCTATGATTAGAAAGTACAAGTTCTGTGAGTTTCGGAAATAAGAAAACCCAATTCTATTTGACTCTGTGGTTCCCAGATCCATGAATTCTTGCTATTTAGGATAAAGCAACACCATATAATTTGCTTTTTGTCAGCAGATAGTCTACAACTTAGGGGAAAGAGAACTCTTGAGCTGGTGCCTTTGCTGAAGCTTTAACAGGACTTTCCACTGTTCTACTAGACAGAGTATCTTGATGATGGTGTGCATAGGAAGACCAGTGGGTCCTTTAGTCATGCATCCAGGTAGCCTTTCCTTTGGCATAAATTGGGATTTTGTTCTGGGGAAGTGCTGAATGGAATACAATACACATAGATCAGATAGTCTGTAAGCCAGTAGATGGTGGTGCTGAGGGAGGTACAAGGGAAGGCAAACTAACACCATAAGGAGATTTCTATTTCAGTGAGACCAAGTCACAGTCCCTTTCATGTTGGAAGTGGCTCATTGTAGTAAACCTACTGCTATACTTGAGTTTGCCTCAAGGGATAGTGCCATCTTGATGGCTCAGAATTAGTCTCTTCTACTAGGAGACTGGACATTCACCATGACAGTAGCTGTATTAGTCTTTGTGAGAGGAAGTCAATGCTGTCCGGCCAATTCAATGTCTTAGTTTCTGCCACATGACCCATTTCATTGGCTGTGGTTGCTAAAGGGGGCAATCCATAGAAAGATTCATTCTGTCCCTTTAATTGTTGACCACCTCCTCTGCATGGACTATTCTCTAATGAGTATTTATGTGAGACACAAGGACATAAATACTTTGGGCTCAGTCCTATAAATTCATTTATATAACTCTTCCTAGAATTCCTTGTTCTTGATCTTTTGTCATTCCTTCCAGGCCCCTCAACAATGAGCCAAGTCACTGACCGCTTACCAGGAGTCTATGTAGGTCTGTACCTGAAGCCACATCTCATTCCATTATAATCAAATGACCAAGTGTTCTGCTAGCAGCTCTGCCCAATGGGAGAATTTCCCTTCACCACTGTCCTCTAGAAGTACCCCAATGGGATTATAATAACAATTGTCCATGTTTAGTCGGCACCAACGTATTATGCCACCCATTTTGAACCAAGCCCAAGTCCTTTCCTCCTCTGACAATTGGTTATGGAAAGCCCTCCATAAATTAGAGGTTTGGATTTTAGAAGAGGCATTAGTTTGATAATGTGAATCTGAGCTACCTGTTTATGAAATGTACTTGTACCTTCTTGAACTATTTGGACCTGATCCTAATGTAGCATTTCCATGGAATAATAAGTTGCCTTGCACCTACTCCAACCATGACACAGTGGATCAAATAAGATTCAGCATATGATGGGCAGCTTTGGATACATAGTCATTGATATTAATACCCAGTCCCTCTTAGGGTCCAGTAGAATGACAGGCATTGCTTTTCTTTTTTCTTTTCTTTTCCTTTCTTTTCTTTTCCTTTTCCTTCCTTCCTTCCTTCCTTCCTTCCTTCCTTCCTTCCTTCCTTCCTTCCTTCCTTCCTTTCTTTCTTTTCTCTCTCTCTCTCTCTCTCTTTCTCTCTCTTTCTTTCTTTCTTTTTGTTTTGAGACGGAATTTCACTCTTGCTGCCCAGGCTGGAGTGCAATGGCGCAATCTCGCCTCACTGAAACCTCTGCCTCCTGGGTTCAAGCAATTCTCCTGCCTCAGCCTACCAAGTAGCTGGGATTACAGGAAGGTGCCACCACACCTGGTTAATTTTGTATTTTTAGTGGAGATGGGGTTTCTCCATGTTGGTCGAGCTGGTTTCGAACTCCCGGCCTCACGTGATCCACCCACCTCAGTCTCCCGAAGTGCTGGGATTACAGGTGTGAGCCACTGTGCCCAGCCTAGGCATTGCTTTTCAAACAGAAAAGTGCCCTCTGCTACAAAAGCCATGCCCTTAGTCTCAAGCTCTAGGAGACACTGTAACAATTCTTCTACTGGGGCTTACCTGGTTCTCCACCCAGCATTCTCATCTGCTACTGTTCCCTTTAGTATATAGCCTGAGTAGGAGGACAAGTGGGTAACAGTCTCAACTTGTTGCAACCCCTCTTCTTACTCTGGGTTCCATGTAAAACCACAGCCTTCTGGGTCACCTGATAAACAGATTGGAGAAGTGCTCCTAAGAGCAGTCTATGCTCCCTCCAAAACTCAAAGAAGCCAACTTAGTGATTGGAGGTGCAACTTTTTCTTAGTGGTAGGAGGTGCAACAACTCATTCTTATCTTAGAGATATGCCATCCAATAAAATAGCCAGTAGCCCCATGTGGCTATTTAAATGAATTTATAAAAATATATATATTTGGCTGGGTGCGGTGGCTCACACCTGTAATCCTAGCACTTTGGTAGTCGGAGGCAGGCGGATCACCTGAGGTCAGGAGTTCGAGATCAGCCTTGCCAATATGGTGAAACCCCATCTCTACTAAAAATACAAAAATTACCCAGGCGTAGTAATGCGTGCCTGTAATCCTAGCTACTCAGGAGGCTGAGGCAGGAGAATCGCTGGAACCTGAGAGGCAGAGGCTGCAGTGAGCCAAGATAGCACCACTGCACTCCAGCCTGGGTGACAGAGCGAGACTCTGTCTTGAATATATATATATATTCATAAAAAAATATATATATAACATATATATTCAACTCCACAGTTTCACTAACCAAATTTCAAGTGTTCAATAGCTACATGTAGCTAGTGGCTACTCTGTTGTACAGCACAGACATAAAAACATTTCTATCATGGCAGAAAGTTCTATTGGACAGCACTACCTTCGAAACTCTATCATCATATGGCAGGTTAAGATGCAAACCCAGGTCTATCTGATGCTAAAGCCCATGCTTTTTCTACTTTAGCAAGTCACAGCCAGACTGGGTCTAAGCAAATGCTTTTCTGTTGTGTCCAAGAGCAAAATGAGCTCTCCAATCAGATTTTTGTGCAATTAAGTTTTGGTTCATGCAGTGTGGCTGCAAATTCTCTTTCATTTCGATAAATAAAAGAGGCATTTTATCTAAAGGCCAAGTCTGTAATAGTGACTCTCCATATCTGACTTCTCTTTCTTGGCTTCAGAGGACTCAGAAAGCAGTTTCCTTTTTAAAGAAAGTTTTTATATAGCTCAGAAATATTATGCATTTCCAAAGAAATAGAGCAGACTAGCATTCTGTGGCAGACAGCAGAATCTCTGTGAATGCTGTGGTTCTGCATTTCCATCTGTACTCCATAAAAGGCGAGGATCATTGTCCCCACAGAATGCAGCTGAATGGCAGCTGGAGCATGAATGGACAGGAAAAAACACTCTCCTCCCTCTAATAACACCACTTATGGCAGACAGGCGAGGTTCTCTTCTGAATGTGGTAAAGAGATACCGTTATGATAAGAGTAATTATTATACATTAGTTAAAATCCCATTTAGGGAGCGTTATATTGCAGCTTTTTTAAAAGAGGTTTGCTAACCCTCCAAGTTTGAGGGAGAGATTAATTAGTGTCAGTAAAGGATCTCCAAGATAAAAACAAATTAAGCCTCCTCATTTAGCCTTGCTTGGGTGTCCTTGAGTTGCTGCTTCCTTTGTGACAGGGACAGTGTTTGGTCTGATCTATTCTGCTTGGAGAGAAGGGAAGGGAACTCAAATTTGCTAGGGCTTCTGATGTGCCAGACACCATGATACGTACTTTAGAAGAAGGAGGCACCTTTGAACTAGGATTTCCCATTGTTCCCACTCAGCCCACTGCAGAACATTTGCTAAATTGAGGCATTTATGCCCTAAGACTATCTTTGTGACACAGATTGAGTCATGTTTTGGGTGGCCCCTCCCAAGCCACTCTGGATTATTTACTTGCATTTCATTCAAACGGGCAAAAGAAAAATAGAAGGTTAAAAAAACATAGTTCAGTTGTTTGTTTCTTTTAAACACTCCCATGAATACTAAAAATATTTGCTTCAGGACTGCTGGCTTTGGGGATATTTTGAAAATATGGCAACAGGTCGAATTCCTACCAGAAATAAATATTGTTAGCTTTTATCCTTTGTTCAGTCTCACTGGCTACAAGATTTTATCATTTCTCCCATCAAGTATTTTGAATTTTTAGCCTAGGTTTTCTGAGACAGACTTCATCTTATGTACTGCACTATTGTCAGTTAAAGCAAATCATTACATGCGAACTTAAATGCATTTCGATCTTGTTATCTTTGTGAAATTTATTACATTAAGTAAACTTACAAATTATTAAAAAAAAATCTTACACCATGAGTCTAATTTTAGTTTCAGGAAATAGTTGTGCCTATCACCCAAATCATTACCTGTTCCATTTATTTCAATTGATTTTGCTAGTTGTGTAAATGTAGACCAATTATTTACACTGAGACTTCACTTTTTTTCTTCACTAAAAAGAAGAATAATAGTTACTTCATAGGATTCCAATGAGGATCAAATGGGATGATGCACTTAGTGACTTCACCTTCATGTCAAGATAGTGTAATAGGTGCCAGATTTACTCCGCTGGCTGAAACAACCAAAAATTGCCTAAAATGTATGAAATAATTTTTTAAAGACACTTAGGCAACAAACAACAAAGGACAATTATTCCTGAGAGCTAAGAGACAAATGAGGTAAGCCCTGTAATTGTCCCAGCTTACTGTGTTTAAGGAGTTTCTAAGTAGTGGAGCAGGGAAGTGGAACCTAGGCAAATAAAATTCAGAACAAAGAATATTACCAGGAATAATGAATGCCATTTCATAAAATAAAGGGTTCATTCCATCAAGACGGCATAACAATCTTTTTTTTTTTTTTTGAGATGGAGTCCCACTCTGTCACCCAGGTTGGAGTGCAATGGCATGGTCTCGGCTCACTGTAACCTCCGCCTCCCGGGTTCAAGCGATTCCCCTGCCTCTGCCTCCCGAGTAGCTGGGATTACACGTTCGTGCCACCACACCCAGAAAATTTTTGTATTTTTAGTAGAGATGGGGTTTCATTATGTTGGCCAGGTTGGTCTCGAACTCCTGAGCTTGTGATCCACCTGCCTCGGCCTTCCAAAGTGCTGGGATTACAGGCATGAGCCATCACACCTGGCCTGGACATAACAATCTTAAACACATATGCACCTAATAACAGAGCTGCAAAATACGTGAAGCTGGCTAGGTGTGGTGGCTCATGCCTGTAATCCCAGCACTTTGGGAGACCCAAGTTGGTGGATCACTTGAGGTCAGGAGTTTGAGACTAGCCTGGCCAACATGGTGACCCCATCTCTACCAAAAAATACAAAAATTATCTGGGTGTGGTTATGTGTGCCTGTACTCCCAGCTACTTGGGAGGCTGAGGTGGGAGAATTGCTTGAACCCAGGAGGTGGAGGTTGCAGTGAGCCAAGATCGTGCCACTGCCCTCCAGCTTGGGTGACAGAGTGAGACTCTGTCTACACACACACACACACACACACACACACACACACACACACACACACAGTGAAGCTGCCAGGTATGATGGTTCATGCCTGTAAGTCTAGCACTTTGGGAGGTCAAAGTGAGAGGATAGCTTGAGGCCAGCTGGACAACATAGTGAGATCTCATTTCTACAAAAAATTTTAAAAAATAGCTGGGCATGGGCCAGGCGCGGTGGTTCAGGCCTGTAATCCCAACACTTTGGGAGGCCGAGGCGGGTGGATCATGAGGTCAGGAGATGGAGATCATCCTGGCTAACACAGCGAAACCCTGTCTGTACTAAAAATACAAAAACAAAAAAATAGGCAGGCATGGTGGCGGGTGCCTGTAGTCCCAGCTACTCGGGAGGCTGAGGCAGGAGAATAGTGTGCACCTGGGAGGCAGAGGTTGCAGTGAGCCGAGATCGCACCATTACACTCCAGCCTGGGTGACAGAGCGAGACTCCGTCTAAAATAAATAAATAAATAAAAATAAATAAAAAATAACTGGACATGATGGCGTGCACCTGTAGTCTCAAGTACTTGGGAAAGTGAGGGGGAAGAATTGCTTGAGCCCAGGAGGTCAAGGCTGCAGTGAGCCATGAATATGCCACTATACTCCAGTCTGGGTGACAGAGTGAGACCATGTCTCTTAAAAAAAAAAAAAAAGGGCTGGGCACGGTGGCTCACATCTGTAATCCCAGCACTTTGGGAGGCTGAGGCAGGTTGATCACGAGGTCAGGAGTTCAAGACCAGCCTGGCCAAGATGGTGAAACCCCGTCTCTACTAAATATACAAAAATTAGCTGGGCGTGGTGGTGGGCGCCTATAATCCTAGCTACTTGGGAGGTTGAGGCAGAGGATTGGAATTGCTCGAACCCGGGAGGCAGAGGTTGCAGTGAGCCGAGGTCGCACCAGTGCACTCCAGCCTGGGTGACAGAGCAAGACTCCATCTCAAAAAAAAAAAAAAAAAAAAGAAAGAAAAGAAAAGGGAAGAAATGAATTAGAAAATTCAAAATGATTTAAAAGTAATGTTATAAAGGATAGCAAATGAAAAAATGAATGAAGAACAGCTAAGCTGCATTTATTAGAGAGGAAATTTGGATAATAGAGTATTAGGGAAACCGAGGAAGAACTTGGGTAGGAAGAGGAGAAAGTGAAGTGCTGTAGAGAGGTGCTGGAAGTGCAGCAAGTGCATTGGCAAAACTAGGGTGACCTGTGTATAATGACAGACAGAATAGGGTATTAGAAAGTAGTGTCACAAGATTCACAGGGCTGCATGCTGCAAGATGCCCATCACAAATGTGGCACTTCGCAGACTAACCATTTTGTGAGATTGCCTTCCTTCAAGATCGAATTAGATGCTCATTTTAACCCAATTTCACCTGGATAAAACTCTAAAAGGTCGGAATAGGCTAGTGCCTCAAATTCAGTATTTTAACGTAATAAACGTCTTTTTCTCTCTCATGGCAATCCAGTAAAGGCCTGCAGAAGGATTCTGCTCCATGTGGTCATTCGGGAGCCCAGGCTCCTTTTGTCTTGTGTCTCTGCTCTTCTCTCCATTTTTCAAATTCTGTCCACTTAGCTAGTGGGTAGGAAAGGAGAACCAGGACTGCATGAAGGACATTTTTAACATTTCAGGCATAGATGTGGCACATGCCATGTAGGTTCATATTCCATTGGCTGAAATTCAGACACATGGTCTCAACTAATTGCAAGATGTGCTCCAGCCATGTGCCCAGAAGAAAAGCAGAACACTGGTATTTGTAAACACCAATAATCTCTACAACAGATGTCCTTGTCCTGTGTGTTGATGCTTTGCGAACCAGACTCCTTTGTTGAACACTGAGCCTAACTCCAATTTATTTTCTAAGTGAATTTAATTGTTTTTATTACAGTAAATGCTCATGGAAAGAATTTAAACTGGAGTCAAACATGAATATTTTCTAACATTATTGAATGGAAATAAAGCATCATACAAAGATATAAACAAAGTTTTCAAATTTCAATATGTTAGGGGAGGACAAAAGAATCTTACAAATCATTTAATTCAGTCTTCTAATTTTGCAGTTAACTAAACTGGACCAACAGCCCACATCTACGTAGATAATTAGTAAGAGAGCCAGGGTTTAAACCTAACTGGTGTCATGTCAGGCTTTAAACTACAAACAAGAATTTAACACATCAAGACAAAAAGTCTTCATGTTATACTTTTAAAAGGCACAGAACAATTAAACAGTTTAGAAATCTAATATGTCTTTAAATTACACGGATGCATTAAGGAACCTCATTTTTAAAAATTATTATTATTATTTTTGGAGGCAGAGTCTCGCTCTGTCACCCAGGCTGGAGTGCAGTGGCACTATCTTGGCTCACTGAAACCTCCACCTCCTGGGTTCAAGCGATTCTCCTGCTTCAGCCTCCTGAGTAGCTGGGATTATAGGTGCCTGCCACCATACCCAACTAATTTTTGTATATTTAGTAGAGACAGGGTTTCACCATGTTGGCCAGGCTGGTCTCAAACTCCTGATCTCAAGTGATCCACCTGCCTCGGCCTCCCAAAGTGCTGGGATTACAGGTGTGAGCCACCATGCCCAGCCAATCTCTTTTTTTTTTTTTGAGACAGAGTTTCACTCTTGTTGCCCAGGCTGGAGTGCAATGACGTGATCTCGGCTCACTGCCACCGCTGCCTCCTGGGTTCAAGTGATTCTCCTGCCTCAGCCTGCCTAGTAGCTGGGATTACAGGCATGCACCACCACACACACCCAGCTAATTTTGTATTTTTAGTAGAGACGGGGTTTCACCATGTTGGTCAAGCTGGTCTCGAACTCCCGACCTCAGGTGATCCACCCGCCTCGGCCTCCCAAAATGCTGGGATTACAGGTGTGAGCCACCATGCCCAGCTGCCAATCTCATTTATTTTTAACAGACATTTGCATTTTTAGTTGATGAGATGATAACAAGCGTCTACCAGAGAAGTGCCTGCTGTCCATGGGTTAATGAATTGGATTATTACAGCAGTGGAGGTGGGTCTCTTTCTTTAGGAAATAGTTGATCAATTTTCTTTGGCTTTCATAATCTTAAATTTAGATCAAGTCAGAGAAATGACAATATATAGCCTTTTGCTTTTAGGATAACAGTATTTTTCAATACACATAGACTTGTTTTGCAATAAATATTCTTTTTTTCTGATCTAAGTGCCACCATTTATCTCCTGTTCTTCTTTATATTTTGTATACACAAAGCCTAAATTGGGTTTGATAGTAGGAATTAAGGAGTTCCATATGAATGGATTTTCCAGACAAAGGAAGCTTACCTACATTATTGAAATTTAACAATTTTAGAAGGAAATCTTTCTAGGCTGTATCACCTACTTATCCATCACCTTTAAAAGAGTCTTGATATCTTCCCTTTAATAGAGAGCTGAGAACAGAGATTTGAAGCCAGACCGCTTTTGTTTAAGACCTGGTTCTGACTCTTACCAGCTGTGTGACCTCAGGCACGTTACTGTCTTGGTTTCCTCATTTGTAAAATAAGAATATTAGTATATTCTTCTTAAAGTAGTTGTGAAGATTGAAAGATAATATATATAAGGCACTTAAGACAGTGTCTGGTATATAATAATTACTAAGTATATATTAGCTCAAGGAGTCACAGTCTACAATGTGAGAGGGGGGTTGGCAGAAGTAAGATATTAATTAATGGAATATACAAGTGCATTTACCAACTTGTGATAAGTGATAGAAAAGGAAAGTACTAAGTGCTATTAGAGTGTTAACAGGGGAACCAGATTTAGCCTGGCATTGTGTTATAGAATTCTTTACATTTTAGTTTTTCCTACTGATGTGTGAATTTTTTGAAAGCAAGAAGCATGTCTTAATCTTCCTTATGTAACTGTCAGTAAGCACAGTCTCTGGCGCATAGCAGGGGCTCGAGACTACTTTGGAAGGAGAGATTAAAGGAAAGAAAGAAAAAATTCTACAGGCATCACCCGGAGAATATAAAGATATTCCAGGCAAGTATTCTGCAGGGGGTAGAGAATTATGCTCCTTGGTGACCCTGCCACCTGCAGAGGTGCAGTACCTCCCGCACAGGGGTCAGCATCCCAGTGATTCCTGGCATCTGCAGCTTAATGAGGATGTATCCATTTATGCATTAAGGTTCATTTCCCTTGTTCAAAGCAGTCCCTCAGGTCTTCCCGGAGGACTGGTTTGCTTATTTTATACAGGATTCTTAGAATACTGCTGACATGTTTGATAATCAGAGAGTCTTGGGAAGGGGGTTGCTTATCTTGGGGAAAGTCAGCGAGCTATGTTTGAAGGCAGGTTTTCTTCCTCTCTTGAGAGAGTTGAGCAGTTTGAAAATAGGCTGCCTTCAGCCTTGCTTGGAATCTGGAGTGAAAGAGAAATACAGGGATGCAGCACTGAAGGAGCCCTGCTGTTCTCCTGGCCTGAGGGCTGAATTGATTCCACAGGTAACCTAGCATGAGCCTTCCACTTCATATGGGAGAAAAGGGAGGAGCAGATGGCCAGGTGCCTTGCCCCAGGTCACACAGTGGCAAAGCCTGAAGCCCTCAGACTTGCACGCTCCCAGCTGACACCCTATACAACACATGGGGAATGGGAAATTGGAATCGACTTTAAAAAAAAAAATCTATGAATCAAAAGCCGGGTTTGTTGGGGCATACCTGTAGTCCTAGCTACTCAGGAGGCTGAGCTGGAGGATCACTTGAGCCCAGGAGTTCAAAGCTAGCCTGGGCAATATAATGAGACCCTATCTCTAAAATAATAATAATAATAATAAAATCTATGAATAAGTTAGGAAAGACAAGGAAGAGACTGACTTGTGCGAACCTCCAATTTTAAATTGTGTTAGCTTAGAAGAAAGACTATTTTTTAAAAATGTAATCAAAATAGTTGATGAGAACAACAGTAATACCAGAAAACACTTATATGTTATTTGTTATTTGCTTGGCATCATTCTGAGAGTTTTATATGTATAAATTCATTTAACTTCCATAACACTTCCTGGCCTAGATTTTATTAATTTTACACGTGAGGAAAACTGAGACATGGGAGCTTAAGCAACTTGCCCAAGGTCACACATTTAGTCGGTTGGAGAGTTAGAATGAAGATTTAGTTAAATATTTGCAGGAGCTGCGGAGTGTGCTGGCTAGCTGTCTTGCTGCTGCCACGGCTCTGCCCTCTGGCGGCTCACCCTGGCCCATGGATGAGGATGTCTGGCTAAGCCCAGGGCTTAATGGCCCTCTCCTGCTTTACAGAAGAACCCTGGAGTCGGGGCTCCTTGACATAAAACTGGTTTGTGTCCATAGGTTTATGACATTACTTTTTTATGTTGTCAGTGGGGCAGTGTCCTGGTAATTGCTGTCATTGTTCTATATTTGTCCCTGTATAGTCACTGGCTGAGAGCTTTCTTAAACTGAAACTCTAGAGCACTGAAGGATTTTAGATTTTTCTAGATACAAAATAGAATTTCAGGGGCATAGTGAATTTTGGGATCTGTCTTCAGCTTTCTTTATATCAGTGGAAATCCACCCCAGATATTAGAAATAAGGACCAGAAAAAAATTAATTAACTGTGATGGAGGAATCTAGTCATTGGACCAATTTGCTTTAAGAAACAAAAGAATTATGAAAAACTCAGAAATTTTTTTTTTTTTTTTTTTAGACAGGGTCTTTGTCACCTGGGCTGGAATGCAGTGGTGCAATCATGGCTGACTGAAGCCTCTACCTCCCCTGGCTCAGAGGATCCTCTCACCTCAGCCTCCTGAGTAGCTGGGACCACAGGCACGCACTACCACACCCAGCTAATTTTTAAGAAATATTTTTGCTGGGCATGGTGGCTCATGCCTGCAATCCCAGCACTTTGGGAGGCCGAGGTGGGCGGATCACCTGAGGTCGGGAGTTTGAGACCAGCCTGACCAACATGGAGAAACCTCATCTCTGCTAAAAATACAAAATCAGCCAGGCATGGTGGCACATGCTGAGGCTGGAGGCTGAGGCAGGAGAACCACTTGAACCTGGGAGGTGGAGGTTGCAGTGAGCCAAGATCGCGCCATTGCACTCCAGCCTGGGCAATAAGAGCGAAACTCTGTCTCAAAACAAAAAACAAACAACAACAACAAAAAAAAGCCAACATATTTTCGTAGAGATTACAGGCATGATCCACCACAACTGACTCAGAATTGTTTACAAGCCCTCAAGTTTGGAAAATCATCTGCAGATGTTAAGATATGTCCAGATAAGAAAACATCCAAATTGAACTGAGAGCACAAGGAACTACCCTGGACAGAATAAAAGTGAAAACTAGGTGAAAAAAAAATTAAAGAAAGGCAAGGGCATTACTGAATACTTACTATGTGCTAATCTTTGCCAAGGTACACTTCTCTGTCCCTTTAATGTGGTCCCATTCTCACTCGTTTCCCATTCTCAGATCTCACCTCAAAGCTTTGCTAAGAGAAGCAGTTAGGATCAACAAGAGAGTCTTGTTTCATTTCAGGAGCTCCACTAAGAAGGCTCCTGGAGTCGAACTTGTCCCAGGCTCAGAGGAAAGGGACGGTCAGACTCTATCCTTAACTAGGACCCAGGGGAGAAGACAGAAAAGAAAAAGAAAGTATGGAGGAAACAGAGAAGGTAAATTCTGTGTGGACTCAAAGGCAGCCTGTTGAGAACAGCAGCTGAACTGTTTTTAGCATCCTCTGGATTCCAAATGTGTCTGTGACCCAGCTACAAGAAAACTGGGCTCTTCCTGGTAATGGTTGATATCTGTATGCCCTTCCAGATCTCCGCTGCATAAAGGCAAAACTCCATCTAGTCCAACTGTCAGGATAGCCCTCTGTGCTAATTACACAAATAAGCAGGCTGAGATCTAGATAGCTTACCAAAACTCAAACAGCTAGTATAAGGCAGAATGAGGCCTAAAACCCAGGTCTGGTGTTTTGAAACCAAAACACTTTTCATTACTTCAGGTGCTGGTTAAATATCCAGCCCAGCACACAAATGCCCTCGTGAGTTAGGATACTTGTGTGTGTGTCTGAGTTCTCCATCCCTTTTCTGCCCCTCAGTTCCTCCTCCCAGGGGCACAGAGCCCTGATGTTGCCCTGGAGAAGGCCTTGCAACATCTGGAAGTCCAGGGAGAGTGAAGTGACTGCTGTGCCAGGTTGAGTCAGTGGAGGAACGCAGGCGTGTCAGCGGGTTCCCAGGGGCGCTTTTCATCACCGAGGCACTCAGTAACAGGCTATCAATACCATTCCGAAATAGAAAGCATCAAACGGCCCAGGCTGTGGCTTTGAGTCGCCACCGAGGTGGCCAGCACAGGAAGCATTAGCACGTCTTGCTTTTCTAGGAATAAAAGAACCGCAACTGTGTCCTTGAGTGTGTTAAACAATGTTAACTAGAGGGAAGGGTCAGGAGAGAGGTATGTGTGGTGGTTTATGGGCAGGAGATGAGAGAAACCACATGGCTCATTTGCCCGGCACTAATGGATCTGAAGCCAGGAGCCGGAGGCCAAGGGCACTGCTGTCTTGAAATGAGAAGAACTGAGAACAAGGGAAGTCCATTAGTGTCATGTTTGTGTTTCTCCTCCTCTGAAGCTGGATTCCAAGCTCACAGGGAGAAACGACCAACAGTTTTCATCCTCAAGAGCTTTTTCCCGTTAGTGTCAAATTATGCCAGTATGGAAAAGGCAAAAAAACAGCAGTATAAATGGAGGCATTTGGAAGCGTACTAGGAAGCCTCTCTCCTCTGCCCAGGGCAAAGCTCAGATGCCTTAGGAAGATGATTAAGTTGATATTTGGGGCAGGGGTTGCTCCTTCGCCCTTGACACGTGGATTTTCAGCAAGAGATCACCTTACTTACACAGGGTCTGAATCAAGTCCTGCTAACTAAAAAGTCAACCAAAGGCATCCAATTCACAATGTGACCTATTAATCAAGATCATCATGTACCTTAGCTCTGAGCCATCACTAATTTCACCAAAACAAAATTGTTTTGATCTATAGAAATAAAAAATAACATCTTTAAAATAATAACATCTAATATGTACAAGCACTTACTTTGGGCCAGGCATTAAGTGCTTTACAAGTTCTAACCCATTTAACTCTTACAGTGATGCAAAGAGGTAGAAAATTGTTGTATCCCCACTTTCAAACAAGAACACAGAGACACAGTGGAGTATTTCATCATCTATTGCCACTTAACAAACTACTGCAATACTTCGTGACCTAAAACAACAATTTATTGCCATTATCTCATGTTTCTGGGGGAGCAGGAATTTGACGGGCAGTGCTACTCTGCTCCATGGGGTCTAGGACTACAGCTGGGATGATTTGAATAGTGAGGGGCTGGCCAGGCATCTCTGTCTGCATGGTGACTTCACAGGGCTAGCTTGAGTTTTTTCCTAGCATAGTGGCCTCGGGGTAGTTGGACTTCCAACATGGTGCCCCAGGGCAAGTTGTCCAAGAGGTCTGAGTGGAAGCTATAAGGCTTCTTATCAAATAGCCTAGGAACCCACAGGAGGTGACTTCTGCCACAGGCCAGTCATTAAGACTAGCCAACATTCAGGGGAAAGGGAATTAGATTCTACCTCTAAATATGAAGAAAATCAACAAATTTAGAAGTATTTTCAGTCTGCTACAGTAAGTAATCAAGTCATATAACTAGTAAGCTGAAAAATAGCATTTTAACCTAGACACTCTTTTGTAATTTTTAGAATTTATGTATTTATTTTAATTTTTGATTTTGTAAGTACATAGTAGCTGTATATACTTATGACGTACATGTGATGTTTTGATACAGGCATGCAATGCATAATAATCACATCATGGAGAATGAATGGGTTATCCATTCCCTCAAGCACTTATCCTTTGTATTATGAACAATCCAATTATACTGTTTTAGTTATTTTTAAATGTACAATTAAGTTATTATTGACTACAGTCACCCCATTGTGCTATCAAATAGTAGGTCTTATTCATTCTTTCTATTTTTTTGTACCCATTAACCATCCCCACCTCTCCTCTTCCCCTTCCCCCCCAGTTTATTTTATTTTAGATTCAAGAGGTACATGTGCAGGTTTATTACAAGGGTATGTTGCATGATGCTGAGGTTTGGGCTTCTATTGATCCTGTCACCCAGATAGTGAACATACTACCCAATAGGTAGTTTTTCAACCCTTGGACTCCCCCTTCCCTTTTTTGCCATTCCCAGTGTCTATTATTCTCATCTTTATGTTCATGTGTATCCAATGTTTAGCTCCCACTTATTAGTGAGAACACGTGGTATTTGGTTTTCTGTTTATGTGTTTATTCACTTAGGAAAACAGCCTCCAACTGCATCCTTGTTGCTGCATACAACATGAGTTCATTATTTTTATGACTGCATAGTATTCTATTAACCCAGACACTCTTAACCACTACATCTGGAAGTTGAATTTATATATCATTGACACAAATTCAGTGGATGATGGATATTCTGGCATTCATTTGTAATTCAATTGTTTGGAAAATTTACACTTTCTTCTAGAGGTGTAATGTTTCTTTTCCTCTTTCCTTAAGTATTTGTTAAACACCAACTTTGTGCCAGGCACTGTCCTAGGTGTTAGGGATAAAAAGCAAACAAACTACTGTCCCTGATTTTCAATGTTGTTATGGTTTGGCTGTGTCCCCATCCAAATCTCATCTTGAATTGTAGCTTCCATAATTCCTATGTGTTGGGGGAGGGACCTGGTGGGAGATAATTGAATCATGGGGGCGGTTTCCTCTATACTGTTCTCATGGTAGTGAATAAGTCTCAAGAGATCTGATGGTTTTACAAGGAGAAACCCCTTTCACTTGGTTCTCATTCTCTCTCTTGCCTGCTGCCATGTAAGAACGTGCCTTTCATCTTCTGCCATGATTGAGGCCTCCCCAATAACGTGGAATTGTGAGTCCATTAAACCTATTTTTCTT
Source organism: Homo sapiens (assembly GCF_000001405.40). NCBI lineage: Eukaryota > Metazoa > Chordata > Mammalia > Primates > Hominidae > Homo > Homo sapiens. The sequence continues at coordinate 68,326,042 of NC_000001.11, forward strand.
TATAAATTACCCAGTGTCAGGTATGTCTTTATCAGCAATGTGAAAACAGAGTAATGCAAATGTCCTGTAGTCTAATGAGGGGAACAAACATGTACTTAATTATTGTTCAATGTAATTAATACTGCATGATAGGAACTAATATGAAGATTGAGGAGAAAACATCTAATTATAGTTTAGGGGCTAGGGAGGCTTTCCAAAGGAAACAAGGTTTGAATTATATCTTAGAAGATTAAGAGAGTTTGCCAGGTGTTATGGACTGAGATTTTATGTCCCACCAAAACTCTTAGGTTGAAGCCCCAGTCACCAATGCAGCAGAATTTACAGATGGGGCCTTTAAGGAAGTTATTAAGGCTAAATGAGATCTTAAAGGTGGGTCCTTGATGTGATACAATTAGTGTCTTTAAAAGAAGAGATACCAGAGAGCTCACACTTTCTCTGCCGTGTAAGGACACAGTGGGAAGACAGCCTTCTGAAAGCCAGGAGGAGAGCCCTCCCAGACACCGAATTGGCCAGAACCTTGATCCTGGACTTCTTGCCTCCAGATCTGTGGAAAATAAATTTGTGTTTAAGCCACTCACTTTATGATATTTTGTTATGTCAGCTCCAGCTGACTAAGACACCAAATAAAAAGGGAAGGAAGAGTATTCCAAAGAGAAGCAATAGCTTATGTAAGTGAAATGAGACTTAACAGAACAAGGTATAAGTAGGGAACCAGCAGTAGTTCACCAGGGCTGAAGCACAGGGTATTTGTGGGGGAGCAGTGGTAAATAGACCAGAAAGATGCCAAAATCTAGATGCTTGGATCTCCTAGAATTGCTGAGTTAACCAGTCCTGGGGTTGCCTGACTTCTGCATTTCTCCTTATGTGAGATAAGTTTTCGTATTGTTTGAACCATCTTGGCATAGTTTTCTGTCCTTTGTATTCTAAGGTACTTGAATCATTTATGACAAATTTTAGCTGCATGTTATGAAAGTTTCAGAATAATTATGGTTTAAGTAATATAGACTTTTAATTATTTCTTAATAAAAAATTACCAGATTTTGGCAGTCCAGGCCAGGCATACACTTCATGATGGCAAAGCGTAGGATCCCTTTATCAAGTTGCTATACCATTCTCAAGAGATAGCTTCAGGATCATGTTACAGAGTACAGCTATCATGTCTTCACTCTTACCAGGAAGATGGAAGGGGACAAGGGATGCCTCACACATCTTCTTTACAGACATAGAAACCACACACACACACACACGTATGCACACACACACACACACACACACACACACACATATCACTTCCACTTTATGCCATTGGGTCATATGCCATTGGAGCATGTCTGTTGCAGCTTGAAAAGTTGTCTTTTCTTTGGATATCTATGCTTCCAGGTAAAAAAGTCTGTGGGTTTTTACTAAAGAAGAAGAGGTGTAGGGATATTGAGGGATACTTACTAGTCTCTACCACGTGGAGAATCTCCCTAAGTCATCTAGATGATGGTATAGTTGCATGGGCGACAGTGAGGAAAGAGTGGAGATTCCCAGACAGGATTTTGTAAAGTACTGTGAGGATAATTCTGGTGTAACTGGAATTTTGCCATAGTGTCTGCCTTGCACTCAGTTTCCTGCTGGAACAATATGTTCTTTCTCAATGTTCCTCAAACCACTTCCCTGGAGTTTTATAAAAGCCTTTCAACCTTGTCGAGAAGAGAGAGAAACATAAAATAGAGAGAATATTTTGGTCAATATATTCTTGTTAATGCATAGTATTTAATGGTCTATAATGTGCTTCTGTATCATATAACCCACATGGATATAAAAAGGGAGCCATATTAAAGAATCATTCTGGTTTTGACTATTGCAGCCACTAGAATCTCGATGGCAATACTCAGGTGCAGTGTGCCATTTTCAAATATTTACAATAGATCTGAAAGGGCTTCCTAACTCAGGGATGAAGGAGATGGTTCAACAACTGAGTCTATATTGGAGATCAAGAACCTATACACTTTAACAAAGCAGTGTCAGATCATTTATAAGCAAAAACATTGTGTGCTTATCAATGGAGTGTAGACTATCACTTTCTCCTCTCCTTCTCACTAAGGAACTGGTGAACATCCTTAGATGACGAATAGTTTTCTGAGGTTTCCGTAACAAAGTACCATAAGTTGTGTGGCTTAAACAACAGAATTTAGGCTAGAGGTCCAAGATCAAAGTGTCAGTAGGGTGGGTTCCTTCTGAGGGCCGTGATGGAGAATCTTTTCCTCATCTATCTCCTCACTACTGGTGGTTTGCTGCTGATATTTGACTTATAAATAGCTTTCTCATCATGTCTTCATATCATCTTCCTTCTAGGCGTGTCTGCCTCTGTGTCCAAATCTCCCCTTTTTATAAGGACACCAGTCATATTGTATTAGGGCCCTCCTTTATGACATTTTAAGAAAATGGATTACCTCTGCAAATACCTTATTTGCAAATAAAGTCACATTCTGAGGTACTGGGGGTTAGCCATCCAATATATCTATTTTTGGGGTGATACAAGTCAACTCATGGCAGATGAGTATTACTGAAGAGAGAGCTTTGCTTTTGGTTCAGTTTAGATTTGTCTTCTTCTGAGTTCTGTGGAATTTCCTCTGATGTCCTACATTCCTCCCAAGTGATGCTGTGCATATTTGTTAGGGCGCTGCTATCATCAGAATGTTTATTTCCTCCCCCAAATTCATATGCTGAAATCCTAACCCCCAAGGTGATAGTATTAGGAAGTGGGGGCCTTAGGGAGGCAATTAGGCCATGAGGGACAGAGCTCTCATGAGTCAGATTAGTGTCCTGATAAAAGAAGACCCCAAAGAGCTAGCTCACCCCTTCCACCACATAAGAACAGCAAGTGGGTGCTATTTATAAGGAAGCAGACAATCACCAGTACAGAATCTGCTGGCACCTTGGTATGGTTTGGCTGTGTCCCCACCCAAATCTCACCTTGAATTGTAATCCCCATAATCTCTATGTGTTAATGGTGGGACCAGGTGGAGGTAATTGGATCATGGGGCATTTTCCCCCATGCTGTTCTCATGATAGTGAGTGAGTCTTACAAGATCTGATGGTTTTATAAGCATCTGGCATTTCCCCTGCTTGCACTCACTCCCTCCTGCTGCCCCCTGAAGAAGGTGCCTGCTTCTCCTTTGCCTTCTGCCATGATTGTAAGTTTCCTGAGGCCTCTCCAGGAATGTGGAACTGTGAGTCAATTAAATCTCTTTCCTTTATAAATTACCCAGTCTCCAGTATTTCTCCATATCAGTATGAGAACAGACTAATACATACCTTGACCTTGGACTTCCTAGTCTCATTTCTGTTATTTAAAAGCCACACAGATTATGGTATTTTGTTATAGTATCTCAAACAGGCTTTGAGAGGTGCTTACTAGTAATTTCTTATGTTATTTCTCAGAATTCACATTAAGTATTCAAATTGTATCAATATTGCTGAGGAGACTGGATCCCCCCCAAACTCCTTGCAAAATGCTAACCACTTGCTTTGCTTTTTACTATGGGAATGGCTGCAGGGTGTTTCATCTTTGATTCCCTCATTTCCTCTCAACACTCTGGATGCCGATACTGTATTTGGCCTCCTCTACTCCCCCCTCTTCCCCACAATACTTGCTTTCTTTTTCTCTCTGCCAGCTGCATTGAAAAAAAAATCCTTTTAGTAAAAATAGTTATTTTCTGAATGGAATCTAATCTCTTCCTCCCACTAAGCAGTGGCATCTTCTGTGTAACACCATTAAACATGCCCTCTGAGAGCTCAGGGGCAGTTTCCCTTTATCAATACAATGTTCTTATCTGCTTTTATCTTATTTTTGAATAGTTAGTGATGTTTCCTGACATTTACAACATCCCTCTGCCACCTACAGCCCCCTAATCAAGAGAATTGTGCTGATGGGGCCACGGTGGGCAGAGGATAGTCCATCCTTGGCTTGTCTGGAGGTATCTTGTGCAGAGGATGGTTTCATTGAGGACATGATGTCTTTATCATTCAGGGTGATTCACTTCAGGATTCTGTCTAAATTATTCAGTGAGTACTAAGCAGACAGGTGGAGAGAAACAGAGATGCAATGAGAAAGAGTTCAACAGATCTGTCTAGTCTTCAGGGGAGACTTGGGCTCTGATATCTTCTTGTTCCTGCTTCAGTCTAAATCCTGAGAATCAACTTTCCTCTCCCCAACACTTTTTAACTGGTTCTCACAACCAAAAACACCCTAACTTATTTCTAACCATTTCTTTCCTTTTCTTTCTTTCTTTCTTTCTTTCTTTCTTTCTTTCTTTCTTTCTTTCTTTCTTTCTTTCTTTCTTTCTTTCTTTCTTTCTTTCTTTTTCTTTCTTTCTCTTTCATAATTTGCTCATCCCAACAATCTCCTGAGGCTCAGAGACCTTTAAAAGATATTCCACATTAAATGGTGGAGCTGAGACTGAAACGTGATTCTTCTGATAACAAATGTCATATGCTTGACTGTAACGTGTTATAAAGCTATTAGTGAAAATATGCTGAGAAACAAAGCACAAGGATGGTATTATCTGCTAAAGAGCTGTAGTGGTGCTGGGCAAGGAATATTTCACAGAGGTTTCATTCATCTTTCTAATTTCATTGGATCTTCAAAGCAAACCTGTGGGATAGAGACATGAGAAACACCTTTATCTTCAGTTTTATTTGTTATTTATTTAGGAGACAGGGTCTCACTTCATTCATCCAGGCCTGGAGTGCAGTGATGTGATCTCAGCTCACTGCAGCCTCAACATCTCAGGCTCAAGTGATCCTCCTACCTCAGATCCCTGAATAGCTAGGAGTATATCTGCAGTTTTCAATGCAGAAACTGTACTTCTAGGCTTGGCCAAGGCCATAGAACCAGGAAATGCTTATGACAGTGATTAGATTATATATTTTTAAAGACCCTGACCCATGGGTGACATATATTTTACTTCAATAAATGTTTTTAGGCAGGAAGACAGAAGAGAGTGAATGAAAGATGGAAAGGAGGAAGGAAGAGAAAGGAAGAAGGAAGAATGTCTTTTCACAACCTCAAGCCATCGCCAACACTCAGTGATCAATGATTCAGTGCTGGTCACTACTCCTTCAACCAAGGGTTCCACCCACTCCATGCTCAGCAGTCCCCAAGCTTATTTCTTAGAAGTTTTGTGTTTGGGATACCTAGAGCTTGATTATTCTGGTACTCAGTGAGTCATCCTCTCCTCCATCTGTTTATATAACAAGTCTAACCACAGCCATTGTTGCTGATTATATGGTGGAAATGACCTAACAATGTTTTATTTAATGATCTCCAACCATTTCCATCTGGTCTGTGGGTGGCTGCACAGTCATTATTCATCAGTGGAACTTTGCAAACACAAACACATATGTATGTATGTAATAAAACCTCAATAATTTACACTAATTGGAGGGAAGGCCTATTTGAGTTAACAAAAAGTAAGAAACACTGTTTTATTACTTTCAAGCCCATGATGTAATTAACCACTTAATGAGCATGTGGCTTGGTGGAAAGCACTGGAATAGGAGTCTTCTGAGCTGGACCTTGATAAGGAGAGAAATGAGATAAATGTGGATATGCAGCCTGGGTCACACAAGATGCAACACCGGAGCATGGTGACCACATCTCAGGGTCTGACTTATAGGTCCAGAAATGTAAAATTCTTGATATTGCAAGAAGTAATCTACTCTGTGAGGTTAAAAGGCATGTCCAAGTGCACGCAACAAATAAATGAATCATGTGAAACAAAATTATATGTGACTGAAACAAAATTTAATGCTAATTTGTTAGCTTTATCTGAAGTCATTTTTCATGTGGACAAATATATATGTTAGCTAACTAGTACATTATCATCTTTCATTTAGGAAAGTTCTCAGCATAAATCGATTTTGATCAAGTAGGTTGCATTCTGTCGCAAGTTACAACAACTACAATTCAAAATAGGTGACACAAATGGGGGTTTCTAGAAAAGGAAATTCGGAGTGAGACCTGGAGTTGGATTGATTAGACATTTAACAACATTATCAAAGTCTGATTTTGTTTGTATGTTTGTTGTATATGCGTTGTGTGTGCAAGTGTGCACACAGAAGTGCCTCGTCTCTGCCTTCTGCAGTGTCTTGTTTCCTTTAAGGCTGGTTTCTTTTATGGTGGCAAAACGGCTGCATTGCTTTACATCTGTGTACCACATGGCCCAGAATGGAGTGAGACTCAGAGAGAGGGAGGGAGAAAGGGCAAGAAGGGGAGGAAAGGAGAGGAGATTGGGGGAAAAAGGAACTGGGGATGGTCCTAACATACATTACTCTTAGAAAAGTGCATGGGAAGCAGCATAGAATCAGAGGAAAAAATTTCCTGGATGAAAATAGTCACTGTTATCCAGCTCATGGCATCACCTCTCTTGGACGGGGATGGAGGCAACATGGCCAATTCATGTTCTTTCATTGCCTATTTCTAGTCCCAATGCAAGCTAAGCCTCCTTTTCCATTACCATCTTAGGAAGATTACAAGGAATTCATTAGACCACAGCTCTTCCCTCCACCATAAATTGTATTCTAGTTACACCTTCCTGAAAATGTATCTCAATTATTTTTACTAGACTTGGAAAGATCCATGTTTATTGGCTCTTAGGTGATAGATCTTTTCCCATTTTGTATAGATCCCTACTGGTTTCCTTCTCAGAGAGAGATTCCTAGTCAACAAGTTCTGGGGGACATTAAGTTAACTTAGTAAGTCTTTTCTGTATGGAAGCCACTGAAATAAACTTAAGGTAACACACATACATTATTTCATCGAATCTACAGAAGGCATTATTCTCATTTAGAAAGGTTTAAGGATCCAGCCCAAATTCCCACAGCTTCTGAAAGGTAGATCCATGGCTTCCCACATGTATTACAGTCTTCTGAGAAGTAAAGTACAGACATTAGTTCCAGCTCTGCCATTATCCATGTGTGTGGTCCTGCTTTCTTCATCTGTAAAATGACGGGGGTGGATTAGATGATTTTTGAGATTGTGTCTGATTCTAAGATGCTATGCATTTATGTTTGCATGCATGGATGCTTTGCATTTATGTAACATCTTACTTAGTCTGCTTTTCCTGAGTAGATAAACTCAGGTATAGTTAGTAATGTGTAATAGGCAAATAAATGTGGCAGAGACTGGAAAACTCTTTATTTCTTTTAGCTGTTTAAATATTGCTCTTGAAAATATCTTGAAAAGCCCAAAAGAGAGACTCCAACTCCACCGTGGTGAAATGTGGGAGCCACAAATCAGAGACTGACTTACCTTGGGGATATCCAGAATCTTTTCCCATTAAAAATAGTGTCCTTGTCTTCTCTGAGGCCTCTTATGGCTTTGATGGATCAACAAAGAGCTTCTTCATGCATCTGAATAGTGACTGAGCTGAACTTTTATCACATGGGTTTATCTTTTTAAAAATGAGACGTGAATATTCTCAACAGGGAAGAAAATTAAGCAAATTCACCCAGGTATGGTTAAAGTTACACTTGTGTAGTAATGGCTGTTCTTTTTTTTTCCTTGTACCCTCTACTTTGATTATCAGAGACAATGCAGGGCAGTGGCTACTGAGCCTTGATCCCTACTGTGTGGTGTAAGAAGGAGAAAGTTTAAACATATCCAGGCAATTAAAAAAAATAATATGGACTTTTTTGTTTTATTTTTTCAAGACTTGGCCTCACTCTGTTGCCCAGGCTGGAGTGCAGTGGCATAATCTCAGCTCACTGCAGCCTCAACCTCCTGGGCTCAAGTGATCCTCCTGCCTCAGCCTCCTGAGTAGCTGGGACTATAAGGGCACACCACCAAGCCTCACCAATTTCTTTTCTTTTCTGTATATTTTGTAGAGATGGGGTTTTGCCATGTTGCCCAGGCTGATCTCAACCTCCTGGGCTCAAGCAATCTGTCCACCTTGGCCTCCAAAAAGGCTGGGATTATAGGCCTGAGCCACTGTACCCGGCCTAGGACTTTATTTTTTTAGAGCAGTTTTAGGTTCACAGCAAAATTGAGAGAAAGGAAGATTTCTCATATATGCCTGCCCCCGTGTGTGCATATCTTCCCCCATCATCAACATCCCCCACCAGAGGAGTACATTCCTTTCCGTTGAGGAACCTGCTTTAGCACATCATTGTTACCAAAAGTCCATGTCACCCAGGTAGTGAGCGTAGTACCCAATAGGTAGTTTTTCAGCCCCTGCCCCCAACTTTTTCTTTCCTATCTAGTAGTCCCCAATGTCTCTTGTTCCCATCTTTATGTCCATGTGTACCCAATGTTCGGCCCCCACTTACAAGTGAGAACATGTGGTATTTGGTTTTCTGTTCCTGTGTTAATTTACTTAGGATAATGCCTTCCAGCTGCATCTATATTGCTGCAAAGGACATGATTTTTTTTAATGGCTGTGTAGTATTCCATGGTGCATATGTATAACATTTTCTTTCTTTTCGTTTTTTTTTTGACAGGTTCTCACTCTGTCACTCAGGTTGGAGTTCAGTGGCATGATCAGAGATCACTTTAACCTCAAACTCCTGGGCTCAAGCAATCCTCCTGCCTGAACCTCCCAAATAGCTACAGGCATGCACCACCACACCTAGCTAATTTTTAAATTTTTTGTGAGGATGGGGTTCTCACTATGTTGCCCAGTTTGAGCCCAGGTCTTGGATTCTGGGCTCAAGCAATCCTCTCACCTCAGCTTCCCAAAGTGCTGGGATTACAGGTGTGAGCCACCATGTCAGGCTGACCACATTTTCTTTATCCAGTCCACTGTTGATGGGCATCTAGGTTGATTCCATGTCTTTGCTATTGTGGATAGTGCTGCAATGAACGTACAAATGCATGTGTCTTTTTTTCTAGAATAATTTATCTTCCTTTGGGTATATACCCAGTAATGGGATTGCTGGGTCAAATGGTAATTCTGTTTTAAGTTCTTTGAGAAATCTCTAGACTGCTATCTACAGTGGCTGAACTAATTTACATTCCCACTAACAACGTGTAAGTGTTCTCTTTTCTTCACAGCCTTACCAGCATCTGTTATTTTTGGTCTTTTTAATAGCCATTCTGACTGGTGTAAGTTGATATCTCATAGCAGTTTTGATTTGCATGTCTCTGATGATTAGTGATGTTGAGCATTTTTTCATATGTTTGTTGGCTGCTTTTATGTCTTCTTTTGAGAAGTGTCTCTTCATGTCCTTTGCCCACTCTTCAATGTGCTTATTCGTTTTTTGCTTATTGAGTTGTTTATGTTCCTTATAGATTCCGGATATTAAAACTGTGTCAGATGCATGGGTTATGAATATTTTCTCCCATTCTATATATTGTCTAATTACCCTGTTGATAGTTTTTCTTGATATGCAGAAACTCTTTAGTTTAATTAGGTCCTACTTGTCAATTTTTGTTTTTGTTGTAATTGCTTTTAAGGACTTAGCCATAGATTTTTTGCCAAAGCCGATGTCGAGAAGGGCAACTCGTATTCTTTCTTCCAGGGTTATTATAGTTTGAGGTCTTGCATTTAAATCTTTAATCCATCTTGAGTTAATTTTTGCATATGGTAAAAGATAGGGGTCCAGTTTCCTCCTTCTGCATATGGCTAGCCAGCTAACCCAGCACCATTTATTGAATAGGGAATCCTTTTGTCTTTTTTTTTTTTTTTTTTTTTTGAGATGGAGTCTCGCTCTTTTGCCCAGGCTGGAGTGCAGTGGCACGATCTCAGCTCACTGCAACCTGCACCTCCTGGATTCAAGCAATTCTCCTGCCTCAGCCTCCTGAGTAGCTGGGATTAAAAGCATACGCCACCATGCCTGGCAAAATTTTGTATTTTGTTTTTAGTAGAGATGGGGTTTCACCATGTTGGCCAGGCTGGTCTTGAACTCCTGACCTTGTGATCCACCCACTTCAGACTCCCAAAGTGCTGGGATTACAGGAGTGAGCCACTGTACCCGGCCGGGAGTCCTTTTCTCATTGTTGGTTTTTGTCAGCTTTGTTGATGGTCAGATGGCTGTAGATGTGAGGCTTAATTTTGGGCTCTCTATTCTGTTCCATTGGTCTATATATCTGCTCTTGTACCAGTACCATGCTATTTTGGTTACTGTAACCTTATAGTAGTTTGAAGTCAGGTAATGTGATACCTCTGGCTTTGTTCTTTTTGCTTCAAAGTTATTTGGTTATTTGTGCTCTTTTTTGATTCCATATCAATTTAAATTTTTTTTCTAAATCTGAAAAAAAAGATGTTGGTAGTTTCGTAAGGATAGCATTGAATCTGTAGATTGCTTTAAGCAGTATAGCTATTTTAACAATATTGATTCTTTCAATCCATGGGCATGGACTGTTTTTCCATTTATTTGTCATCTGTAATTTCTTTCAGCAATGTTTTGTAGCTCTCCTTATAGAGATCTTTTACCTCCTTGGTTAGATGTATTCCTAAATATTTTATTTTTGTGTGTGGCTATTGTAAATGGAATTGTGTTCTTGATTTGGCTCTCAGCTTGAATACTACTGGTGTATAGAAATGTTGCTGATTTGTATTCATTGATTTTGTATCCTGAAACTTTACTGAAGTTATTTATCAGTTCTAGGAGCCTTTTGACAGAGTTTCTTGGGTATTGTAGGTATAGAATCATATCAACAGAAAACAGAGATAATTTGACGTCTTCATTTTTTATTTGAATGCCTTTTACTTTTTTTCTCTTGCCTGATTGCTCTCGTTCAGACTTCCAGTACTATGTTGAATAGGAGTGGTGAAAGTGGGCATCCTTGACTTTTTCCTGTTCTTATGGGAAATGCTTCCAGCTTTTGCTTATCAGGGAAATTTTTAAAATGCTACTTACATTTGTGGGCCAATTGGCTTAATTAAGAAAATGTGAGTTTCAAGTCAAGGCTAAGTGAAAAAAAAAAAAAGAAAGAAAAAGAAAATAGTGCTTAATTTGCCTTCTCTCTCACTCTCTCAGGCTTTTCTGCCTGCCACAAAACTAGTTTAGTAGTGCAATGAGCACCAAACCTGGAGTTAGTCCAGAGTTAAAACCTCAAGTTCTGCCACTTCCTAGTCATGTGACCTTTCAGCTCAGACATTATACTGTTGTTGCTTGTTTTCCATCACCATAAGTTTGATATCGGTCTTTTTCCTGCTTCTTTTCTTTCTTTCTTTCTTTCTTTTTTTTTTTTTTTTTTTTTTGAGACGGAGTCTTCCTCTGTCGCCAGGCTGGAGTGCAGTGGTGCAATCTCTCCTCACTGCAATCTCCGCCTCTCGGGTTCCAGCGATTCTCCTGCCTCAACCTCCTGAGTAGCTGGGATTACAGAAGCCCGCCACCATGCCCAGCTAATTTTTGTATTTTTAGTAGAGACGGGGTTTCACCAAGTTGGCCAGGATGGTCTCGATCTCTTGACCTCGTGATCCACCTGCCTAGGCCTCCCAAAGTGCTGGGATTACAGGCATGAGCCACTGCGCCCGGCCCTGCTTCTTTTCATGCCTACAAACTTTTGATTGAATAGCAGACATTGTTAATGTTATGTTTTGGGGTGTAGATTTTTTCCAATCCTTCAAATACTTATTAGGCTTTATTTTGGGATGTAACTAAGTTACTTGGAAACAAATTGATCCTTTTGACTTGCTTTTAATCTTTGTTAGGAAAGACCAGATCAGTTTTTAGTATAGGATTAATTTAGCCTGATTGCTAAAGTGATAACTTTTGAGTACTCTATTTTGTACCCCATATCTTAGGAGGTCTTTTACTCTTGCTAGTAGAAACAGAATATTCCCTGACCCTCACTGAGTTCTGGAGATTGCTTTTTTCTGATGGTTCTCTCCTGGCTCGGTAGTGTCTCTACACATGTGTGCTGATTAGTGTAGACTAAAGATGCAAGGGGTCCCTCTGCATCTCTTTGTAGCTTTCCTTCTGTGTAGTTGTCTCCTTTACAGTACTCTGCCCAGAAATTTTAGCTGCCTGGCCTCCCAGTGCTCCAAACATTGTGTCCTTAAATTGCTAGGCTCTGTTTGTTTCCTCCCTCCTTTGATATAGCCTGGAAACATCCCCAGACAATGAGCTAGGGCATTGTAGGACTCATCTTTTTGTTTCCCTTCTCTTAAGGATCACTGTCCTGCTTTGCCTGTTTCTCAATGTCTGAAAACCAATGTTTCATATGTTTTATATAGAGTTTTAGTTTTTTAAGGTGGGAGGGTAAATCCAGTCCCTGTTAGTCTATTGTGGCAAGAAGTAGTTCACATCCCTATTTTAGGAACCGCAGCCCCACTTCTCACCAGCTGTGTGGGCCTAGGCAAGTTACATAACCTCCAGACACTCAGTTCCTTCAGCAGTAAAGTGTAAAATTATAGTAATACCTATGTATAGTAGGGTCATTAGAATTAAGTAAAATAATCTATATGATGTACTTAAGTCTGTTGCTTGGCACACAGCAAGAAGTTATAAAATTCTAGCAATGATGATGATATTGATGCTTAGAAAACATGTTTATGGTGAACTCAAAGCCACAAGTTTCTCAATGCCATAAGTTTCATATCTATAAAATGTCCAGGGCTGGCTGGGCATGGTGGCTCACGCCTGTAATCCCAGCACTTTGGGAGGCTGAGGCGGGTGGATCACCTGAGGGTGGGAGTTTGAGACCAGCCTGACCAACATGGAGAAACCCTGTCTCTACTAAAAATACAAAAAATTAGCCGGGCATGGTGGCACATGCCTGTAATCCCAGCTACTCGGGAGACTGAGGAAGGAGAATCACTAGATCCCAGGAGACGGAGGTTGTGGTGAGCCGGGATTGCGCCATTGCACTTCAGCCTGGGCAACAAGAGTGAAACTCCGTCTCAAAAAAAAAAAAAAAAAAAAAAAAAAAGTGTCCAGGACTAGATGTGGAGCTGTGCACCTATTATCCTAGTGCTTTGGGAGGCTGAAGCAGGAGGATTACTTGAGCCCAGGAGGTTGAGGCTACAGTGAGCCATGATCACACCACTGCACTCCAGCCTGGGTGACAGAGTGAGACCCTGTCTAAAAAAAAAAAAAAAAACAGCAACCCGGGCACAGTGGCTCGTGCCTGTAATCCCAGCACTTTGGGAGGCCGAGGCAGGCAGATCACCATGGGTCAGGAGTTTGAGATTAGCGTAGCTAACATGGTGAAACCCCATCTCTACTAAATATACAAAATTAGCTGGGTGTGGTGGCAGGCTCCTGTAACCCCAATTACTCGGGAGGCTGAGGCAGGAGAATCACTTGAACCTGGGAGGCAGAGGTTGCAGTGAGCTGGGATCACGCCATTGCACTCCAGCCTGGGCAACAGAGAGCGACTCAGTCTCAAAAAAAAAATAAAAAAGGAATATTTTTCATTTTATAAAAGGAGAATTTAATTCCCAGTGATAGTTCCCACATGGAGTAAATTTAACCTGGTGAAAATCTCATGAGACTGTCCTTATTTTCCCCTTTCTCTGCCGATTAGTTACCACTTGGCACACAGACTGATGTTTAGGAATCACCACTCCATGTGCTCCTTTTAGCTGCTGGTCCATCTCCTCCTGGAGTTCCTGCCACTCCAGTGTCTGGCTCAGGGTTTGCCATACTCCTTAGTTTGAATCCTCCTGTTATACCCTCTCAGGGGCCTCTACTGCTATGCTGGCAATACTCATTGCAACAGTAACAATTGCTCAATGCCTGTTTTACTCACTACTGGGTGAGGAGTAACTTGATCACTGTCACATGCAGAGTAGCTTCCAGCTACCTTTAAGTATTTATCAAACCAAATTTCATTTGACTTCTGGGCTGACTTTCCTTTGGAAGTGTTTTCTTATTAAATGCTAGCTGGGTCAGGTGACTGTGTCCTTCTTAGCCTATCATATCCTTTCTCCCTCCTCTGAATTCAGAGACCAGAAGGCTTTTCAAATTGTTTCCTGACGCATTCCCATGGCAAAGGAAAATGACACAGGACTCCTGGAGGTCCAGGAATATCGATCTACGCTGCCCACCACATACAGGAAATTTATTTGAAGTCTCATGATTTAGCTGATAATTGGTATGATTGTTTTATTCTGCTCCACAAATTATCCACTTAGAAAAACCTCTCTTTTAGTTACTCACCATAGAGTAAAATGAAGGGTCTAAATGTCCTGCTTGCATATGTTGACTTCTAATTCTCCTTGCCACCAGTGCTCTATGCCACACAGACTTAAGTTTGAGAAAATCTGTGTTCTGCTTCTTTGGCCTTATGACCCTTGAGAGAGAAGATAAACCAGACCTGGAAAGTTTTGTTGCAAAGATAAAGATGGGTGGCCAGGTGCAAATAAGTATGATACTCAAGACTGGCTGGGTCCCTCTTCTAGCCTAGAGGCTTGCTAATCAAAGTGTGACCTGAAGATCACCTGGGAGACTGTTAGGCATGCAGAATCTAATGCCCATCCCAACTTGCTCTATCAGAATCTGCATTTTAATAAGACCTGGAGGATATTAAGAAGCACATTAAAGTTTGAGAAGCACTTAGAGAAATAGATCTTTACAAAATAGAAGCTTTTAAAAAAGTAACAACAATATGAAAGGGTGCTCAACATCACTAATCATTAGGGAAATGCAAGTCAACACATCAGGGAAATGCAACAACTACAATGATCAGTTATACTTCACACCCATTAGGATGGCTATTAGAAACAAAACAACGAAAAATAACAAGTGTTGACAAGGATGTGAGGAAATTGGAAGCTTTGCGAGCATGGCTTGTAGAAATGTAAAATGGCAGAGCCACTGTGGAAAACAGTACAGTTCCTCAAAAAATTAAACGCAGAATTATGATATAATCAAGCAATTCCACTTCTGGGTATGGACCCAAAAGAACTGAAAGCAGAGATTCAAACAGATGTTTGCATTCCTATGTCACAATAGATAAAAAACAGAAACAATAAAAATATTCACAGATGGATGAATGGATAAACAAAATGTGGTATATACACACGGACTATTATTCAGCCTTAGAAAGGAATGAACTGATACATGCCACGACATGGATGAACATTAAAGACATCCATGTCTTTAATGGATGGGGCAGCGGGGGAGAATAGGGATTTATGATTTAATGCGTAAAGAGTATCTGTTTGTGATAAGAAGGTTCCAGACATGAATGGTGATGATGGTTGCACAAGGGGATGAATGTACTTAATGCCATTGAGATATACACTTAAAAATGTTTTAAATGGCCAGTTTTATGTTATGTATCATTTACCACAAGAAAAAGTAATAACAGTCATAAAGGTTTATTTTAGAAAATTTGGAAACTACGGGGGGCATAATGAAGAAAATGTTAATCACTTCAATGTTAATCTCTAGAAATAAAAACTTTAAGAGTTTAATATATATTTATCTTGTCCTTTTTCTGTGTGTGTACAAGTTTCTAATGACTATGGAATATGTAGGTTTGTATTTTTGTAATCAAGGATGGGAATTAGCATCATGATTGAGCACTCTATGTGCCTCTTTCACTAACTCGATTTCTTTTCACCCTCAGAAAACATTGTGAAATAAATTTCATAGCTGCATTTTCCTAAAGAAAAATCTTAGAAAACATGATCAGGTTTGTAGGGGAGAAGAAATCTTTTCTTGCACCTCCAGAGTTTATAGCTGAGGTATCTATAATAAAAGGTTAATCAGTGAAAAGCATACGAATTT